>NC_000015.10:33579904-33882934 GCF_000001405.40 Homo sapiens
GACCCAGTGGGTGTTCATCAGGGCCCTGCTGCTGGCCAGTGCCTAAACCATGTCAATCTCATGGTTTTTAGCGGAAACAATCGCACAGCTGCCCCCATCACCCTGCCTATAGAAGAAGTCCTGCAGACCCTACAGGACTTGATCGCCTACTTCCAGCCCCCAGAGGAGGAGATGCGACATGAAGACAAGCAGAACAAGCTCCGCTCACTCAAAAACAGACAAAATCTTTTCAAGGAAGAGGTAAGTCGAAAAATGAAAAGTTGAAATTCACTTAGTGTCCAGAGCTAGAATATCCCTGTGACTACAACTTAGCTTTGTCTTTCTGCATGCACGTGTTTATGAGAGAGCCAGAGGACAAGAGAGATTTGGAAGCTGGGAAATTGGAAGCCAACCTTCCCTGTCCACCAAACCTGGTTACATTAGCAATGGCTGGCACGTTCAAACCAGATTACATTTTAAAGCTTCAGTGCCACATGTGTATCAAATATACATTTTCAGTAAATTTCAGCTGTGAGAGCATGACATTGGCTGTGATTCCCAAGTTTTGGGAAACGTTAGAATTACCTGGGAAACCTGTTTGAAAAATGCAGATGCCTGGATTCTACCACATTGAGAATACCTGAGAAGCTGGTTTAAAAGACACAGAAGACGCTGTCTTATGTCAGAATTGAGCATCTGAGTCACTGGGAGTGGGGCCTGACCATGAGGAAAATATCAGCTTGGGGCTTAAGACACCCAGGACCTCATTCTGGTTCCATCTCCAGCTGTGTGTGACCACAGACAAGCCACAAGCCTTTTCCAGACTCGGAGATGTGATGATTTAGTGCCAACAGGCCATGGTTGTACTTCTGGGCCTGCCATGCCTGGGCACAGGGCTTGTCCCTTGGGCATTTCCAAAGTTAGTGGTGTGGGATGTAAACCATCCCAGCTCAGTCTTCTGATCTAACCAGACTTTGGCCTCAGGGGCATTCTCTATGACTTAAAGGCTACTGAAATTCCATTTACCATCTCCCTCCCATGCGCTAAGAACAGCTAGCACAGATTTTTACTGGGTGGCATAGTATTTCAAATTAGCTAGAAAAGTGGTTGAAGATCCTCTTGTACTGCTATTGTCTCTAAATCCCCTTTTTTTGCAGGGGGCCGGGGGGGTGGGGAGGTAGGAAGCAAGCATGGCTGTTTTGTGCATCTGAATGGAACTTGAACTTACTTGATATTTAAGAGAAAAATAGGTACTATATCCAGAGCTGTTTCTGGGTGAGTCAGAACCACTTCACACCAGACTGAAAGCAGGTTTTTGTGAAACTCATTCACCCTCCCTCTTCCTAAGTATGTCCTTGGATTGAGTTAAGCACGTGGGGGCAACCCGTCAGAGGAGGCTGCTGACTCACTCTCCAAATGGATGCTATTTAGGTCTCTCAGGCATAAAAATACATATTTTGTTTTTAGGAGGGAAAAAAAACAAACCCAACTGGCACCATGAAGGTCTATTTGCATATTGGCATTTTCAGCTTTAAAAGGTGAATGATACAGGAGGGGAAAGAGCATAAGGGACTGTGCTTTCTTAATCAGCAATGTTTACATTTTCCTCCACTCTCCTTCTCAGGGAATGTTGGCCCTTGTCTTAAATTGCATTGACCGCTTAAATGTCTACAATAGCGTAGCACACTTTGCAGGGATTGCAAGGGAAGAGAGTGGCATGGCCTGGAAAGAAATTCTGAACCTCCTCTACAAATTGCTGGGTAAGTACACATACAGTGCCTTCTCCCTGGGATGATTTCCATGGGATTTCCACGTGCAATCCCAAGATTGTCTTTAACTTGCCATTAACCCTGTGATACTTGGACTGCCTCATTCCTTAGAAGTCTTTTGTTAACCATTCAATTTTAACCCAGCTGTTCATTCTGTTAACTAGTAGCAGCCAGTGGAAGCAGATGATAATCAGTTTCCCTGTAACTACCTGGGAAACTGTTTGACAGACACCTACACTCCCTCAACCTCTATTCCTTACCTTTCATGAGGAAACGAGACTAGAACACATTTATGATGTCTTCCAGTTTTAAACTTCTGCAAAGATATCACCTGTACTTTAAGAATTGTTATTCTTTTAAATCTGTGCCCTCTCACTTGTCCACTTGTTAGTCATGATTCTCACTGCTTTGGCCTGTAATTTATTTCATTTTGGTGAAAAGAAAAAGGTGGGAAGTAAGAATATTCCAGCAACAAGCTTATCTTCTCACAATATGGAGTGTGTAGTGAAGTTCTGATGCCTGCTACAACAGGTTCCATCCAATAGGCCTAGGCCACCCGCCTATGGGTGGGAGGCAGAGAGAAGACAGTATGAGCCTGTGCAAGAAGGCGGCCACCAGGAGTTGCTCAGACACTGTGATAAGCTAGTACTTTAGGGCTTTGCTCTGAAGTGTGTGTCCCACTGAGAGGAAATCTATCATAGAAAGTTCACTAGGCCAGAATGGAGCCCAGAGAAATCAGTCCGGACCTATTCCCCAGCTTAGGGTTGAGGCTGATTGGATTACCACAGTACTGATCAATTGCCACTGTATGACCCTGTAAAGTGTCTTCAAACTCTAGTGTTTTGTATTGACCCAGTAGGCATGATTTTAACAATAATACCTAACAATTATTGATCTCTTTGTGAGCGGTGAAATATCGCTTTTGAACTCCAGAGCAACACTTTAAGGGTCAGTTATTATTATTACTGTCATTTCACTGATGATGAAACTGACGTACATAGATGCTCATAACCCAAGGTTACACATCTAGTAACTGATGGAGCTATGGCTTGAGACCCAGCAGTCTAACTCCAGGACTCTTATGCTTAACTTCCTTGCTGCAACTGATCTGAAAAGGAGGTTAGGAGCTCAGACTTGAATTGTGTCCTTTACTGACTGAAGATGCAAAGCTGAGGCCCTAGAGGAGGCCTTTCTTTATCCTAAATTTGCCATGTATCAGCCTCAGTGAAATTCCAATTCAAACCTATCATGTGAAGGGCAAGCTACTTGGGGGCGAATCAATTTACATGGACTTGTTCCAGATTTGCGTCTACTCTTTTTGCCCTGTGGAGAGAAGGTTATTTGGTGTAGATTGGTAAAACTCAAATGACAGCATATTTTCTCCCTCTCTCTGCAGTATCATCTGCCAGTGGCTTTCAAGTAGGAACAGACATCAGGATCAGCTGGAGAGCTGGTTACAATACAGATGCCGAGGCCCACCCCCAGAGTTTCTAAATCAGTAAAGCTGGATGAGGCCTGAGAATTTGAGTTTTTAACAAATTCTTAGGTGATGCTGATCCAGGGACCATGACTCAAGAACCACTGTCAAATAGGGATATATTTTAGATATTTTATAGTTACATGTTGCTATTATTCATCCATTAGTGTATAGCCAACCTTTCCAGCTGTGTTCACTGGGATGCCTTCCTTTAGCGCTGAAGATTAATAAATCTGTAGCTAAATTTAAGAAAACATTGCAAGAAGTTGAGTTCTTAAGTCAGTAACCAAGCCAATATTAAATTCTTGCTTATCACTATCTGAAGTAATTTCATTACCTTATGCATTTATTGTCTCCATTGCCTACTTGATGAAGGCAGGGAATCTCCCTCCCTTTCTCATTGCTCTAGTCTGAACAACTGGACCGGTGTTTGGTACATAGCAGACTCTCTGGAAATACTTGTAAAGTGAGTCAATACTAGATTTTTATTTTTCTAAGTATAGAAAGAGGTTGGGTGTGGTGGTTCACACCTGTAATCCCACCAGTTTGGGAGGCTGAGGTGAGGAGGATCAATTGACGCCAAGAGTTCAAGACCAGCTTGGGCAACATAGTGAGACCCCATCTCAATAAAAAATATTTACGCCAGGCATGGTAGCTCGCTCCTGTAATCCCAGCACTTTGGGAGGCTGAGGCAGGTGGATCACTTGAGGTCAGGAGTTCGAGACCAGCCTGGCCAACATGGTGAAGCCCTGTCTCTACTAAAAATACAAAAATTAGCTGGGTGTGGTGGTGCATGCCTGTAATCCCAGCTACTTGGGAGGCTGAGGCAGGAGAATCACTTGAACCCAGGAGGTGGAGGTTGCAGTGAGCCGAGATTGCACCACTGTACTCCAGCCTGGGCAACAAGAGTGAAAACTCCATCTCAAAAAACAAACAAACAAACAAAAAAAACTTAAAAATTAGCTGGGCATGGTGGTGCATGCCTGTAGTCTCAGCTACTCTGGAGGCTGAGGCGAGAGGATCACTTAAGCCCAGGAGTTTGAGGCTGCAATGAGCCACTACACTCCAGCCTGGGTGACTGGGTGAGACTGTCACTTAAAAAAAGAAAAAAAAAGAAAGAATTGTGTCAAAGGGCTAGATAGGGTGAGATTGGCATTCAGTTCCTTTTAGTTGCTAAGCAAGTGAAATATTCGACAGCTTTCCAAGTTCTCACGCCCATCATTATATCCTTTAACCTCTATGATCAAACATCTCCTTGTTTGCAGCTGCTCTCATTCGCGGAAACAGAAACAATTGCGCTCAATTCTCCAATAACCTTGATTGGCTCATCAGTAAATTGGACAGACTAGAATCTTCCTCAGGTGAGAATTGACAGGAAACTATAACTAGAAAAGATGAAGGGTTTTTTTTTTCTTTCTGTAAAAAAAGAAAACAAAGTTGAATCTTTTCCAATGGATTGCAAACAATCCTCAAATCATACTTCAAAATTAAAAAGAAATAGTCTTCAAGCTTCCTGGCACCTGTACGACTTTATTTAACAACTCTAACCCAGACTTCAACAATCCTTCCTTTTTAAATTTTTTACTCTGTGCCTTCATTGTTATTCCGTGCCTTCATTTTTAATCCTCGGGTCCATTAATCACCCCCCACCCCCACCTCACCCACCCAGTGATCCTGGTCTCCTTCTAACTCCCATTATATTCTTATTCTCTGGGTTTTTAAACCCTTTTCAATGGTGCCCAAACTATTTCTTACGGTCTAAAAGCGGGAGTGAAGAATGACAGGGATGAGAGGAAAAATGATCCCCACTCACCCTCTCTCCCGTGACTCACCCTTCACATCATATCTATAGTCCTCCCTCATGACTTACGGAGAATCTGAGCCAAGAGTGTGGTCATCATTGGGAAGTGACCATGCTGCAGGGCTTAGCAGTTTGCTTCCTCCGAGATGAGTAAACATGGCAGGTATACGCCCCTCAAGGGGAAGCTGAAGGGTTTTGATGCTTTTCTCGCAGTGTAGAAATGACAGGTGCTTTAACAGACCGGCCAAGAGAGGTTCCCCCAAGGATCATCCACCTACACACGTCTTCCTAAGCCTCTTTTTTCTTCAGTGCCTCGGTCTCATGGGCTAGATTACATTTCAGGCTAACTTATGAAAACATTGAGAAAAAAACAGAATCAAAAGAAATTTTCCTAATAAAACTAATTAAGCTATTAGCCAGCTACTTCCCTTGAATTTCAATCATGATATTACCGTGTATGTGCCAGGCTGCAGAGGCACTAGTTTTTCTTAAGCCTTCACTTATATAACCTATCCAGTGTGCCAAAAAAAAGGGGGAAAAGCCAAATAGACTTTATTGTGTGAGCTTACAATTTGTTTGATACATGAGTAGACCTAAAATAAAAATAATTTCTAGGGTAGTTCCTAGAAAAATTCTTATTTGGGAGAAACTCAGAATATTTTCCAAATTACTTGAATGACCTTTAGAATTTATAGTAAACTGGACGTCTTCTCTTGTATCTATTTTTAAATGAAGTATTATGTGGTTTGATCAAATGAAAAATTTTATTTTATAGCTGCTTCTCTGTATTTTGACACACAAAGATCATGTCTTTGTCCAGGAAGCGGGAGATAGGGTTTGTGCCGAATTAAAATCACCAGTAAATTACAGACTGGTTGGCCCCCAGGGGGCTCTGAAGTCTACCGGAAATGATGCATTTTTTTTCTGGCTGGAAAGATTTGATAGATTCAAAGAATTGACGATATCCTGTCCCCTCAGGAAGGACTGTTCATACTCAGGTTTCTAAATTGTGGTCACTTCTGCAGGGCATTTAATGTCCAAATTTGATGTTTGTGGCATTCATGTAGGTATCTTGGAAGTTTTGCACTGCATCTTAACTGAAAGCCCAGAAGCCTTAAATCTGATAGCGGAGGGCCACATCAAGTCGATCATCTCCCTGTTGGATAAGCACGGGCGGAATCACAAGGTAGGTGTGGAAAGAACGGTGATTGACTTTGCCTGGTGTTTCCCTCCCCAATGTTCATGACCATTGTGTTTTACTGAGAGCATGTTGATTAGTCTTTCTTGACTTTGATAAAAATCTTGGGAAACTGGAAAAAAGACTTTCCCCGCATACAAGCACTCTCCAAGCTGGGCAGCCACACTGGACTTCGGATGGTGCCGTGGGTTTCCAACAGCTCCCCAGTCGCTGCTCATTATCATTAACCCTTAACACCAGCTCACTGTGGGACACTCAGTAGGCCCTGTCTGCACATGGCCAACCGTATGGGACTGGCTTTCACCCTAGGATCCAGGAACTTCGTAGTGAAACAGCTTATAACAAGCTGTATAGAAAAGGTATGAAGAAATCAGATTTAAAACAGTGTAGAAAGTCTTAGCAACATGGTTTGTTATTAAACAAAATCAGATTTACTATGAGTGAAACCAAATGAAGTAAATGAATCTGTGCGTGTGCAAGCAGAACTGAAGCCACTGGTCCTTCCCTTTTATACAACGCAGCTATATGAGCTGGGGCCTCAGTTATGTCATCTGTAAAATGGTGACAAGGGCATCTCACTAAGTGGAATGCTATATCATTTTTTTGAGATCTCTTATAGTTCTAACATCTCTATTTTTATGAAGTTATATCTCTAAAACACAGTGATCTGTGGGGAAAGTCTACTAAAATATGGGGAGTTTTTTTTCCTGACCCTTCAACATCTGCACACACGGGGACTATCGTGCTAATTAGTGGCCAGACGCGATATTCAACGGCTCAGGAGGTGTATTTCAGAGCAGATGGCATGATGGGACATGTGGGACTGCAGCTGTGCTTCTACAGAGTGGGGAGAAGCAGGCTTCGTCACTGGCAGTCTCTGCTTGTCATCATCTGGGGGGACTGCGTATTTGAGACAGCTCAGTGTGTCCGGGAGATTGAGACTCGGCAGCATAGACTGTATGACATGCATCAGCCGTGGGCAGCAGAAAGCCATGGTCCTTAGCATGTGGGAAATTGTTTGACAAATAATAAAAAGAAATACATGGGATCTGAAATCGCTTTTCCAAATGCAGCAAATCAAAGGCAAACATGAAGCTTCCGCTTCAGTCCAGATTCTCTGCGTTCCAACATGTTCCTTCCTGTCTGCGAAGTGTAATGAGAATAATCAATAGGCACCTGAGCAACACGTGCTAGGAGCCACGGGCTATGTGCAAATGTCAGAGAAGCCTTTTGACAGGAAAGCTGCTCTCGTCTCATTGCCCCAGAGGTTTCTTTATTATTAGAACACATAGTGTACTTAATAAATAACCAACTTTGTTGTGGCTTCTTTCAGCCAAAAGCCACAAAGCATTTGATGCATGTCACTTGGTGGCAAGTTGATTACTATTCTACCCATTCCACAGTTGAGAAAACTGAGGCCCACCAAGCTGAAGTATTTTGCTAGAAATCAATGCCTGATCTGATATGTTATCAGAGTAGCCTTTAATCTTCTAGAACCAAGACATTGTTAGAGAAATTCTGGTAATGTAAAAGTTGAAGCAATGTGATCTTGGTACATAAGAGTCTTTTCAAAGACGTTCCTTTTCCATCTTTGGATAGATTTTTGGGTAAAGGTTTGTCATGAATTCAGATCCTTCCTTAGGTACTATTCCATTGGATAGCTTTCATTTTCAAAGAGAAAAAACAGGTTCAAACCATCACTAATGTATTTGTGGTCATTTTGCAAAGAATGTGCTGAGTGGAGGCCAGACTTCCATTGCAACACTTCATCTTTGCTTGGAAAATGCCAAGGTCATGTTTTTCTCTCCAGGCTGCATTGTTGTCTCCAGTCCTAGAATTTCAGGAGTCTCTGACTAATCCACTTAGTTTTCGGTGAAGACAATGACTCAAAATATGCAGAATTTTAAAGCCACAAGGGACCTCAGAAGTCTTCCCACAAGAGCAACAACAGTAATGATAACCAGCATTTATTTTGCACTTAACAAATGCCAGTTATTGCTGTCAGTGTTCATGTGTATCTTATTCAGTTCTCATTACGACCTTATGACATAGCATCATTATTATTTGTACATGACAGTGGCAGAAAGAAGGCCGGAGCCTGGGTCCTTAGACGTTAAGCAGTTTCCCAGGAGCCACACAGCTAATTAATGACAGACTAGGAGCAGAAGTTGAATATTCTTTCCAGTGTTTCTCAAGCTGCAGCCTGTGAACATGTTCTTTAGAATCCAAATGCTCTGTGAGAATATATTTAATTTTGTGATTTTAGTTTTATAATTATCTAAATACAAAACTTTTGCAGTGAAAAATTCACCCTAGAAAGCATTTCCTTTGCTTTTTTTATTTATAAAAAAATAAGGGGTACAAGTGCAATTTTGTTACCTGGATATATTGTGTAGTGCTGATGTCTGGGTTTTTATTGTAACCCCAACCCAAATAATGTACATTGTACTCATTAAGCAATTTCTCATCATTTACCCCCTCCCACACTTCCAAGTTGCCAACACCTATCACTCCACTCTCTATGTCCGCATCTCCACATTATTTAGCTCCCACTTATAAGTGAGAATATGCAGTATTTGACATTCTGTATTTGAATTATTTCACTTAAAATTATAGCTTCCAGTTCCATCTATGTTGCTGCAAAAATCTGATTTCATTCTTTTTTTATGACTGAACAGTATTCCATTGTGTGTGTGTGTGTATATAAACCACATTTTCTAATCTTCCATTGATGGATATGTACGTTCGTTCCATGTCTTTGCTATTGTGAATAGGGCTGTGATAAACATACAAATGCAGATATCTTTTTGATATAGCAATTTATTTTCCTTTGGGTAGATACCCAGTAGTGGGATTGCTGGATCAAAAATGGTAGATCTATTTTTAGTTCTTTGAGAAATCTCCATACTGTTATCCATAGGGGTTGTACTAATTTACATTCCTACCAACGTGTATAAGCATTCCCTTTTCTCTGTATCCTCACCGACATTTATTATGTTTTAATCTTTTCAATAATGGCCATCCTGACTAGTGTTAAGATGACATCTCATAGTGGTTTTAGTTTGCACTTCGCTGATGATTAGTGACGCTGAGCATTTTTTCATATGCTTGTTGGCCATTCGTGTGTCTTCGTTTGAAAAATGTCCATGTCCTTTGCTCACTTTTTAATGGGATTATTTGTTTTGTGTTGTTGTTGAGTTGTTTGAGTTCCCTGTAAATTCTGGGTATTAGTCCTTTGTTGGATGCATAGTTGGCAGATATTTTCTCCTATTCTATAGGTTTTCTGTTCACTCTATTGATTATTTATTTTGCTTTGCAGAGCTTTTTAATTTAATTAAGTCCCATTTATCTATTTTTTGTTTTTGTTGCTTGTGCTTCTGACGTCTTAGTCATAAATTCTTTGCCTAGACCAGTGTCCAGAAGAATTTTCCCTAGATTTACTTCTAGGATTTTCATAGTTTCAGGTCTTACACTTAAGTCTTTAACTATATCTTGAGTTGATTTTTGTATTTAGTGAAAGAGAGGGATCCCATTTTCATTCTTCTGCATATGGCAATCCAAAGTTGCCAGCACTGTTTGTTGAAAAGGGTGTCCTTTCCATGGTGTATGTTCTTGTTGACTTTGTCAGAAATCAGTTGGCTATAGCTATGTGGCTTTATTTCTAAGTTCTCTATTCTGTTCCATTGATCCATGTGTCTATTTTTATACCAGTACCATGCTATTTTGCTTACTATAGCCTTGTAGTATAATTTGAGGTCAAGTAATTGTGTCATGTGTGTCCGTGTGAAGAGACCACCAAACAGGCTTTGTGTGAGCAACAAAGCTGTTGATTTCACCTGGGTGCAGGTGGGCTAAGTTCGAAAAGAGAGTCAGTGAAGAGAGATAGGGGTGGGGCCATTTTATAGGATTTGGGTGGGTAGTGGAAAATTACAGTCAAAGGGGGTTGTTCTCTTGTGGGCAGGGGCGGGGGTCACAAGGTGCTCCGTGGGGGAGCTTCTGAGCTAGGAGAAGGAATTTCACAAGGTTAATCTCTCAGTTAAGGTGGGGCAGGAACAAATCACAATGGTGGAATGTCATCGGTTAAGGCAGGAACCGGCCATTTTCACTTCTTTTGTGATTCTTCACTTGCTTCAGGCCATCTGGACATATACGTGCAGGTCTCAGGGGATACGTTGGCTTAGCTTGGGCTCAGAGGCCTGAAGGTAATGTGGTGCCTCCAGCTTTGTTATTTTTGCTCAGGATTGTCTGGGCTACTCAGGTTCTTTTTTGGTTACATATGAATTTTAGGATTGTTTTTTCTAATTCTGTGAATGACACTGGTATTTTGATAGGGATTGTATTGAATCTATAGATTTCTTTGGGCAGTATGGTCATTTCAAAGATATTCATTCTTCTTCTGATCCATGAGCATGGGATGTTTTTCCATTTTGTGTCATCTGCAATTTCTTTCATCAGTGTTTCGTAATTTTTTTTAGAGGTCTTTCACCTCCTTGGTTAAATATTTTCATAGGGTTTTTTTTTTTGGCAGCTATTGTAAATGGGATTGCCTCGAAGGCATTTTCATATAATAAGTTAGTGTTTCGCAGACTGGAATTGGAGAGCTCCTATGGGTTCATGAAGGTAGCCTTCAGGATATGACATTTTTCCTTTAAATATAATTTTACATCTCATAGGTTTGAGATGTAAAAATTCTTCCTGTACCTTGCCACTTCCAATCATATGCTTAGAATTGAGACTACATATAATGGTAGCAATTATTATACCTTTACTTCTTTGCTAAAATATTTAAGTTGTTAGCTTTGTCCCTTTCATGGAAATAACTGCCACTCATCAAAAGCATGATCAGATTTGAGGTCAAAAAGTTATAGGGGAAGAACACAGTCTTTGGAGTGAAAAAGACAGGAGTGTGTTGCAGTGCCCACTCCATATTTTCTGAATGCACTTTACCCTTTGACCTCTCAATGATTTCACTCTTGTGGATCCTTCAATAGCTCCTCACTTCCTACTTTTCCAGGACTCATCAAAATTCTTCTCTGGTCAATTAAAAAATCAATGAAAAATTCTTGTCTGCTCTTTAAAACTTAGTTCAAACGCCACTTCCTCCATGAATCTTTTTCTGATTCCAGTTGGAATTGGTCTCCTCTCTTATGATTTGTTCTCTGCTGTAATAATTGTTCCAATCTGCCTTCTATTATAGTTATTTTTTCACATCTATTTCTCTTACATCTGTAAGTTCCTCTGTGGTAGGGACTGTCTTTGTAATCCTCATAGCGCCAAGCTAAGATGTTGTACATGGCAAGCATTCATACATGTTTGTTGAAGGTTTAATAAATGAATAAAAGGAACAAATGAGTGAGCCAGAATCTACTCCTGTCTCACCTTGAACTAATAACACACTATGTTAGTAGCACTGATTGTGTTATTTGGTAAAAAGAATAACTGATGAAAATTCTAACAGTCACTGTAGTTTTTCCAGAGTAAGATTCTGCTAATATAAATAATGTATGCATTTTCTACTTGCCCCTGAAGCTGCCTTACTCCAAACCTGCTCAAAGTTGCCATAGATAAATATTTTTTATTATCTTCTTTGTTTTGCAAGGATTTGGGTCTACCTTTGAGAAAAATATATGATAAAATAGTAATATCATTGATTCTCAGAAAGTATAAATCAGGAATCAAAGGTTTAGCCTGGAGGGGCTGAATAGCAGCCATTTCTCAAATATAGGACTTGACATAAAAATCTCAGAAAAAATATAGTTAGCATTTGTTTGATCAGACTGCTTTTACAGATGAAAGCTGTGACAAAAATGCAGCAGCCAAACAGTGTTTCCGTAGGTATTTATCTTCAAAGTATAATTCCCATATAAGCTTGTGTTTGGGATAGACAGTAATAGAGATAAAAAGCAAAATGAGAGGCTCTCTAATGAAATGTGGTATCAGTGATGAGAATGAAAACCAGAAACAAATGAACCCCACAAATGGGCCATTGATTAGGGAGGCCTAACTCCTGTGACACACAACCCCGTATTGTCAGTGGCTTAGCGTAGTCAAAATTTATTTTTTCTCATATGACTCTCCAAGGCCAGTGGGAGGGCTTGATAGAGTGTGGTTATTGGCTTCACCATCCCCTAAGGGCAGAGCCTCACAGACAATAAGGTATTTACAAGTCTCCTGGGGATCATGTTAACATGAGGGCTCTGATTCAGTAATTTCGGAGTGGGACTTGGGGCTAAGCATCTGTATTTCTAGAATGGTAGCACTATTGCTGATGAACTAGATGGTACCAGTGCTGCACTTCTGGGGATCACACTTGAAATAAGGAGATCTTTGGGCTTTGGAATCCCTTGTTGGATATCTGTATCCAGTGGAAGGAAGGTAAGGATGGTGGGGCCCACTCCTGGGGGCCACCCACTTCCGATTGGCCAGAATTTAGTCCCCTATACCTGCAAGTGAAGGGTGGGAAATAAAGCCTTTGTATGTTCAGAAGGAGAAGAAAATGGAGTCTGGTGAATACTCAGCAATACCTGCCTCTCCAGCCAGGTATTCCAGTGGTCACCAAGATACCCCCTGTCAGTCAGAAAGTACAGTTGCAATGTCTGCATGCCCCCCATGGTGGATTAGACTTATCTGCACTCCCTTTTCTTTTCAAAGAACCTGTGAACCCAGAAAATCTGAGACAGGTCTTAGTTAATTTGGAAAGTTTATTTTGCCAAGGTTGAGGACGTGCCCGTGACAGAGCCTCAGGAAGTCCTGACGACATGTGCTGAAGGTGGTCCGGGCACAGCTTGGTTTTAGACATTTAGGGAGACGTGAGACGTGGGACATCAATCAGTATATGTAAGAAGTACAATGGTTCAGTCTGGAAAGGTGGGACAACTTGAAGCAAAGGCAGGAAGACCGGAAGCTGAGAGGGAGCTTCCAGGTCACAGATAGGTGATACACAAATGGTTACATTCTTCTGAGTTTGTGATTAGCATCTCCAAAGGAGGCAATCAGATATGCATCTATCTCAGTGAGCAGAGGAGTGACTTTGACTAGAATGGGAGGCAGGTTTGCCCTAAGCAGTTCCCAGCTTGAGTTTTCCTCAGTGATTGTGAGGGCTAAAGACATTTTCCTTTCACATTTCCCCACTTTTCTGTTTTTTTAATCTTTTGGAGAAAGCATTTTACAAGAGAAGAGTCTCTGGTCTCAAGTTTCATCTGATCTCTCATAGCTAGAAGGGTTTATTCCTAGATGGGTAGGTCCCAAAAGCTAATTTTTAGGAGGTTGTGAAGTCCCATATCCTGTGAACAGAAAACAGTGGGGAGGAAGGGAGAGAAAAAAACAATGAACAAAAGAACAATCCTGGAAAAATCCATATAGGCCACATTACTCTGAAGTCCATACATTAGTAGGCAGGTATGAAAGTGGCTTATGTACGTAAACAGGTTGCTGTTATTTTCTTCTGAAGTTTATTTAAGTTGTCTGGCTTCGGTACACAGGGTTTTAAGAAAGCACAACTTAGTTTTCAGTGACTCCAAATTAGGAAAAATGGAAAAAAGAAGGGAAAAAATTTGAAAACATTATTTCGAAGACTTTTAATCAGGAAAAATTAGAATTCAGTCCCAAACTGTAGAAAATAATAAAAATTGAAAAAGATACTAGGCAGACCAGAATCTAACAACAGGTCTACTTGAAACATAATTTTTCTCTCTGCAGTTTCCCATTTTCACTGAAGACAAATCATGGTAGGACTGGTTTGCTTTATTATACTTGGCCTAATTATTTGTATACAGTGCAGCAAGGGTAATTAGTTTTTACATAGGCTTTTAAATGGGCTTTGATGGAACTTTGTTCCATAGCAGGAATCTCAGATACAACTTCTTAAAGCTGAGCCCAGCCATGAATTTGTACCATCAAATACCTATGAGTTGGGTGAATTTCCTCTCCTCTGGAGGGTCCAAGATAAACCTGGGGCTTCTGCACGTGTCAGAAAGTGACATTCTTTACTTACCTCAGAAACCCTATACATGGACTGTGTACACAAAATATGAGGCCATTTGTTCCAAGGGCTTTATTGGCTCCATAAGTCAAGTTTGATTCCTTAAAGGAAAGCACACCATTCCAGTCAAAGCCTTGGTAAAATAACCAGTGTATCCAACTGTGCCCTATTACAAAAGAAAACTGATTCTTATTGTACTTATGCAAATAACTCTATTGCCATGAATTGAGACTACTCACAAATAGTTTCCAAATTCTGGAGAAGTTAGGTAGAGAGAAACAAATATGCTCCAAATTTTGTTCACAGGAGTGTTCTTTACTCAATTGTTAAAAGCCGTAAATAGCTTAAAGGTTTTCTTAACTCTGTAAAACAAAACAAAGTATCAGCAACATTTGAAGCAAAAAGTCAAAAAGATTACTTCAGTTTTTTGTTGCTTCAGTTAATTCAGTTAACTCCTGTTACGTTTGATAGCCATGAACATTTCAGCTCTGCATGAGAGTTCTGAAAGTTTTTTCCTTTATTCCAATGTCACAATTTCCAAAGTTATCAGAAAACCTGCATTTAAGTGCACCTGTTAGAGTCCTACAGCTGATTATAAACCCACCTTTTAGAGAAAGTTTCAAACAAGATAAAACAAGACAGCTTTTTGTGGATGAAAAAAAGTTTTAAGGCAGCCATAGTTAAAAGAAACAATTGACAAGGAAATTTGTTACCTCTGTGGCACGCAATAATTTTAAAATGACAATTATGATTATTACTGATAATGTACACTAAGGTACATCAGAATTACAGGAGTTTTCCATAATTTTGGAATACACACCAATAACACATTTATACAAATATATCCCAAAGAAACCAAATACCATTTCATATTTGACAATGCTTCCTGTATAATTTTTATACCAAATAAGCTAAATTATGTCATTTTTGGACTTTAGGGAACCTAATGTCTTAAAAGATTAGATTAGAAAAAGACATAATTTATAATTTGATTTTGGAAAGTTTGTCAAATATAAAAGGTTTAAAACACTTGATACTACAAAATAGGATTACAGGTCATTGTAAAGTCATTTATTTAAGTGATAATTCAAGCATTTCAAAAAGTGAAAACCTTCATTCTTTGAGAGAGAAGACTTAATTTTCTAAACAAGGAAGCCCTAATAGAAACAGCATGAAGTCAATTACGTTTGCTTTCAAACTTTTATAAACAATTTATAAAATTTAATCTTGATTATAAAATATAACTTCCGTAAGCCTTTTGTAACCTTTATAATCTTTATTAAGAAGTTGGTTAATGCTTCAAGAAAACCTTGTTAATCTGACACAGGGGTCCATATACTGGTTTTGCATCAGTTTGCCTTTAACATTAATAATTAGTTTATAGAGGAACTGCACTTATTTTATCTTTCAAAATTGGCCCACCTTACAATCTTATAATCTTACACACCCACCTGTTTGGAGACAGTCCCTGGGCCTTGAGGAGTTGAATAGCTTTAATTTCTTGCCCTGTGTCTCAGGAATGCAGTTTATTTTGATTGACATCTTCTATCGGGCCTGAAGATGAGCCTTCAATTGCTATCAGTGTTTAAGATTTAGCAGGACTTGGTGTCCTTTTTAGACCCAGGAGTTAGAGCCCTGTAACTCAATGTTACAAGAACTTTAAAAGCACATACAGGAAGATACATGGATGTAATAATGTAATAACCTTAATTTAAAAAAAAATTTATCTCAGTTTTTTTCCCTAAGCAAACCAAAACTTCATATGACAACTTGATTGTGTGAATTTTTTTTAAAGTGTAAATCCTCTTATTGTGACTTACACTGACTGCTCATGACAGGGTTGGACTTTCTGATTTATTCTGAACATCCCTCCTTTTTAAAAAATCAGTGATTTTATTTTAGGACTAAATTTACCATACAAGATTCTTTCTTATATAAAATTATTTCTCTTTAAGTTTTTCACCTCAAAAAAAAAAGCCTCTTTATTTTTATAACTTTCTTTACGTCTTTTTTATTCCTGGTTCCTTTTACCTTGTTGTATACATAACCTTTAAGTTTTGAATTAGACAAAACTTGTTCACTTTTTTTTAAGGACACACTTTTTTTTTCTTTAACAATAATGTTTTCCTACAATATGTATTTATTGGAAAATACCCAAATAGTGAAATATCTATTATTTGATTTAATATAGCTTTATATTCTAAATTATGACCAGTTTGTCTACAAATATTTGTGCCATTACATTTACCTAATTGTTTTGTTTACCTAGATTATTCACGAAAACTGTGACAGTCATTATTTAAAGTTATAAAACTGCCGTTGCAAAATTATAACTGAGACACTGAAAAGAGATTTGATCTGACCAACTCAATATTGTTCTTTTTTTGGGGGGGGGGGATTTCTGACTTCTTTTTATTTATTTATTTTAAGTGGATGAATAATACTTGTACATGTTCATGGGGTACATAGTGATGTTGTGATACATATAATATACATGGTAATCAGATCAGGGTAATTAGCATGTCCACCATCTCAAACATTTATCATTTCTTTGTGTGGGGAATAGTCAATATCCTCCTATTTGAAACCATATAATATATTATTGTTAACTATTAGATTGGTGCAAAAGTAATTGCAGTTTGCCATTCCTTTCAATGGCAAAAACCATAATCTCTTTGCTATAGAACACTAGAACTTATTCCTCCCATCTAGCTGTAATTTTGTATCATTAAACAAATCTGTCCCTATCCTTCTCTTCCCCCACCCCTCCCTCTTAACCTGCAAGCTGTCCTTGTTCATTCCTGGGCATAGGCCGAACTAACTTTGAGAGGAACATAGTTTGTAGTTTAGCTTTGAAATAGACAATAACAGTTCTTTCCCAAAACAAACCTCCTTATTGCCTGTGGACTAGACTGCCTAAAGCCACCGGATTAGAAGTTACGGTAATCTTACTAAATTCAAGATACAACTATTATCATTAAACCCTTATCAATGTCTTATTTATTACAAATTACAAAAGCAAAGATTATTCTGTTTTGGGCTGGGCTTGTAGTTTTGTAACCCCTATGCCAAATTTTGACACCTTACAGTATTTTGGCAGGGATAAGTATGAAATTGCTTGATGAATAAATGCAAACAAAAATGTATGCTGGGCAATACTTAAGGCATTTATAATAGTAGTTTACCAGTAATTTTAAAGCTAGCTTATTTATTAAAGATTTCACTGGCCAGGCGCAGTAGCTCACGCCTGTAATCCCAGCACCTTGGGAGGCTGAGGTGGGCAGATTACGAGGTCAGGAGTTCGAAACCAGCCTGGTCAACATAGTGAAACCCTGTCTCTACTAAAAATACAAAAAATTAGCTGGGTTGTGGGCGCCTGTATTCCCAGCTACTCAGGAGGCTGAGGCAGGAGAACCGCTTGAACCCGGGAGGCGGAGGTTGCAGTGAGCCAAGATTGCACCACTGTACTCCAGCCTGGGCGACAGTGCAACAGTGTGAGACTCTGTCTCAAAAAAAAAAAAAAGATTTTACTTAAGTTACAGGAACTTTAAAAAGCATTTTATTTAGTCTTTAAATAGGAACTTTAAAATAAGGACTAAACAGGAACTTTAAAAAGCATTTATTTAGTCTTATTTAGTATATAGTTTAAGAGCTTTTATTTTTTAAGCCAATTATTTAGAGCTCTTTTATATATTGTTAGTAGTAAAACATTCTGTACACACAAAAAAATACATATAAAAACTTATGAGGCGTGCCAATGGAAGTACATTTTATAGATTTATAAAGACTCCTCCCCCACTTTTTTTTTTTCTGTCTTAGACTTTCAGATTCTTGATAACCTGTTTCACAACCCTAGGCAATTGTCAGCTAAATAGCCTTAAATTTGCACATTAAGGGAAACAACTCAAGTGAAAATCAAATAGCAAAATTTACATCATAAAGTACAGAGAGAAAAAGTCTGGTGGTGCTAGAGGGAGACACTGTTATTTTTCTTGAGCCAAATTAAACATAAAATTAAACTACACCTTCCTTAAAAACCCAAGAGTAGCCTCTGCTGCAATAACTATTTTAATTACAAAAAAAAAAAAATCAGATGAAAATGGAATTCAGTTAACTGAGAAGAAAAAAAAATTGCTCAAAAAAAAAAAAAAAAGACAAGGCCTTAGGAGAGAAAAACAAACAAAAAACCAAAAACATGAAGACCTTTCAAATACAAACACGCACACTTGGATGTTAGCCTTTTAACTAAGCTGACTTTTAACCATTGAGCTCCTTTAAAAAAGTTTTTTTTTAAATCTTATTACCGTATTTCTGCTAGGACAAATGCTGCTAAACTAACAACGATCACACAAATTGTACGATTTCTGAGCACTCTAAGTGTAAGCAGAAATTAATACCAGCTGGTTGTTAAATGCTAACTTTAGTCGTTTAAAAGGAATTTGCAAGACAGAATCCCAAACCAGTTTCTTACCTAGTGATGGGTCTTAGGCTATAGACTGCTGTCTGCCAGCCTAGAAGCAGGACAAAAAAAAAAAACTCATCTTCCCTGTTGGAAGCAAGCTCAAACTCCATAAAGGAGTTACCTGCCTTCCATCATCATGGAAGCAGGAAAACTTGCCTTCCTGTTGGAAGCAAGTAAAACTAAAAAAAAAAATAGGAGTTGGCTGGGTGCAGTGGCTCACGCCTGTAATCCCAGCACTTTGGGAGGCTGAGGCGGGTGGATCACAAGGTCAGGAGATCGAGACCATCCTGGCTAACACGGTGAAACCCTGTCTCTACTAAAAAATACAAAAAAATTAGCCAGGCGTGGTGGCAGGTGCCTGTAGTCCCAGCTACTTGGGAGACTGAGGCAGGAGAATGGCGGGAACCCAGGAGACAGAGCTTACAGTGAGCAGAGATCGAGCCACCGAACTCCAGCCTGGGAGACAGAGCGAGACTCCGTCTCCAAAAAAAAAAGGAGTTGTACAGCAAAACAGACTTTAGATCTCAACCTGAAGTTTTGGGAGATTAGGGATTCTCTGGAGGGAGTACTCTCAGACCTCAGCAAATTGTCCTATTGGTTTAAGCCATAAGTTAGCTCATGCTGGTACCAAGCACCGATAGGAGATTTGTCAAAGGTCAGGGGCACCTCCACTCAGGATCCCCCCTGTGGTTACCAAAATGTGAACCCAGAAAATCTGAGACAGGTCTTAGTTAATTTAGAAAGTTTATTTTGCCAAGGTTGAGGACACGCTCGTGACACAGCCTCATTAAATCCTGACGACACGTGCCTAAGGTGGTCTGAGCACAGCTTGGTTTTAGACATTTAGGGAGACATCACTCAATATATATAAGAAGTACACTGGTTCAGTCTGGAAAGGCAGGATAACTTGAAGCCAAAACAGGAAGACTGGAAGCGGACAGGGAACTTCCAGGTTACAGATAGGTGATATACAAATGGTTACATTCTTCTGAGTTTCTGATTAGCCTTTCCAAAGGAGGCAAATCAGATATGCATCTATCTCAGTGAGCAGAGGAGTGACTGAATAGAACGGGAGGCAGGTTTGTCCTAAGCAGTTTCCAGCTTGAGTTTTCCTTAGTGATTTTGGGGGCCCAAGGTATTTTCCTTTCACAAACCCATTTGAACTATTTTAGAAAAGGAAGTTTATCTCCATTCCCCAGTTTTACCTGAAGGAGTGTCTCCTAAAGCAAAACCTAAACAATGTCAACTCTGATTCTTTAAGTAGCATCATTTATTTATAGATGATGCACTGCTCTGTTAGGCTGTGTGCTTTTTACAGAGCCTTTTTCTCTTTGCTGTTCCTACTGTATGTGGATTAAGCCCTGCTTTCCCTCTGGCTGTGACAGCAAGTCTCCCACAGCCATCACTCCAAGGCAAAACAGATGAAATGTGTAATAGGCCGACTGAAAAGTATTTCATTTCCTGGCCATCTATGGCTCTTTTCTTAGGGTGAGAAATTAGCCTCTGGATTTCAAGTTTCCACAGTTGATGTCTTTCATAGAGTGCTAATGGTAAGAGTCCCCCATAAAACTGCATTTGGGATTCTTTTCTGCTTGTCCCGTAAATGTGCTTTGTATTTATCTGGAACAAAACTGTCATTCAGGGAGTCAAGTAGAAAATTGGTTTGTGAGAATTATGGATACAAATGCCATGAACACCTTGAAGCTATCAAACCCCACTAAGCATTGAGTCTTCAGTGGCCACTTTGAAAGACTGAAATGAGGCTGCCTGCCTCTCTGTTGGCGCAACCTGCCATATCGTGGCTGTTATTTGTCGACTGCTGTTTGCGCATTCCTCTCTGTGAAGGAGAGCAGGAGGAAGAGAGCCTGACTGGCCCGGCACAGTTCGCTTTGCCATGATAGGAACAAAGAAAATCTGAATGAAAGAGGATACAGTGCAAGGAGAGGACAGAGGAGAGGTGAGCGTGCAGGACAAGGCAGACAGAGACTGTTTTGCAGCTGCCTAGGAAGTGGGAATAAGGGGCAAAAGCAGTTTAATGTCTTAGATTCATGGGCCACCTGGGATCTTGAAAGTTTGTTCTCCTTCTAGATGGGAGAAGGAGAGCGGGTAAAATATTTAGAATACCAATCTCCAGAAATTAAAGGGTATCTTCATGAGTTTTGATGATACCACAGCAAAAGACCGAAGAACAGGAGTCTGCCCTACCATCACCCCACCTACAGGAGATTCCCAAGCTTGCTACGTGCAAGACCTTAGCCAAATGGGAATCTTACGTGCCTTTTTATTAAGACCTGTAATATTTTATTTAAGGCCTTAAAATTTTGTTAAGACCTCCGCTAATACTCAGTGCCAAGCACCATCAGGGCTGGGTGAGAGTGTGCTGCTTGAGTTTGAAGTCCACAGAGGGTCTTTTATCCTTCTGCTCTGTGTTTTCAGAGCTCAGACAGTGAGCAGGGCCTGGATTTTGGGCCCTAGATGCCTCGCCACACCTTAGTCCTGGCCTAGCTAGGATATTGTCTTAGACAGTCTGTCTTCAGAGCACAGCCTCTTACTTACTGTAATAGAGCAATGGCCACCGATGGTTTGCATCGTTTGGAGGGAAGGGGCATAAGACTACAACAGAGGGGCTAGAAAGAAGTCCAGACTCATTTTCCCAAGAAGCAGTAGGCTCTGAGGCATCACTCGCTCCTTCTGGGTAAGAGGCAAAGCTTCCTTGGCTCTGAGCTGGCTCTCTACCCGTCACCTAGCCCCCACCCTTTATGGACTCCTTCCCTCATGCATTGTGGTGGTCCTGCCTGCTGTGCCCTCCTGGTGGTCCTAAGGTTTGGTGGGTGTGTCCTGCTGCAGGTTCTGGATATCCTGTGCTCCCTCTGTCTCTGCAATGGGGTTGCAGTGAGAGCCAACCAGAATCTGATCTGTGACAACTTGCTGCCCCGGAGAAACCTACTCCTGCAGACACGACTGATTAACGATGTAACCAGGTAAGGCCACCACCACCATTCCAAATGCCAAGCATAGTTCTGCCTGTCTTGTCCCCAAGCAGGAAAAGAGGGCTCATCTGAACTCCAAAGTTGCCCACCCATTGTTTCCATGGTGATACAAGTACATAAGACAAGACCAAGCAAATGTGCATTTCCTATGACTAGGGCCTCCAACACCTTTAGCAGAATTCCTCAAGCTTTTCTGTTTAAGTAGCTGAGGATAGAGTATGTGTAGCATCTGAGTGCTAAAGAATTTGACCTGAGGTGGCCTACCGTGTTTTCTTTTAAACAGTAATGCAACTCTTATAACTTCATAATATATTCATATTTATTTTTATATACCAACTTTTTTTCTGTAATCTTTTCATAGAATGGATGTCCCAAGTGAGACTGTGGCTTCTTGCATCCTCTGGCTCATGGCCATGTATCTGACTGCTGTCTGTGAGGATCAGGGTGAAGAGCAGGGTCCCATGCAGGACCCCTAGCTTGCTAGTCCATGCATGTGGCTGCACGTGAGTCATGTGAACTCACTGGACTGGGACTAGGCAGGTCTGCGGTTTTGTAGCCACTTTCTACCTAGGCCTACACACTAATCCACAATGGCAAGAATAGAATCTTCCCTCTGAAGTGCAGAGTGGCCCAAAGACCTGAGCTGTCACACAGACTTACTTTCTTCATGGTGCCAGCCTGGTTTTTCTTTGCCTACCCAAAATAGGGCATAGCTCCAGCCCAAGAACAGTTCGTCTCTAAAAGTATGATTCCTAACATAAAAACTCTAAGTGGTGTATCTTAAGCTTTTAACCACTTTGCTGGATACATTAAAACCTCTTTCCCTTAATGAGGTTGCCTAGTAATGACTTCTTAATGGTTTTAAGAGACCAGTGTTATTAATAATGCTTCGGTAACAAAGCTGCTATACTGAAAATAAGGGTGCTTATACCAATTGACCAAAAAATGGAACTCAAGTAAATTTTTTTTAACTTAAAAAACAAAGGTTTGTAATCTTACAAATCTGTATAACATTTCAGCATCGTTGCCCATGGTTGGCACTCAGTAAACGTTGGTTGCCTTGAATGGAATATTAAAAGAAACATCCTTTATGTTTTGTAATGAAAATGTTGTCCTCTTGCATCACACTAAGAACTTGATCAAGTGTTGAGGGTCCTAAGCTTTTTCTAGTCTTTTTTTTTTTTTTTTTTTTTTTTTTTTTGGAGACAAGGTCTCACTCTGCTGCCCAGGCTGGAGTGCGGTGGCATAATCATGGCTCACTGCAGCCTTGAACTGCTAGGCTCAAGCAGTTCTCCAACCTCACCCTCGCAAGTAGCTTGGACTATAGGTGTGCACCACCATACCCAGCTAATTTTTGTAGAAACAGGGTCTCTCTTTGTTACCCAGGCTGATCCCAGACTCCTGGCTTTTAGAGATCCCTCCCATCTTTTGAGCAATATGAAATACACAGCATTGCTCTTGTCCTACGTGTAAATGGGCCGTTGCCTCCTATGGTCTGGTTCAACTTGCTTTCTCAGCTTTTAAGGGTGTGTAGATGCCACTTGCCCATGTTTACTTTCAGTATCCGGCCAAACATCTTCCTGGGAGTCGCGGAGGGCTCAGCCCAGTACAAGAAGTGGTACTTCGAGCTGATTATCGACCAGGTGGACCCCTTCCTAACAGCAGAGCCCACACATCTGCGGGTGGGCTGGGCCTCTTCTTCAGGCTATGCCCCATACCCAGGAGGTGGAGAAGGATGGGGAGGCAATGGTGTTGGTGACGACCTGTACTCCTATGGCTTTGATGGACTTCACCTTTGGTCAGGTGAGTACCTTGCTAAAGCTTTGGCTCATAATCTCACTGGAAATGATGGAGGCTCAAATTATTCAAGCTGAAATGACCACTTCCATTTGAAATGATACAGACTCAAGAGTCTCAACTAATTAAACGGTTAGGTGGAAAAGAGTATCAGATTAAAATAAGACTCATTTATACCATTACTCAGACAGTTCCTAGCTACATGGTCTAGTGCAGATCACTTCTCTCAAGCTCATTGTATCTGTATGAGCCTTATTGTACGGAATCGTTAGGATTATATGAACAGAGACTCAGCATTTATTCACTGAGCAGTGAGTTACATACTTTCTCATTTTTCTCTTATTTTATCCTCACAGGGAGCCCTTAAGGTAGAAAATATTGACCTCATGTGACAAACGTGTAAACAGAAGCATAAAGATGGTTCAGTAATTTATTCAAAGTCACACTAGGAAGGATCCAGACCTGACTACAAGTCCATAATCTTGTCAACACAGCCTGTTGCTTCATAATACAATTTATAAAATGTCTGGATCCATGCCTAACACACAATAGGTGCTAACCTTTTTAAACGAATTCAGGGCTTCCTTTTTTTAGATAAATAATTGATGCTTTTCCCAAGCATGTCCATGGCCCGTGCCTGTGGAGGAATGTCTTGACTTCTGCCTGGGTGAAAAACGCGAGATTAACTCTCAGGCTTTCATCAAGAAGAAGAGCCCTACCTCTCCTGTCTGTTGTCCAAAGCGTGTATTTTCTGTATCTTTTGCAAAACTGCAATTGGAGACGTCGCGTCCCTTATAGAAATCCCTTACGTAAGCATTGTGCCGTGTGCCCGTTACATAAGTAACCATGACACACATTCTTCCTCAAATCCAGTACAAAGGAAAAGTTTACCTCTACAGGACAAACCTGTATATTTTCTTCTGTAACTGGTAGCTACATAACTTATCGCATTTTCTTCCTTCCCTTAGCTTTCTAGTTACAACCTAATTGCCTCATGCCAATGATGAAGTCAGCTCAGGTCCCAATGACATGCTTCTTTTAATTGGTCTTCATTTTCAGTTGGTCCATATGGATTTTTTTGTTGTTGTTATTTTAGGAGCCATGTTGCATTCAGCTTCAACACTTTAAAACTTTTAGGAATGCTGTAAACATTTATTTGTATACTTATTTATCCTGGATCACTGCCATGGGGGAAGAATGAAAAAAAGCCTTCGTTCATGTTCTGTGTGTCCCAGAGGACAATGTGGTCCTGACATAAGTGGATTCAAAATGGCAGGATGATGGGGTCATGTGAAGGGAAAGTCTTATCTTGTGCTCTCATCCTCCCAACTTAACCTTCCCTAATTCTTCATGGAACGTGGAGCTTCCCTTTGTTCTCATAGTGTTATCATGGAGCCACTGAGTCTGTGGCTATGAAGTAGTGACCTTAAGCTTAGGTTATCATCAGATATCATAAGGTTCACAGGAAACTGTCTCTGAAGAAATGATCTGAGAAGAAAGAATCCTTATGCTCATGCACCTTTGCGGCTCCTGAGTGTGGTAGGATTAAGTCTGTGAAGGAATTAACAAGACTGACTTGTAAAAATTGTTTCACACTCCTGCTGACTGCTGCCTATCTCCCACCAACTCGCCACCATAGCCCAAGAATGTTCTCTGGAGCCCAGCTACACCTGAGAGGGCTCTGCATGAAGATTGGCTAAGGAAGTATGAAGCATACCTAGACCCTGGGGTGAAGCAAATTGGACCCTTGTTTCGAAGAGAAACTAATCATTCTCAAAGGAAAAAAATTTAGTCTTTTTCTGACTTTACAGCACTGCATGGGGCACTTAGTGTATTCCTGTATCCCTTTGTAGAAATTTGAGGAATGAATACATCAGTGAGTCAGGAGGCATGGAACCCATTCATGGTGCATCCATAGAGGGCTACTCTGTGCATTTCAGGACCTGAACATCCTGTCTAATTGTGTATCATTCCAGGAGTGTACAGTTCCCCATCCTCTCCCTCATCCCTCCTGTCTCCTCTGAAGGCAAGGAAGCTGGGTGCTCCAGGCTCATGCCGAACATCACTAGCAGTGGCTCCTGTAATTGGAGAAGTGGGAAGAAGGCTGGTGACTCAGCTTTTCAAAAACTGATTGTGGCTCTCTGAAATGGCCTGCACTTGATGGTATATTGGCATGTAGGTGCACTCCAGGGATTTCATCCCTCAGTCTCCAGCATCTGATGAGACATGGAGAAACCAGTGTCTCCAAGTTTTATACGTTTCATTCTCACCAAAACCCAAAGCTTTCCTGGGTCTGGGCATCATTCTGACTTCTCCAACGAGCACACAGGGAACATATATCTTGCAGAAGGGATTGGAATATGTCAGGAATATTTCTTCAGCTGAAGAAATAAAGTTTCTGTTGATGTCCCCCACCAGGACAGGCATGAATTTCAGACTATCTTATGAAAAGGTAATTGATGAAGAAATGAAACAGAAATAACACTCCAACTTACTACAGGAGAGAATGGTGGGTAGATAGGGGGATATATTAGAAAGTGGTCGTGATAAATTATTCTCCTTTTATTTGAGATTTAAATGCCCAGGTCATTACCTTTAAAGTTATTTGTGTGCATAAATTAAGCCACTGCCTTGAACATACTGAAGTATGTCTTTAACATACTTATTAAAGTACAATAGATTTTGCAGTAGTTGGAAAGAATTACAGTGCCTCTAACACTTTGTCCATGGAAAGTCAAGAACAAACAGCGTAGCTTTGGAGTTACGCCTGGGTTTGAGTCCTAGCTCTGCCACTTAATGTTTCTTTTTTTTATATTGGACAAATTAACCTCTCAGAGACTCAGTTTTCCTCTGATAAAATGAGGATACTATAAGATTCTTATGAAATTTAAATAAGAAATATGAAGTCCCTGACACACATTAGATAGACAGTAAATATGAGCTACCTTCCATCGTCATCTATGAATTGCACTGCAGTTATAAAGACCAAATCCAGAGTCCTTGGTACTTCACTCAAGACCATGAGAATAGCCCAGTTAGGGCTACCCCAGGAATATCTAAGGGAATAAAGAACCCCCATTCCATGCTGAATGAGAAAAGAATTCTCAAAGTGACATCCTGGAAGTATGAATGAGCTTTTTCTCTGTGTAGGGGAGAAGCAGCCTTAATAGGCCTTTTTAGCCATGGAAGCCTGGGAAGTCATTTTCAGGCATCAGCTGTGGGAACATCTGCCTCCTCAACTCTGTCTAACCCTCCCTACAGAGTCCAGGGTCAACTCAGACACTGTGATCTTCTCTTTGGAGGAATGGCTCTTTTTCGTGATGGTCTCACTTTCCCTCTCTGGATGGAGACTCAATGGGGCTTTCAGGATAGCAGTTGGGAGTGAATTCTGCTCAGAGCAGCCTACACAGTATGTTACTGGCTGGGGGAAGTTTCATAGGAGGAATCATATCTCCCCTTCCCTTTAACCACTTTTTCCTCCTCAGAATTGAAATAAGCAAAAGAATTGACCATCCCAAGAGATGAGTAGTACGGAAGCGAATGAATGGAGTAAAATTGTGTTTCCTGATTTATTAAGACTACTGACTCCTCAAGATAATTTACCTCTGCAGTCAGATCTGCACAAGGGGACTTCACCTGTCTCCCAACTAAGATGAGTTCCAGGGTATTTGTTTATAAAACACAGCCCACTGTGACTCAGACCTTTCCAACCCCAGTCCTATGTGGACGAGATCCGAGGAGTAGCTGCAGAAGAGCAGCGCTTTTCTGTCTTTGGATCCCCTGTCATTCCAAATGGCTAAATATTTGTGCTTGTGTTATAATGCCAAACTCTGCAGTGCCTGGACCTGTGCAAGTGCTGAGCATCGCTGTTTCCAGTTGCCTTGTTACTCATCAGAGGGGACTAAATTCTGTAATAATACACCCTGAGGTTAATTGAAGATATGCAGCATCTAATTAAGTGGCCTTTAAAAAAAATCATATTATCGGGTTTGGAATGGCCTTTCCAAGCTTCCTGGGCACTTCAGGTGGGCCTGAGCCTCCAAACCAGGGGACGGTTTTTCCTCTTGAGACTGGCAGAGATAAGAACCACTGGCCTCTTGCAGTGGATGGTCTCTAGAGTTATTCAGAGTTCCTAATATCATAAAAAGCACTTGAGGCTGCTCTTAGAAAAGCTCTCTGAAACAAGTTTGATTTTTCATTCCATAGTGTCACATTTCTGCTGGTTGTTCTAAAAGGGTCAAATACATTAAACATACTTTAAAATGTGCATGTTTTTCAGTACTGTCTTTGAATAAAGAAAGTAGATTTTAAATCACTTTTTGGATTCAGCCCTCAATGCTATAATTTCCCATATTGTTATTTTTTTCTAATATTATAAAAGGTATAATATTCCTACAGTGTCCCGGCAAACTTTTCTACTGTTAGCCTAATAATTAAGGTTCCTGGAGTTGAAAAAAACACAAACAAATAGCACTTGCTGTGGGTTACAGTGTGCGAGGCGCTCTTCTATTGCTCTATATAGATTAATTGATTCAAAACTCATAGCAGTCTTATGAGGTAGACGTTATTCCTGTTTGACAGATTAGGTAACTTGAGTCCACAAAGGTAAGTTACTTGCCCAAGGTCACACATTAAGTGACAGAGCCAGAACTAGAGCCCAGGCAGTCTGGTTCCAGAAACCCCTTGACCACTACGATAAACTGCCTCTTAAGTGGTACACAGGACATCATTTAGTTACTTCATTAAAGTGAAAAGGATAATAATGGTACCTTACAAATAACTCTCTTTATAGCATCCCTGTGGGTACCACTGTGCCCATTTTACAGATGGGGAAGTTGAGCCTCTAGTAAAATCATAGGTCCTGGTTCATGCAGCAGGTAAGGGCTTGGGATTTGAACTCAGTCCTGTGTGATTCCAAGGCCCCTCCAACCTCCCTTTGCTATCTCACTGCAGCTCAGTCAAAAGGATTTGCATCTTGTCTAAATGTGGAATACAAGACCCTTCCTAAATGATTATTAAGCCATGAAAGCCCTCACAGGGGTGGAGATTACTTTCTCTGCATGTGAGGAGATTTATAACACACACTATGCAAAAGCAATGCCACCATTCCATCATTTTCCTATTTCAAACTCTTCATACTACTCACATTTTAAAGTGAGGTGTACGTCGTCAGATGACCTTTTACAGTGTGAATATGATATGAGATGGGCTCTCTTATCCAAATAGTCTTCCCAGGACATTGCTCTAAGCACTTGCTAAGTATATCCTTCATATCCAGTGATTATCAACAGTTACCCTTTCATTTCTAGATAATATTAGTCCCAACTCTGTTCTCTACTGTACAAGCTTTAAAAATAGGCCCAGCCTATGGATTCAATTTGCTTATAACTTTTCTTAGCAAATGTTCCAAAGGAAACGTCTACGTTGAGCCCAGTCTCTTAGAGAAAAGGTGGGAAAAGACAGTGTCTTTCACCACGAGGGCATAATTGCTCCTCCTGGTGGTTATTTTCAATGGAAAGAATAAGCCAGACGGGGGAAATTCTCCCAGCCATATTTCCTCTGGAGGGCATATGGCAGCTATGGCTAAATAAAGTTCAGAGCTCAGCTCCTGTTGGTATGAAAGCCCTGCTGCAGATGAAGAGCATCCCCCATGAAAGCTGCTCTTTGTCTTCAGTGGCCGAGCCTCAGGCCAGTATAGAAGCCAACAGTGAACCCTCAGAGGACGGGAGAGAGGACACTGGAGTCACGATTCAACTTTGGCAGTTTTGTCCCAGTTTGTATGATTCTTAGAACATTAAAGAACCTTGGAATTTGTATTTTTATCCAGCAAGGATCTGAATACTTTTAAAGACAATTGTCCAGTGTAGCATTTCAATTATTTCCTGGTCTTCCTCAGTTCACAAATATTTCTTAGAATTTGTTCAAGTAGGCTGGGTGTGGTAGCTCAAACCTGTAATCCCAGCACTTCGGGAGGCCGAGATGGGAGGATCAGTTGAGGCCAGGAGTTCAAGACCAGCCTAGCCAACGAGGTGAAAACCTGTAATCCCAGCACTTTGGGAGGCCGAGGTGGGAGGATCAGTTGAAGCCAGGAGTTCAAGACCAGCCTAGCCAACGGGGTGAAATCCTATCTCTACTGAAAATACAAAAATTATCTGGGCAGTGGCGTGCGCCTGTAGTCCCAGTTACTTGGGGGCTGCAGTGAAAGGATCACTTGAACCCAGGAGGCAGAGGTTGCAGTGAGCCGAGATCGTGCCATTGTACTCCAGCCTGGGTGACAGAGTAAAACTCTGTCTCAAAAAAAAGTTGAAGTAACTACAGTGATATTTTCCAGAAGTTAAACTAATGAAAAAAAATTGTTTTTAATGGTAAAATAAATCTTAAAAGTGAGACAATTACTGCAAGCTTTGCTGAATTTTAATATATAGATTTTTTTCATAGCAAGGACTTGAACAGGAGGAAGAAAAGATCCTGGGACCTTGGGTATCTAAACTCCATACAGTGAGCTAAGAGTACTCAGTGTCCTCAAATGGAGAAATGTGAAAGATGTCAAACCTACACACTCTTCAACTTTGGTTCAGTTTTGTTTTCTTTTTAAATAATTTTACCTATAGGTGCTTCAATGAGGAAGTTGTTCCTCTTTCTCAGTGGTGAAGCAAGGTATTAAAGTTATAAAAACAGAGTCTAAGGCCACTCCAGACTATTTGCCAATATGCATTGAGTACATTATGTGTAGCAGCACTCTTGCTGTGCAGGTGGTCCAAGCTGGATGCTCCTGTCCAGCTTTATTGCCCCACCATATCTCCCTCATCCAGCCTTCATTAACCCTCAGCTTCCAGCCTTACCAAACTCCAGCCATTCTGCAACTATGTTAGACACTCCTCTTGCTCTTTCCTTTCATTTCTCTAGAGACCTTTATATTTTCCAAGTCTCAACTTGTCCCATGCTCCCAGACAGATTCCCAGGCATCTTCCTCTCCCTCTAGAAGGCAACACATACGTACCTTCATTCCATTATTTATCGTATTATTTTGTATTTAAATGTCCATTTCCCAGCAGACTATGGGCTTCTTAAGAGCACGAGTTGGGTCTTCTGTCTTTGATCCCCAGTCCCAGGTGTAGTATCTGGCACATAGGAGAGCCTCATTACTGCCTGTGGAAGAGTGGGAGGGAATGCAATATGGCTTTGTCAATTACCCAAATTAATTAGAGGGAGCTACCTAATCTTTTTTATTAATTAAAAAGAGCACAGTGATTTTACCATTTAAAAATTCACCACTTAGTTTAGAATCTGTTATAGGTTGAGTATCCCTTATTCGAAGTTCTTAGGACCAAAAGTGTTTCAGGTTTTAGATTTTTTGGGTTTGGGAATATTTGCATATGCATAATAAGATACCTTGGAAATGGGACTCAACTCTAAACACAAAATTCCTTTATGTTTCATAAATACAAAGCCTGAAGGTAATTTTTTACAAAATTTTTAATAATTTTGTGCATGAAACAAAATTTTGACTTTTTTGATGGTGACCCATCACATGAGGTTGAGTATGAAGTTCCCCACTTGTGCCATCATGTCAGTGCTCAAAATGTTTCAGATTCTAGAGCATTTCGCATTTTGGATTTTTAGATTAAGGATGCTCAACCTGAACTAGACTAGCAGTAAGCACAGAAAACATTAAATAGTTCTAAACTGGGATTATAAATATTCTATAGCAAAGATACATGTACAGAATTTGTAAATAACTCATATCCATCAGGTGGGGATTTTTTTAAATTACCTTTTCATAGCATATTATACACCCATTAAAATTAAATTTCTAATGAATATTGTATTATACAATAAAATGTTTGAGATATAATTAGTAGAACAAGCTACAAAAACCTACTATACCCCAGTTTGAATAAAAAGTGTGTGTGTGGGGCTGGGCGCGGTGGCTCACGCCTGTAATCCTAGCACTTTGGGAAGCCAAGGCAGGCAGATCACGAGGTCAGGAGATCGAGACCATCCTGGCTAACACGGTGAAACCCCATCTCTACTAAAAATACAAAAAGTTAGGCGGGCGTGGTGGCGGGCACCTGTAGTCCCAGCTACTTGGGAGGCTGAGGCAGCCTCCTGGCGTGAACCCAGGAGGTGGAGCTTGCATTGAGCCCAGATTGTGCCACTGCACTCCAGCCTGGGCGACAGAGTGAGACTCTGTCTCCAAAAAGAAAAAAAAATGTGTATAACTCCATAAAATATATATAACTCCATCAAAATAGAGTGTGTACATATATATTTGGAAGAATTTTTATGGAGTTATATTTTTTCTTTTGTATTTATTTGAGACAGGGTCTCATTCTGTCGCCCAGGCTGGAGCGCAGTGGCATGATCTCAGCTCACCTCAGCCTCCACCTCTTGGGTTCAAGCTATCTTTCCACCTCAGCCCCCTAAGTAGCTGGGACTACAGGTGCACGTCATCACGCCCAGCTAATTTTTGTATCTTTAGTAGAGACAGAGTTTCACCATGTTGGCCAGGCTGGTCTCAAACTCCTGAGCTCAAGCGATCTGCCTGCCTTGGCCACCCAAAGTGCTGGGATTATAGGCATGAGCTCCCCAGCCTTTTTGTATACTTTCCTGTATAAATGGTGACCATTTATAATGAATACATATTATTTCTGTAATCAAGAAACAAGATATCTTTTTATCTTTTGCTGGAAGCTCTATTTTAAAACCTAACTCCTCTTTTGTTGCTCTCTTTCTAATAGAAATGTAAACCTGAGAGGGGAGGGGTAGGTGGTTATAATTATTAATATTTACTTTTAGAATTTCCAGAATAAGATGATATAGGAAAGCAGAGAGGTGATTTTCCTCACTACTTTAAGTCAGGAAATAATAAATCATCTAATGAAAGAGATGTGAAGAAGTTTTTTAATCAATTCAGAGTATAACTGGCAATGTGTTTTCCTGCTTATCCGAAATAATAAAGTTCTTTAAAACAAATAAGCAAACTACGTAGCATAGTTTTTTTGTTTGTTTGTTTTTTGAGATGGAGTTTCACTCTTGTTGCCCAGGCTGGAGTGCAATGGCACGGTCTCGGCTCTCTGCAACCTCTGCCTCCCGGGTTCAAACGATTCTCCTGCCTCAGCCTCCCGAGTAGCTGGGATTACAGGCATGCGCCACCACACCCGGCTACTTTTGTATTTTTAGTAGAGACGGGGTTTCTCCATGTTGGTCAGGCTGGTCTCGAACTCCTGACCTCAGGTGATCCACCTGCCTCAGCCTCCGGAAGTGCTGGGATTACAGGCGTGAGCCACTGTGCCCAGCCTATGTAGCATAGTTTAATGGCTAGATGGCCTTGCCATTCTTCTCTTTGATGGCTTCTCTATTCAACTCTACAGCAGTCTAATCTTTTTGAGGAAGTAGAAGACAGGAAGGTCTTTGGGCACTTACAACTAAACAGACACACACACCAGCTACTTCTGAAGAGCAAGCTACACCAGCAAAAGCAGTCTGTCTGTTACTTCAGACACCAGGCCACAGTCTGAACACTCATTGAGCACATTAAGTTTTTGTTATTTCTCATTCTTAGCAGCTTGAGCATTTCCCCTGAGACTCATCGCAAATCAGGCATGGTGTCTGCCCACTCGCCAGCTTAGGAATTCATTTCTCATTGCTCATCTCACACAAAAGGAAACAAAAGGAAAGTTGCATTTCAAATGCAGTAGTACCTCCGGACCTCTTGAGTACCCATCACACCTCCCCACCTCCCGCAGAGGCCTCTGAGCCTTTCTCAGCCTAGCAGGTGCCTCCAGAGTTCCACAGCCTTCTTCCTGTTCTTTCCTCACCAGGCCGGATACCCAGAGCTGTGGCTTCCATCAACCAGCACCTCCTGAGATCGGATGACGTGGTAAGCTGCTGCCTGGACCTCGGGGTGCCCAGCATCTCATTCCGCATCAATGGGCAGCCCGTGCAGGGGATGTTTGAGAACTTCAACACAGACGGGCTCTTCTTCCCTGTGATGAGCTTTTCAGCAGGTGTCAAGTAAGTTATGGCTGTGATTTCATGGAGAGTAGCAGTTACCCCACCTCCCCGCCACCACTGTGAGCTGCGAAGCCAGCAGTCTCCTTCAGGGCTTCAGTACTGTGAACTAAGTTCCCCAGGACAGTGATGGTGCAAGGGCAAGAGCCAACTAGAGTCATTTGCTCCATCTCTACTGGTAGAACCTCCCCCAGGGGTTGTATTATGTACTCAGATAAACAGTAAGATTAATAGGATAAATCCTGTGTAGAAAATTAATAATTATAAAAGTATTACATGCTCATTATAAGAAAAACTTCAAAGACAATAGTTATGAACAACACAGTAAAAATCACCTATGATTCCAATGGTTAGCTATAATCTCTATTAATACTTTGGCATATTTTTCAAGTCCTTTCTTCTACAAATATACATCATTTTTTAATTGGTATTACACCGAATATGAAGTTTATGTCTTGATTATCTTTTATTCAACAATAATGAGCCTTTTCCTGAGTCATTGAGTATCTTCAAAATGATTTTATAGCCATATAATAGCCCTTTATTTGGCTGTTTCATGATACAGCCATTACTTTGCTGTTCAAGTCTATGCCAATTTCATTTTTGGTCAGAATGCATGTGTGCTTTAAAGTCTAAATTTATAATTATGTGGCCAAATTGATTTTGAGATTCTCTAAACAGTTCAGAATTCCTTATCAATAACTTTAGAATCTAAAAAGCTCTGAAAACCATAAATTTGTTCATAACTCATTTTGTAATAAAATCTAACCTGAACTCATTTTGTGACAAAACTGTCATCAGCAGAAATGAGGCTGTTTTCAGTCTTTCATTTATTCTACGGCTTGTGAATATTTATATGTTTAACTGCAGAGATATTAATGTGTCTGATTATGATGTACTGCCCCTCACCTGGCTGCAGTTTCTGCTTAATGTACATAACGGGTAACTTTTAAAAAAAATTCTAAAGAATTCCAAAGTCTGAAGCACATCTCTAATGATTTCAGATAAAGGATTTGGGCTTGCAGTATCATTTAAAGCAACATATGGGAATGTCCAACTGATTGGATCCTTATTAATTTTTACTGTTATTTGTTATTTTAAATCTTTGCTGATTTGGAAAAATTGTACCTTAGAGTATTAATTTTTTCTTTTTTATTACGAATGTGGTGAAACATTTTTTATGCTTACTTTTAATGTGCTTTTTCCAACACAGTATTTTTGCTAACTTTGTGTTCTCAGCCTTTCTGATATTTATTTTTTGGTAGATATCTTACATATTTTGGATATACTGACTTTATATAGTATATGTAATATATTTACATGTTTATGTATAATAATTTTATATTAAGGATGTTAAACTGTTTTTTATTGGTTTCAAATATTTCTCCCAGTTTCTGATTTATACTTTAACACTTGGGTTTTTTCCTATTGTTTTTTGTTTTTCTTTTTCACAAAAGGAATGTACATCAAAGAAAATAGGAGGAACTCATAATAGTACCACCTAGAGATAATCATATTGGCTTTTTATATACACAGTTAAATATTGTTCATTTAATTGGGCTTGTGCTATGCATGCTGCTTTCCTATATACTATTGCTATTTCTCTGCCTCTTTCCTCGTACCTACCAGTTGGATGCTATTTTTAATTATTTTAACCACGTTATTCATTTTAATGTCTGTAAGGCAAAACCCCACAATAACCCTTCTTTCCCAAACTTTCCTCAGCCATTCTTCATCCCTGTATTTTAAAGAGATCACAATCAATTGAGCAGGAGACTGGAGTCAACATAGAATCATACTAGTGTCCATGGAAGCCCCTGGAAAGGGTCATGGCAGGAGGAGAGTTGTGGGAAGCAGGAGCTGAGATCTGGGATCACAAAGAAACCATTTCAGGGATCCAGGTCCAAGTGAGGGGATTTTCAGGGTGAAACCACTCCAGTAGGCCTCAGCACCTCAGGTGGATTGGTAAACCAAGATATGTTTATATGTTTTCCAAAGTAGGATTTTGGTTCTGTTTCAATTATATAAACTATTTAGAAATAAAGAATTGTCCTATGCGAATGGTACTCAACCTTTGGAATTTGAGACAGATGTGTGTGTATGTTTGTATATATACACAAGCATATTTACAAACATATTCATATAAATGGATATAATATATTGAAGTTATATATTGGCATTGTTTGAGGTTCTTGTAACAAATGGAGAACCAGTAGAGTAAAGCTTTACTGAGGTTGAAAATCTTCTCATCACATATTCAAGCCAGGGAATCTTACGCTATCTGCAGGCACTGTGTTCTAAGAGTTGAAAGTTCTTCTGTGCTGAGGATATTTCATCCCAATTCTTCCTTTTTAAATATGTGAGGATACCACATAGAGCTATTCTCATTGACAGCCATCAGAAGCATGTGGAAAACGGGGAGTGTTGTTGACAAGAGAGGCGCTGTAAGCACAGAAAAATCTGATTGGAGCAAAAGCCTTCTGGAAGAGGGAAAGGACCTTCTAGCCCTATTTTCCATCTTCCCCACTCCACTCCTTAGGAATAAAGAGAATGAGTACAAATATAAATACAACACAACAGTGTTGGGATCATACACCCTTTGACTCAGGAACTTTCCTGAAGAAACAAGGTTACTCTGAGTAGTCAGTTCCCGGGACTGCATTTGCATGTGTAGCTGGTGGCCTTGGTCACCCACCATTAATACTGCTCCCACTTTTACTTATTTTGCCCATGTCCACTCATGGTTTTTTACTCATTTTCAAAGGGAGTACACCTATTTCACAAGCAAGTCATCTGAAAAAACTACTTAGGCAAATTTAGATCTATGGAGAAGGGATCTTCTCCAGTCTACTAGCTAATGAACTTTTCCACATTTTGTGTTTAGAGAATGGTACATCTGCTCTCAAATGTTGCATAATGATTCTGAATCATTAGTTCATCCCTTCCGTCTCCCTCAGAACAGTGAGATAGGATCTTTGTGTCTGTGATTTTTTAGAGGGTAGTGGAGGGATTTTTTTGGAATCCTCTTGACAAGAACCGCAGTTAGCAGGTGAAAAAATAGTTGACTGAAAGGTATCCACATGTAGAAGACATTTCTGGGATCTGGTGTCTAGGTCAGCAGATCATGCAGCCTTCTGAGTGCACAGATAAAGGAGAAGCAAAGTTGCAAGAGAAGAAGAATGAGATGACTAATCATTTAGGAGGCACAACTGCTGAGGAAATTTAAGAAACCGAAGGGTCCAGATGTGTTGACTTGAAGAACCAACAGCTTAGCTCTGAGAGCTTTTTGCTTATAGCAGCTGAACAGGTGGAAGGCTAAAAAGCAGTGCCAGTGGGGTGTGCAGCGGGGCTTGAAGTCACTCAAGCTTCCTGTCTCTCAGGAAACTATGAGCTCTGATATATTCCTGGCTTCGGGTCTCACAGCATGTTGTGATTTGAAGAGAGGTGGAACCACAGGGTCTGTGTAGTTGGGAAATACATTTTACTGAAATGCCTCTAGTGCATCACATGATGACCTTGGTCAGGGTCAGTGCAGGACCTGTACTGGGGGCTAGCCAGTTGCTTATAAATCAAAATAAACCGATTGGGTATTCTACAACCCAAGTGTTATTCTTACATCAACTGGTAAAGTATGATTTGGTGCTGAAACCCAGCAGTTCTTCTCTGTACTACTTTAGTTCAGTTGAACAAAGAGCTAGAAAGAGAAACCACAATATGAATTCCAAGTTAATTAAAGTATCTTATTGAAAAGAAATGTATTGGTCGGGCGTGGTGGCTCACGCCCGTAATCTCAGCACTTTGGGAGGCTGAGGCGGGCGGATCATGAGGTCAGGAGATTGAGACCATCCTGGCTAACACAATGAAACCCCGTCTCACTAAAAATACAAAAATTAGCTGGGCGTGGTGGCAGGCGCCTGTAGTCCCAGCTACTTGGGAGGCTGAGGCAGGAGAATGGCGTGAACCTGGGAGGCGGAGCTTGCGGTGAGCAGAGATCACACCACTGCACTCCAGCCTGGGCGACAGAGTGAGACTCTGACTCAAAAAAAAAACGTATTTTATAATGAAATTGAAAAGGAATTATTGTTTCACCCAATACTGTAGATCACTTGCCTGGTTTTATAGCATCTCTCCCAGCAAGATGCAAAGTGTTATACCTGTCTAGAAAGAGATTCTTTTTCTCCCATCATAGAAGTCTTCAGAGTTGTTTCTCATATTTATTTTTAACTTCCGTATGGCTTCTAAGTTAGACTTGAGTTCTCTTTCACAGTCCTGTTTCCTCCTGTTTAATGGTCTTTACTGAGATCCTTGTCTTGAATTTTTAAAATAATTTTTATACTTACAAACTATGTTGTTAATAATACCTGATTAGGATGTCCCTGCCAGCCGTCATCGAAGAGCAAAGCTACATGAAGAGCAAAAATCTTTTTCAATTAGATTTACCCACAGTGAAGTCAAAGTTAGCATGAGTAATTACTGACAAAACCCACAAATCAATGTCATAGCCTCTTTTCTCTTAATGAATATGCCTCCATAGTTTTCTTCTCAATGTGGTTTGTTTATAGACAGTATTGTTAGTGCAGTAGGCCCCCAGTGTAACAACCGTATTCATTATAGAATAGAATTTGGGATGAGGTATATGTACCTTGTAGCCCACCGAAAAGGCTGAATTACTTAGATGCCAGGAAGCTCTTACTAAAAGTTGATCTTATATACACCCCACAAGTGGCATGAATCAGATAGACAGCATTATACAGAAAGCCATAGTATATAGTGAAATTTGGGTGCTAATTTTTTTTTGCAGAAAATTCATGAGTTAGGCATCATAGAATATATTTTATGGCTATAGTTAAACTCCCCATAAATCTATTTAATCATCTTATGTAACTCTTTTGCCAGCTCTAATTTATAAAAATAACCATATCCAAAGATGTTGTATTTGTGGTTGCTGTTTGTTTTCTGTTGGTATTCTCCAGACTTGGCTAAAATTCAGGTAACCAACAGCTTAGCTATTTCCAGCTTGCTGTGGTCAATGCTGTGGAAATTATTGCTGAGATAAATATGCTTCTTCAGAGAACATGATGGGCACTGGCTGGATTGCCCTGAGCTTTCATCAAACACTAGCCAGAAAGAAATATGAATGTGGGAATGTCCATAACTCAGATTGTTCTCCAGTCTTAGCGATAGGGGCTAAAGATGCAATTATGAATCGTGACTTACGAGTCAAATTCAGGTCAGCAAAAGCTGGCTCATTCTTTCTCCTCTTAACCACAGCTTGTATCCTTTTCTTCTGTGAAACATTATCCCAGCTCTCTGGGAGGAATTCGATAGCAGATAACAGTAATGAGACATCTAGCAAGACTAAAATGATTTTACACGTTTGCTAGCAAGCTCTGAATAATAATATGATAGCCTAACGAAAGGAAAGTTAGTCACCCCCTTTGAGCACAGCACAGCTTTGTCATGATTTTTACTATATTTTTTTCTTAATGGGTCAATCTTTCAAATCTGGGAATTTGTAGTAGGTAGACCCATCTCTCCTGCAAATTAACAAGCAAAAATGCACAAATCTCAAAGACGAAGTTGAAAATGCTGGCAGAGATTTTTCAATATAATTTGTCCTGTGTTTTCAAAATCAGTCAAGTAAATAAAAATTTCCTCTACACATCCCAAAACTTCACTACTCCCAGGCAGCTCTTACTGAAGCTATTGCTCATCTATGAGGTGAAAGAATCTAAGGACAGAGTCGCTTACTGTAAACACTTTAGGAAGGAAAAAATCTTTGAGAGCTGATGAAATATCTGAGTTATAGAAAGAACCCCAGAAAATGATACAAGTGCTGTGGTGGAACGGATTAAATAGATTAATGAATTTGATTTTTTAAATCCATTAATGTAGAGAAAAATCTGAGGATAAAGAGGAACTAATTGTAATGAAATCAGTTCTTCAATTCTCTTTTTAATTTTAAATTTAACATTTTGGGGATGCTGGGTGATTCCATGGAACTCAAGGAGCCAGGGAGGAAAACATGTAGAGAGGGGAGATTTACATTCCAACTGGACATTTCTCATTTGTGAATGAGGCAAAGGATTTAAAAGATAAACATGAAGTGCCAGGTAACAATTTACTGAGAGAAGTGGACTGGTAGGTTTAACTTTATTGCTTCTTCTTCTACCCCTGTAACTCCATGCTCTGGAGAAGTTCTCGGGTAGGTCCTGTAGCTTTTATTACTACTTTTAGGAACAAGAACAATTTTGTCAGTAATTCGAAAGTTCTATCTATTTGAATATAAAATCAAAATTTGTATTCAGTTTACAGCTTGAGCCCTTCCCCAGCTTGGGCCTGCAGTATGAGGCAGCTGCTTCTCCACATTGGTCTGCCCCTCCCTGATTGGCCAGCTCCTATTGCAGACCCCTCTAGAGTTGAGACCCAGGGAGAGATGACTGGAGAATAGGCATGTCTGATGGAGTCAGTGCTATTGTCAGGTAGCATTGAGTCTTTGTGTAGCAGTTGTACAGTTGCTGCCTCTTTCTTTTCTGGGACCCTTTTGTAGTTTTCTTAGCCTCAGGCTGGGAACTTCTGACCACAGTTCTTTTGACACAAACCTTACCACTTCTGTTGGCTGCTCCCTCTGGCTGACCCTAAACCTCCCTCCAGATCCCCTTTCCCACATCCCCCAGCCCCTGGGTTTCTGATCTCTACTCAGACATTTGCCTTTCTGGGAAGTCCCTTTTTAAGATGGCAGATGGTGGGCTCATTCATGGAGCCCTTAAATAGCCTTCTAGGGAGCACAGTCCTTGGCGTCACCCTGAGCGAAAGGGCACCTCTTTTCCATGCAGCCCTTTCTCACACTGTCAGCTCTATCACCAGGAAAATGTGTCCCTCAGTAAACTCCAGAGGACAGTTGTCAAGCTTCCACGTGGTTTCTTGAAACCCTTATCGTTTGGCTTCCGAAAAGGGAGAACGCTTCTCCCTTTCTCCCTAAAAGTTCTCTCCAAAGGAATTCTTTCCTTTATCCGTCTAGAGGTGTGTGATAGGCTGTGGCTGATAGAACTGGTTTCACAGTTTTTTAGTATATACTACATAGTTGACTCAGCACTTCACTTTAGGATGTGAAAATATTTAGCATCCTCTGAATTATGGATTCATATATCTAACTGTGGGACCTCAACCAAAACTCTGAGACAGAGGGGAGCCCACTTTCATATACTCAGATAATTAAAATGAGTTTCAAGTATTTTGTTACCTTCTTTCAGTCGTTCCCTTCAAACCTGAATTTTATCTCCCTAGTTATTACCTTTGATCTCATCAATCTGGATCTCATAGGGCAAGTTACGAAGGGGACCTTCAATATTTGTGGCGGTTTGTTGGATCGCTTCTCACGGACTCTGGGTAGTTTGTTCACAGGCAGTGAGGGGAGGAGCCACAGGTGGTGGGTGTGCCCTGGACCACTGTCTGTTCAATCTGCCTGCTGAGGGCACAGGGAATGTCATCTGCAGGACTTCTGAAGCAATCCAGGACCTTTTCTTCTACCCAGTGAAGCACTGCACGATGATGTTTAAAGACCAAAGCTTCAGTATGCAGTAAACACTGATTCCTGCCTGTGTTAATTTATTTTACAGTTTATGTGGCCATTAGAGAAGATGAGATTCAGATTTATAACCAAATGATCAGTCTCCTTTTAATAACTGAATATAAAAACTAAGCGTTGTTCTCATTAAATGCTACCTGAAACTCTACTTTTCTTGATTTGTTATCTTATCCAGCAGATTTTAAAACCTAAGAGAAATTTTGAAACTCAACAATTAGCAACAGAGCTCATGAATAATTAAATTCCTCTAGAAATCCTCATAAGAGATCATTTACTTGTTCTTGGAGTCCATATGCTAGTGAGTAATGGAATACACTTACTTGCTATACAAGCTACTAGGCATTCAGCTGCTCACAGGAAAGATGCTCAATGAGAAGAGAGAGGCAGAAAATTTCCCACACTAATTCTTTGCCCAGAAAGATCCAATTTTATCCCATGGTTTCCATATGTCAGTACACAATCTGTTATGTTGCAATTGAATTGGGAAGTTCTCAACAAATAATTTTAAGATTTAGTCATTATTTCCTGAGGTTCACTAAATTAGTAATACTGCAGGCTAATGACTCAATTTTGTTTTAATTTCATTGTTCAAATTCTTAATACACATAGATTGTGTCCTATTACATAACACTTAATGTAGGCGCATTCACAAGGGACAATTGTGATTCTAACTCTATATCATTATTATTGAGTACCTTAAAATAGGAAACTGGGAGGTTTAGTATGATTTCTATAATTAATTTTAAAACAGCATTTTATAAAATGCTTTTCAGATAAAGTGTCTGCTCTTATTGGGAAGGAAAAAAACCTTAGCACCTCTTTACTTAAAGAGGCTTTATTTTCCAGTTTCACGATTAGGATATTTCCACGATCACAATTATGCAGCCAACACTGAGAATATCTTGTAAGGCTGCCCTACCAGAACGTTCCAGTGAAAGGAAGTGAGGCCCACTGGAAAGTATCCTGTTGTGAAAGTTTTGCCAAATCATAACTTTTCTCCGTTTACCTCATCCCCCTCCACACATACACTCAGTCCATGAGCAATTCCGAACAAGCCTAATTCCACAACAAAACTGGAAGTGGCTGCTTGGATCACCTCCGTCCAACCCACCATTATCTCCCTCTGACTATTTCAAGAGTCTCCCAATTGGTCCCCAGATCTATCTGCATAGGGCGACTAGGAGAATCTTATATTTCCTTACGTTAAAACCCATCAGCAGCTTTCCATTTGGAATAAAATCCTACCTCCTTGTCGGGGCTCATAGACCCTGCCTGATACAGCCCTACCACTCGGGCTCATGGTGTTCTCACCCACGCCACCCTCCTTTCTGTTCATCTGATCCACCCAAGGTCTTCTCCACCTCAGAGCCTTTGCGCTTGTTCCTCTGCCTGAAATGCTCTTCCTCCAGATCTTGAGCTCACTGATTTCTCCTTACCCCTCAGAGTTAGCTCGCATGTCAGAGAGGCCTTCCTTGACACCATCTCTAGCAGCCAACCCCTTACTTGAGTGATTTCACATCTCCCTTTTTAAAACCCCATCAGATGTCTCCCAATCAGTAATTAACGCCTATTTGTCTGCTAGAATACCTGCTCTGTGACACCAGGGATGCCATATACCTTGTTCATTGCTGAATCCCCAGTACAAAAGCAAGTGCTAATTGTATGGGCTCAGTAAAGATTTGTTAAATGGAGAAGGGCAGGGGAATGAATGTTGTACATAAACACTGCATATATATTGGCTTTTTTCCAGTGTTCAATTACTGTTGAACCTCCAGAGCTCCATATCTCGCCATGTTTTAATTATGGAAAACTGGTTGTATTTCCTCATCAATTTAATGTGGTTGCAGTTGACTTGTGAAAGCTCTATTTCTGATTATAAACCTGGGATCGTATGAAGTATCATTTTGAAATAGCTTACTTTCACCTTCTTTTTGCATGGGGAACTTTAGGGTCCAATCTAACTCTAACCTAACCCATATATATGAGGCTGACTTTCAGCCAGAATACTGAATTACAATATTGAAAGACTTCTGCATGGTGGTAATCAGAGCCTGCCTGCTATTACTGTGAGACCTTTAGTGTCCTTCCCCACTTCGTTGGGAAGTCCCAGTGAGCACTGCAGGAGGTGGGCCAGGGTGTCAGGACTGGGTACTATCAGGAGGATGATACTAAGAAAGACACTGGGATCCCAGTGAGCAAACTCTTGATGCCTATCTGTGCCCATGCAGCCATGGCTGCCTCCTCACAGCCGCCCCCATATGGCTGCTGCGGGGGAATGCGGTCTCCACAGTGTAACATTTTTAAGTAACCTCGCCAGCCATGTACCATTTGTGATTAATACTCTGATGTTACTTAGTCTTTTCCCCTGAATATTAAAATAAGATTTTAATACTTTCTCCATATAGTTACGTCATGCTTTCTTTAACTGATGTGTGGATAATCTCCCTCGAGAAGAGTTGAAGTTATCACACTGTAATTTTTATATGATCTTTACAGAGAATAATCTCATCACTATTATGTTTTTCAATACTGCAATAATATCTATAGTAATTATTTACCTATTAGAGTACAGATAAACTTGGTTCTAAAAACCTAGTGGTTTATGTATATAAATGTTTAGGAACTTAGCCGTGATGGGTCAGCTGAGGATCAGCCTTGATGCTCACTTACCCCTCTGCTGTTTTGTTACATACTGGATGATGTTTGCTGTGGTTAACCTGAAGTCGTTTACTTCTCAACAAAATTATGTTGAGGGTGGGAGGTAGGGATTGATCTTTAATTTTCACTTATTTGGGCTGCATTGTTTTTTTTTTAACCTCTGTATTTCTGCTATCTTCAAATGACAGAGTACGTTTCCTGATGGGTGGACGTCATGGAGAGTTTAAGTTCCTGCCTCCCTCTGGCTATGCCCCTTGCTATGAAGCCTTACTTCCAAAAGAGAAGATGAGATTGGAGCCTGTCAAAGAATATAAACGTGATGCTGATGGCATTAGAGATCTCTTGGGTACCACCCAGTTCCTCTCCCAAGCCTCTTTCATCCCATGCCCCGTAGACACCAGTCAGGTAGGTTCAAATTGCCCGCAGAAGGCAACCAATATAGATGAAGCAATAGAGTTAAATACTTCTTTCTTTCTTGTTTTTGAACCTTTCTTAATATACATGCTCCAGAATTGTTGTATAATGTGAACAACTGTTACTCCTCACATTTTCACCATGTGTGTCAATTGGGTCTTTAAGGATTTCTCAATCAGTGAACATGTTGAGCACCTGCTACGTGTGTTATATTCTGTGAAGGATAGACAGAAATATTTATTGTCTGGGAATTCTCAACCAAGTTAAAGATGTAAGAAGCAAATGTATTATTTTTTTAAAAGGCCAAATGTAATAAATGCAAAATGGACAGTATGCACCAGTAAATACTAGAGAAATCCTTTAGGCTAGAATGTTTCTAGAAGTCTGTGTGGTAAGGGTGGAATTCAGTTAGAGCCTTTAAAAAGCTTAAATGGGGAGGGAGGGTCTCCAGGGGTGATATAAAAGAAATGGTATAAATAAGGGCCTAGAAGTAAAAACACAAAGTAGAAGTATAGACAGGTGGCAATGCGTATTCTCATATGGCTGGGCTCTGGGAAGAGGGAGGAGCAAGTAGGAGAAGAGTTGGAAAATAAAAGGGAGAGAAATGGAATAGCGTGAAGGGCTTTGGAAATGCTGATAAATGGATATTTTCTTTCCCCTCCAGGGTCTGTAATTTGAGAGAGACACATTCACGTGGTATTACAAGGGGCATGCAAGAGCTTTCAGCATTTTCTACACAGCAGGGCTATTTGAATCACTATTCTAGGTGTTATAGAAAATAAATGAAAAGAGACCATGCCTCTAAGGCACTTGGGGTTAATCATTTCCCCAATATAGCTCTTTTAGCCTAGAGACTTTCTCTAGCATGCATTTTTCCCATAATATTCGTATGACCCTATTACATTCATCCATGTGTATGTGTTCATGAGTCTGCTTCTTACCTCCTGTGGCTAATGACTATGTATTAGTCCATTTTCATACTGCTATAAAGAACTACCTGAGACTGGGTAATTTATAAAGAAAAGAGGTTTAGTTGACTCACAGTTCTGCATGGCTGGGGAGGCCTCAGGAAACTTAAAATCATGGCGGAAGGTGAAGGAGAAGCAAGCACATCTTCATAAGGCAGCAGGAGAGAGAGAGCGAATGGGAAGTGCCACACTTTTAAGCCATCAGATCTTATGAGAACTCTATTATGAGGACAGCAAGGGGGGAAGGCTGCCCCTATGATCAAATCACTTCCCAACAGGCCCTTCCCCCGACATGTGGGAATTACAATTCGAGATGATATTTGGGTGGGGACACAGAGCCAAACTATATCACTTTTGATATCATTTCAGTATTTCTCTGCCTGCTTCACAGAGTACCTTAATGGGGAATGAGAATGTTGATAGGAAATTGAGAGGGGGTTGTGAGCTAGAGGTGATTCTAAGAATTAGATCATCTGGGTCCTGTATATTCTAGATGTCAGGGAGGAAAAACTTTTCTTCTACCCTCCTAGGTTCTGTTTTTGGGGTCCTGTGAATTAAGCTCATATGGACAGATTAGCAAGAGAAAAAAACATTTTAATCACCTGGTATGGAGTTCACAAAGGAATGTGGCTCAGGGAGGAAGTTAGAATTTGGAGCTTATATACCATCTTAATAGGGAAAGGAGAAGGGGAGAAGGGCACTTCTGGGAAAATAAGTGTCTTTGGTGAAAAATAAATGATTCCTAAGGAGAACAGATAGGAGATACGATAGTTCTGTGATAGAGCCTGTTTAGGTGTGATGCTGACCTTTCTCTGGTGGTAGAAGTCAATCTCCCCTGGGAAAAAAATTGTTGAATTCTTTTGGGGGGCTCTTTTTTTAGGCAGATAAGAGGAGTCCAGAAAAAGCCCCATCCTGTATCATTTGTTTTTCAAAGTCTTCAGCTCAAAATAATCCTTATACCACTGTGGCATTTTCTGGACTCCTTCATAGACAAGAAGCTTGAAGGCCAAGGCCTGAAGGAGCTTATCCATGGATGCAGGGCTGCTGGTGCCCAAGCAGGCAGAGAGTAGAAGCATGAGTGTGACTCCTGTCTGGGCTGCCTCTCCTGACTTAAGTAATCAGAAACATGTGTGTTAGATAGGGTTTTCTAGAAGATGCTGGCCTCAACAAGGGTTCCAAAGAATGAGGTAAAGTTTTGATTGGGAAGACTTGTTGAATGGCTTTGACCAAAGTGCTGATAGTTATATAGACAATAAGGTCCAGTCTGAGGTGGCCTCAGATGGAGATAGAGGAACTTGTTGGGAACTGTAGTAAAGGTCGCTCCTCCTATGCAAAGAGACTGGCGGCATTTTGGAACTTTGAATTTGAGAGAGATGATTTAGGGTATCTGGGGGAAGAAATTTCTAAGCAGCAAAGCATTCAAGAGGAAGCAGAGCGTAAAAGTTTGAAAAATTTGTAGCCTAACGATGCAATAGAAAAGAAAAACCCGTTTTCTGGGAGAAATTCAAGCCCACTGCAGAAATTTGCATATATAACAAGGAGCCGAATGTTAATCACCAAGGCAATGGGGAAAATGTCTCCAAGGCATGTCATTGACCTTTGCAGTAGCCCCTCCCAGAGGCCTAGAAGGAAAAAATGATTTTCTGGGCTGGGCCCAGGGCCCCCTTGCTTTGTGCAGCCTAGGAACTTGGTGCCCTGTGACCCAGCCACTTCACTCCAGCTATGGCTAAAAGGGGCCAAGGTACAGCTCAGGCCATGGCTTCAGAGGGTGCAAGCCCCAGGCCTTGGTAGCTTCCACGTGGTGTTGAGCCTGTGAGTGCACAGAAGTCAAGAATTGAGGTTTGGGAACCTCTACCTAGATTTCAGAGGATGTATGGAAACACCTGGATGTCCAAGCAGAAGTTTGCTAAACGGGTGGGGTCCTCATGGAGAACTTCTACTAGGGTGGTGTGGAAGGAAAATGTGGGATTGAAGCCCCCACACAGAGTCCTCACTGGGACACTGCCTAGTGGAGCTGTGAGAAGAGGGCCACCATCCTCTGGACTCTAGAATAGTAGATCCACCAGCAGCTTGCACCATGCACCTGGAAAAGCCATAGACACTCGAGCATGCAGGTCCTCCTGAAATGGATGGTTAGTTCTCAGCTCCAGCTGACAGACACCAGGCAAAAGTGTGGGTCCCGTGTTAGCCATCTTCTAAGTTGTCAAAAGAAATGAGAAATCTGGAATTTTATATGAAGTCTCCCATTTCTTAGGGATTGTCAACCAATAAACATGAAAATAATAATAATAAAAAATCTGAGAGGAAACAAAACTTAGGCTCCCAGTTTGTGACCCCTGTGGCGAGATAGGAGCAAAACACCAGGAAAATACAGAGGAACTCTCCCTTTAGGTAATCAGGGGAGACTTCTCAAAGGTGATGACATTTGAACTAAATGCAGGAGGATAAACGTTGAAGGTATTTGCCAGGTGCTGAGGAAGGTGGGTGTGTGGTGGAGGGTGTGTGTGATGTATATGGTGGGGAGTATTAATAAGGGTTAAGGTTGCATATGCAAGGGCACAGAACTGTGAAACAGTGTGGTCTTTTGGGAGAATTTCAAGAAGTTTGAAAAGGATGTGTTTGTAGAGACAGTGATGAGAACTAAAGAAGAGCACTGTGTATGTGGTTAATACATCTAGTCTTAGTGTCAAGGAACACTTGGGTGACACTAGAGAGTGTTTTGACATGATTTTTTGTTGTAGACTTGTCCCACTGGTTGCAGTGTAGAGGATAGATCAGTGGAGAGCTGGGGAGGCCAGTTATAAGGCTCTTGGAATGGTCCAGGGAGAAAATAATGAGGTTGAGTAATGGAGAGAAGGGAATCCCTCAGAAGGACACTTAGGAAATGAACATGGTAGGTTTCATGACTGATTAGATGGGGGAGTAGTGCCAGGGGAAGGATAATAGGATGACTTCCAGGCTTAAAGAGGTAGTGGGGCCATGCAACAAAAAGCAAAAATAAAAACAGGAGGAGAAAAAAGATTTTGAAGGAAAAATAATGAATTCAGCTTTGGGTAACATATTGAGCTCACTTTAATGGAAAAATCCTGTAGGCAGCTGGAACCATGAGTCTAAACTTCAAAAGAGACCATGGTTAGAAATGGCCTGACTTGGGAGTGATCATCTACTGGGTGAGAGAACATGTAGAGAGGAAATAGGGTGAGGCAAGTATTCACATGTGAAGAACATTCAACACATACACCTACAGAAAAGACTAAGAGGCAATGGTCAGAGAGACAACAAGGAGCAGAGAGGAAGCCAAGAAAGGAAGAGGGAGGAGGGCTGGGGAGCATGTGGGTCAGGCAGCATGAGGTCGGATACTGCAGCTCCTCCTGGGTGATGTGCCAATTCAAGTGGGGTGCCCAGCTCCTATAGATTTTATGATAGGTTTCAAAACAATCGATTCTTTTCACTTGCTCCTTTTCCTTTAGGTTATTTTGCCACCTCACCTAGAAAAGATCCGAGACAGACTAGCTGAAAACATCCATGAGCTTTGGGGAATGAATAAAATAGAACTTGGCTGGACTTTCGGCAAGGTATGTGTCTCAGGGCCAGGTTAGGGTGGAGGGTGGGATTGCCTTGTTGCCTGGAACTGTTCTTCCTGCTGCATGCCTAGTTTTCATTGCATTCACTAGTTAGGAACACTGAGGAGACCAGGTCTTCACAGACAGAACCAGAAGTGTCTCCCCTTTCTTAATCCCAAATACTGGTTTATTTTATTCGGGATATAGCACTGTTTCTCAGCACTTGCTTCAGAATACTCACATCTCTCCTTCAGAAAAAAAGTTGTCATCTCTGTATGGGTAGTGAAAAGTGGCTGATTCATTGTTTTGAATCAGAACTTGTTTAATATGGTTTTCAGATGTGTCACTAAGATTAATGGACACTCAGAGGAGGATAGGGAATCTTTCATTAGAAATCATTTTTCAGAGAGAATGTAAATTGACTGTGTTCCATGATTTGTGTAAGGTCATGTCTGAAGGCAGAAGGATAGGTGAGTTCTGAAGCTTCCTATAACGCCAACTCTCTCAAATGACACACATTCTAGCTGAGTTACTGACAGGGTCTCTGCACTCCCACACTTGTGTATTTATATAGCTACCATAAAATATTTTCACATGAGGATGGCTTCACCATTGAACTCCTAATATCTAGCTCAGGGTCTGTCGTGTAGTACAGGCATTCAACAAATGTTTGTTGAAAGAATGAATTACTTAATGTCTAGAAGTGTACTGTCTAATACAAAGCCCCGAGTCACATGTACTTGAAGTGTGACTAGTTTGGATTGAGATGTACTAAAAGTGTAAAATAGTCACCAGATTTTGAAGATTAGTGTGGGGGAAAAAGTAAAATATCTCATAAATAATTTCTTATATTGATTACTTGTTAAAATGATTATTTTGCATTTATTAGGTTAAACAAAACACATTAATTTCAACTTTTCTTTTTGATTTTCTAATGTGGCTACTAGAAAATTTGAAATTACAAATGTGCTTCACGTTTGTGGCTGACTTTTGGTTCTACTGCACAACACTGGTCCAGATTCTGTAGCCTGTCCTATGCTGAAGAATGTTCCTCTTCAGAAACGTTATGGTTACATGAATTTTGGAGGAACAAGAGCATGGCTGCCACATGTAGCACTGCTTCTTTCGGAAAGTATGTTCAAAATGCAGATGCCTGTCTAGAAATAAATCCACGGAGCACAAACCACTGGCAACTTGGAGACTGTGTGTCTCATTGACTAGAGAGATCATCTGTTTGCCGAATAGCAAGTTGCTGTCTTTCTCTTGCCTGATATGGATTGCCTGGGCCATGTTTCAAAGTATGTTCTGTTCTGTTTTCCCATGCAGTGCCAGCTGGTCAAAACTTAAATCACATTCTTTCTTATGTCACCACCTAGATACGAGATGACAATAAAAGACAACACCCTTGCCTTGTGGAGTTTTCAAAGCTCCCAGAAACTGAGAAGAACTATAACCTGCAAATGTCAACTGAAACCTTAAAGTGAGTATTTAATTGAGCTGAAGTTTTACAAACAATGAATAGATGATTTAATGCATTATAACTAAACTGCAAAGATATGTCTCTTGCCTGAAAACGTGGCACATTCTGATAAATTAGAGGAGATGATGATGAATCATGTCACAAGAGGATTTAGCATAACCATCCACCATTATTATTGACTATATTTCTTAAACCATTTGCTATTTGCTAGGGGCAGGGAAAAAGTAAGAGGCAGAAAAGAAACTTAGAATCAAAGGACCAAGTACCTCCTGCAGTTCACATTAAATAAAGGAAAAAAAATGAAGCATTTCTAAAACCCGTTGGGAAACCTGATCTGATACACTAAAATTCAATTTTAAAATAATTTTCGCTTCTCCGTGATGCTACCCATGGGCCTAATTTAGACTTTAACTTCTCTAGCCTAAATTGTTATCTCCCATTTTGAATTCTTTGGGGGCTTGTTACCTGTTCTCTTGTCTTTGTATTTCCCTGTTCTCTAGTTGTCACTGCAGAACATTTTAACTTTGTGGTTTTGTTGGCATAACGATGCTCCGTAAGGTCCCTTGTCCCACAGGCTTACATGGGATACCTTCAATTACACTGGCACCTCTTGAGGGTATGGCTTTGTACTTCATGGTTTTAAGCACAGCTCATGCCCTTACAGGCATCATGCAGTAAATATTTGCTGACCTGTGGGCTGGATATTAGAATTCTATCTGTTCCATGGAATTCGAAGAGGCATATAATTGTAATGCAAATTTATAAAATAGAAAAATGTCTCCAAGAGGGGCAATTAACAAATTTCTCTTCTGTAATCTTATGCTTGCTATCATCTAAATCGGGAGTTGACAAATTATGGCCCATGGGACAATCAGACCAGCTACCTATTTTTGTAAATAGATTGTTATTGTAACAGAGTCAAGCTCATTGGTTTTCATATTGCCTATGGCTGGCTTTGCTCTGTAATCACAGAGTTGTAGCTGTGACAGAGACATATGGCTCACAAAGCCTAAGGCATTTACTCTGTGGCCCCTTACAGAAAAAGTCTACTGACCCCTGGGCTAAATGAATGGCTCTTGTCTGTTTTCAACTCGGATGTGAATTAGGGTTCCTGCTGTTCCTAACACTGCAGTTAACCTTAGTCTTCTCCTTCTGTTGTGTCACAGAACCCTCTTGGCCCTGGGGTGCCACATTGCTCATGTTAACCCAGCTGCTGAGGAGGATCTCAAGAAGGTCAAACTGCCCAAAAAGTAGGTGATTTTTTTTTTAATGGTTCAAGACTTTAATGCTTCAGCCTGGATTTTTAATCCAGGAGGGTGGTACCAAGACAGACAACAGCCCACATAGTTGCTAGCACCAGCTCAGAAGGGCTCCCCTGTTTCCTAGATGACACTGAAGCCCTCAGATAGAAGCCTGGTGAAGAAGTATTTCAGGGTTTTCCCTCTCTTTGCCCCTTCCACCTGGACCTCACACTAATATTGTTAGTTTTGAGCCAGGAGGTCAGATGGATGCACTGTCTTTGATCTATAAGAATAGCATTCAGCACAAAAGCTGAAAAGTGGTTCCCAGCCATGACAGAGAGTCACTCCTCTGGCATTGGACCAGCCTTGTAAGTCCTTTGTGGAAGGGGTATCTCTGCCACCATTCGTTTGACCTCCTATATCTGCCTGTGTCCTGCTCTGCCTCTCTCCCACTACATTCAGACACAGTTGCACATTTCTTGTCCTTGCACATTCAAATGCTTGCTCAGCGGCACATCCACTGGCCCCCTTGCTTGTTTGCTCTCATGCATGCCAGCAGATATGCAGATGGATTCACACACAGGTGTCATCATTACTTAGGAGCCAAGCAGTGCCAGCTTTAATCAAACGTTTATCTTCCCCCTTCTTTCCTCTTAAACTTCCAAGATCCACTCTCACACACGCAACTCCTAGTACCAAGAAAAGCACATCTGACAGGCTGCAGTGGAGGAACAGGCTGCTGGCCAGAGCTGCTGAGGTCAGGACACAACAGTCAGTGCATCCTGACTCTGCCCAAGGGCAGCATCCTGAAAAGGTGGATGCAGAACTTTATCTTATACCTACCTACAATAGACCCTGCATCTCATGTTGCTCAGAGGTCCTGGATGGATTGAGCCCTGGTCTGTGGTTCATCACTGTTGGATTCTGGCCCTGGCCTAGGCAGTCAATGGCCCTAGGGCCATAGATACCTTTAAACTCATATTCCCACATGGCCATGACAATCTGCTTTCCTAAGGTTTCACTCCGCAGTGTGCCCTAGTCTTCTGCATTTACACGATGTGTCTACATAGAGCTCTTCCACTTCTTCCCATTATCAGTCAACTTACAGACATTTGAGGCTGTAACTCTTGGACTGGACAGCTAACTGCTAAGATCACTTTAAGTTCAAAAATACTCTGACATCATTCTTTTTTTAATTCCAAAAGTAAAAGTTTAGCCTTTACTTTTTGACTGAGTGATTATTCTGTGCTGATTTATAAGGAGACATTTGACTCAAGGTCTTGTTCTTGCCAATCTGGTTTTGACTTTTTGTGTTTTTGTAGTGGGATGACAGGCTTCTGGTAATGTTGCAGCATGCTGAACGTGCCCATTATTTCTAGAGAACAGAAGTAGTTTTAGTAGAAATAAAGATGGTTTGTATTGACCATCTGCTTTTTTCAAGTCTTCTTTGAAATACGTTACATATGTTGGGAAGAAGGATGGTAGATTGGGGGCTTCATCTATAGACTTGAAACAGAGCTGAGCTATTTGTTCAGCCAAAGAGTGGGACCTGTGACTGTAGCCTTATTTGCGTAGCGTTCTTACCATGTGCTCTTGGTCTAAAATCCGGAATGAGAAACTCATGGAGATCTGTTAAAAATGTATACTTTTACATTTACTTGTAGCTATATGATGTCCAACGGCTATAAGCCAGCCCCTTTGGATTTGTCTGATGTGAAGCTGTTACCTCCTCAAGAAATTTTAGTGGATAAGCTTGCAGAAAATGCACACAATGTTTGGGCAAAAGACAGAATAAAACAAGGATGGACCTATGGCATCCAACAGGTAAGAAATTCTGGGTCAGGCATGCTGGAAAACTTAGAAGATATGATCATCCACGTGCCGTTTTGCTTTGGTGTGTGTTAGATCAGAAGGAAGAGTTTGCCTTTGCACTCTATCCCTCACACCTCAGTGTGTTCATTATTTATGGAATCATGGGGCTGGACAGAATTTGTAATAGTCACTTCATAGCTCAGCAGTATTTCTGGGATAGTCCCACGTATCTACTGGTGAGGATGAAATGGAGGGGAAGCTAGCCCAGCACAGCAGCAAACCAGCCTGCCCAAAAGCTTTTGCCTCCTTACTTCAGTCCATTGGGCCAACGATTTCTGGGCAGAGGTCTTGGCCTGAGCAGGAGGCAGCTTGAAACCCAGAGCACAGCTAGAAATTAGAAAGAGTTTAGTCCCAAACCACCTGGCACACCTCTTTCCTTGAGATGGTTTCTCTCATCTTAGTAATCACCAATGGTAGGGTTAGTATCAGGGACGTTCAGGAGTGGCTATGTGCACATTAGTTAATTCATACCGGAGCCACACATCTGGAAGCCAGGAAGAACACAACTGTGCAAACTATGGGGGGAGGAGGAGCAGCGGAGTAAAGAGGTTCAAAACAGCATGTTATACATATGAGTTTGGGTGACTTATCACTACAATTGTCCCTATTGTCTTCTTAGTCCCTCCTAAGGAACCGAGAGGGACATTACTACAAATGTGTGTCCTCTGCCATGAAATGAACACACTGTGGCTCTGCCACCTTTTCCGATGTTTCTCCATGAAGGCTGTTAAGCTGTCATGAGGAGGCTATAGCAACTTAAATCATGACATGATCTTCCATAGGGAAATCATTATACAAATCTCCAGCTGCTTTGCCTTGGGAATGGAGGTTTCTAACCAATTCTGTGATGCTTCATTTTATTCACAGACTGGTGTTATTTAAAGTGTTTTTTGTTTTGTTTTGTTTTTTTAATGAGACAGACTCTCTCTCTGTCGCCCAGGCTGGAGTGCAGTGGCATGACCTCAGCTCACTGCAACCTTCATCTCCCGGGTTCAAGTGATTCTCCTGCCTCAGCCTCCCGAGTAGCTGGGATTACAGGCATGTGCCACCACATCGAGCTAATTTTTGTATTTTTCATAGAGATGCGGTTTCACCATGTTGGCAGACTGGTCTCAAACTCCTGACCTCAAGTGATCCACCCACCTCGGCCTCCCAAAGTGCTGGGATTACAGGCATGAGCCACCACACCCGGCCAAAAGTGTTTTTTAATGCTAGCTTTGAGCATTAGTAAAATGTTTCCATTTATACTCATTTAATCTGGAGGAGAAGTGGCAATATGTACATTGCTAAATGTGAAGGCACTGAGGGAAGGGCTAATAGACCTAGAGCGACCAGAAAGCCAGGACTGTTGCTGGGAATATGTGAATAGGGTGAGCTGTGGTGAAGGTGAAATGTTTTCTTGGCACCTTTTTTCTCTGGCGTCACATAGGATTTGAAGAACAAAAGAAATCCCCGTCTGGTGCCATATGCATTACTGGATGAGCGTACCAAGAAGTCAAACAGGGACAGCCTGCGGGAAGCTGTGCGCACTTTTGTTGGTTACGGGTATAACATTGAGCCATCAGACCAAGAACTAGGTAATGAGTTGAGAGTGTTTATTCTGGCCCCAGTTTACTAAACAGGTCCTCTTCTTGGGGCATCCTAACTTCAAATAGGTCTAACTTGTACTATTGGAAATAGTATTGGGGCTGAAGAGCACTAGACTAAATGGTGTGATTTTTTTTATTGTTATCGGGGAGACCATGTTTGATATAAACCATCATCCCATTGACAGATTTTCTGCAATGAACACTTCTATGACTTATTCCCACAACGAATAGGTTATCTTCTAGGGTAGCTGAGCTTTTCAGAATACCTGATCAAAAACCAAGTCACTGTTTTTTTATCTTACTTGCCAAATGTGTGAATATCAGCTTACTTTTAGATCAGGTAATCACATCTCCAAATTAAAAGCTTGTTCAGATTAAAATCTGAACAACAGCTTAAAATTGATGAGCCTGTTATTGTCATCCCATGCCCCAGGAGGCACAGTAGGCCACAGGGGCAGAATTGTAAGTCATTAAGGGGATGGTTTTGAAGTCCAATCTGGGTTTATACCTTTGCTCCTCTGTTCATGGGCTCTGTGATGTTGAATAAATGATTTTACCTCTTTGAGCCTGAATTTCTTCATCAGTAAAATGAGGACAATATTAGCTACCTCATAGGATTATTGTGAGGGAAAACTGAGAAGTGGTCTCTAAAGGATCTACTATGAAGCAATCCCTCAGTCAGTGGTAGCTTGTATGGTGATGATGATGACGATCATCATGAACAGAATGCCATATTGGATAGTAGTCGACCTATGGTCAGTCTTAGATGTTCTCATCAAATTCTTTTGAGTAGTGCTACCTAATTATTGAAGGTCTACGTTCTCTCTTTCCCTTCCACACCCTCTGTTCGCCTTTCTTCTCACAATAGCTGACTCGGCTGTGGAGAAGGTCAGCATAGACAAGATCCGATTTTTCCGGGTAGAGCGATCTTATGCAGTGAGATCTGGAAAGTGGTATTTTGAGTTTGAAGTGGTGACTGGAGGAGACATGCGAGTCGGCTGGGCGAGGCCAGGCTGTCGACCTGATGTCGAGCTGGGGGCCGATGACCAAGCCTTTGTGTTTGAAGGCAACAGGGTGAGTTTATATATCTAGCAAACACCCATCCTCAGACCAAGTTTTCCTTCTCCAAACATTTTTCTGGAAGCTCAAATTACTGGATCTCTGGCTTCAAAGTGAGTGACCACCACCACTGGCTAATGTAGACATTGAATGGGCATCTCCTAGTGACTGTTTCTTTGCTCTTCACTCTGTTGAAGGGGAGCACTGTACCCCAAATCCTTTCTACAATCACCTTCATATCTACTTTTGCACCCAAGCCCATTGACTCCACTCCAGAGGTGACATAAAGATCACTATGCAGCTAGTATGTCAGGAAATCTTACCAGTTTTCCCTAGAGAGAATCCTGATTATTGCCATAGCTGTGACTAGAAATCAAGAGACTTGGGCTACCTTGTGTGTCTTGGTTTCATTTATAACATAGACCACTCCTCCTTGTTGGTTATCCTTGAGTGTCCCCTAGAAATCATGTAACCACTACTAGTTAGGAGATATCGAAGATATGGTCATTTCTCCAGCTGCTGGGGCCTCTAGAGACTCCATTTCTCTAAGCCCTAGAGTCTTGTTTTCTAGGGCCAGCGTTGGCATCAAGGAAGTGGGTATTTTGGGCGTACCTGGCAGCCAGGGGATGTGGTCGGATGTATGATTAACCTGGATGATGCTTCAATGATCTTCACACTGAATGGGGAGCTGCTGATCACCAACAAAGGCTCTGAACTTGCCTTCGCTGACTACGAGATTGAGAATGGTAAATCTAACACCCTCTGCCAACCCCAGCTCCATGAGGCTGGAGGAAAATATAGGGAGAGCTGAGCGACCTGCTCTACTTCCTTATTCGGTCTACACTGTCCTTTGCATATTTGAAAACCCTAATGGTGAAGACGATCCCATAGACTAGCAATTTCAAAGAATTAGGGGAGATAATAGTGATAGTTGGTGTGTGCAGCATACATACACATTCTGAACTCTCAGATAGGTTAACCAAGAAGCTAATTCCCTCCCCTGTGTCTTGGCATTTTAAGATTCTCCAGGTTTCCCAGTATTACAAAGAAAACACTTATTGTATATGACTAATGTCATTGACAGGAGAGAAAAATCAGTGAATTAAAGAATTATCCTTTTATTCTGATTTGAATTGTCAGTCTGCATGTTTGTGTAATTGAACTTGATGCTTTGAAGAGAATGATTGAAACACAAAAGTTAGATTTAGCTATTTCCTTGAATGAAATACAATTTATTTTGAAATTCAGACACACTGTGAAACCCAACCAGAGTTGCATTTTTTAATGTCCATGAATAGACCACAGTCAGGGGCACGCTTCCAGCTACACAAAGGAGGAAGTGGAGCTTATTATTTCTTGTCTATATAACTACATTATGTACACAAGACTGTTGGTATATAGGGGAAAGAGTGTACTGCAAGTCAGTAGACTTCTCCTAACAAGCTCATTGGCTCCCAAGGAGTATCTGTTTGACCTCTCTGAGCTTTACTTTCTTCATCTATATCAGAGAATAAAAGCATTGATGAAATAAAATCTAATGTTCTTCCCAGATATAAAATTCAACGGCAGTGACTTAACACCTGCTGTGTGAATGCCCTTATGCCTGGTGCTTTGCCGCACTGTTTCCTCCTCACGGACGAGAAGGGGGCTGTGCTGGATCAGGAGACCTGGACGCTCACCTGCCTCTGCTTCTGCCTACCCAGGACATCTTAGTTGACTTTATTTATCCATTTAGGAACTCATTTTTATGTCTGTAGATGATGAGGGCTCCTTGTAGCCCTACATTTCTGAGACTTTACAGAAAGAAACATTTCCTACCTAGAAAGCTAAAACAATACAACTGCATAGGCAAGAGAGCACAAATACATGAAACTGTGTGTATGTAATATACATGCTCTTTACAGAGCGTTTTTAGCTTTATAAATGACTTTTGCACTTTTTTTTCAGACACCTATTGTTTAAAGTATGCATATTCAACTGTACCTTTCAAGGTGTTTCTTTTTTTTTATTATTATACTTTAAGTTTTAGGGTACATGTGCACAACGTGCAGGTTTGTTACATATGTATACATGTGCCATGTTGGTGTGCTGCACCCATTAACTCATCATTTAACATTAGCTATATCTCCTAATGCTATCCCTCCCCGCTCCCCCCATCCCACAACAGGCCCCGGTGTGTGATGTTCCCCTTCCTGTGTTCATGTGTTCTCATCCTTTCAAGGTTTTTCTAAGAGCCAAATATTTGGAGAAATATAAAGCTTACAAGTCCGTTGTATTTTCCTAAAAAGACAAATGACTAAAGTCAAATGGAGTCATATTTTAATGCCTTCCAAAGAGGTTTAAAATCAAAATTTTAAAGAAATAACTCTGTTTTTGCAGACAGGTGAGAATGATGTTGCCAGAAGAAGGAATGGCCTGTGTGCTGGTTCAGAGGCAAAGGAGAGGATTTCTGTGGGTGGACATCAGGGCAGTGTACAAGGACAACCAGGTGCTTTCCAAGCACCCACCTCATGCAGTCCCCTCCCTCTGAGGCCAGGAGGAAAACAGCCTAGGAGATTCAGGCACATCTCCAAAGAAAGTCATTCTCTGGGGTAGAAAGAGTCCAAAAATCAGGGCCTTTTCCAGGCCCTGCTATTGTGTGAACTGGAAGAGGTTACTTGTCTGTTGAACTCTGAGGAGGAGATGAGAATCTCATATGTTGTGCAGAGTTACAAGAACTTTGTAAAGTCCAAAGCCTTAATACTCAAAGTATGGTCTGCTTGTTAGCAATGAGGAATCTCAGCCCCACCCCAGACCAGAATCAGAATCTGCATTCTGACGAGACACTGGTGATTTGCATGCACACTGAAGTATGAGAGCAGTGGTCTAAAGCATATGCAAATGTGAGTAGTAGCAGTATTAAGGAGCTCATTTTTTAGTTGTAAAAAAAGACGATAATAATGCAGAGCAGTAAGTTATCAATGACAAGTGACTAATACAGAATGAAAAGTCTATATGAATGGGATTTGAATTGCATGTTAACTACAGAATACAAGATGTCTATGTGTAAGGAGAAGGCTAGTCCTGACAGGGGATGTAACAAGAGTAGTTCTGTGGCTCCAGGAAGCTATAGGAAAGGGTAGAAGATTTGTGTGTGGAATGTATGGATGATGAAGCTGGAAAGGTAGATAAGGTGCAGATTATAGGCTCAAATACTGAGACTCAGCCTTTTCGTTCAAGAAACTATTGTCTTCTCTGAGCCAAGCACCCTTGGACTTTACCCTCTAGGAAATGAGGGGCCATTATGGGGTTTGAGCAGAGGAATACTATAGAGGGGAGGGACATTTGAGCATAACCCGGCTTTGAGAGAGCCTCTGTATTTAATGAAAGTGATGTCCCATAGGCCTGTTGTGTACAGGGATGTGATTTGACCTTCAGAATAACAAAGTATTATTAGGATGCTGTTTAATAATAGAATTGTACTGTAATGTGTTAGCACATTATACTGTCGTATCATATTGCCCTTTAATAACACAGAGACAAGATAATTGGAAAGCTCTTTCAGTTCCGCAATGCCTTGTGAGTTGGTGGAAGGGTAGTTATAAGGAAGTCGACATGCCATTCTTTGATAACAGTAGCCCCAAGGCCTGGAATAACCACATAGCATCTCTCTTCTCTCTGTGTCAAGTGGAAAGAGGTAGCAATTCTTGCCTTGAGTTGTTAAGAAAAGCATCTGTTGAAAATAAAACATTTCATGCATTGTAGCGCCTACCTCCCCCCACCCCGTAAAGCAAAATGCCCGACGTGCTTGTGTTCTTCTGGTCACCAGCATGTCAGCTTTGATTTCAGTCATTACCCCAGTGGGAGCTGGGCCATGGGAAGCCTTTTGCCCTTTTGGGGAAGCAGTGGGGACAGATATTGTAGTTCATGGCTGTTTTTACCTCTGGCTTACTTACAAGTTGTCATTTCCATCCTCTTATGCATCATAGATTATATGCCTTTATCTGCTTCATTAGAATTTTCTAATTAATGTTCCCTCCCCTGGTCCCTAGACTGGACCATCACAGCTCTCAGTGTTGTCACCTAGAAGTATCTGAGAGCTCAGAAGCCTCCAAGGCAAACCCTTTGCTATTAGCCTTCTCTTTTCCTCTGTTTAAAGGAAAGGAACATAAAATCCTGAACATTCTGCTAGACCTCAGAATGCGACGTCTGGAAGAGGCTTTGGTGTGGTCTCCTGTGCTGCCTCTCTGCCAGGCACTCCCCTGAGGGACATGCTGCCTCTTGCTACAGCTTTGGTGTCTGCAGGAGCAGCCTGCCAGGCTGTTCCTGCCCATTGACCTGTCGGGTTTAACAGATCCCTCATTTCTGTTGGCAGCTTTTCAATAGGCACAAAATGAAACTTATCTGCAGGAAGTGTCACTGCCATCTGCAGGCACACACGCTGGTACCCAGGGTCCCCTGTCATTCTCTCTCCAGATGGGTCTTGTGTTTCAGAAAGCGGCTGTGGCAGGGGAGCGTGGCCTGTTGTTTCCTTTGTTTTCTACAAGGCTTGTGACCATCTGCCTGTCATCTCCTGTAACTCTGTCTTTGAAAGGCTTACCAGGAAATAGGAAGGAATGGGTATAGCATGTGCTGCTGGATTGAAACTCCCAGAAACACCCCAGGAATGGTCTGAGCGGTCATCTACCTCCCTCTCTCTAAGATGTCAGCTTTTCCCTTGCTGGTAGCTATTCTCTTTTATGTCTTCCTTTAGTTTAAAATGGATTGAAAGTGGATCTGTCCTTTGGATTTTTGAGAGAGCTGACTTCTTTGCAATCTCCTGGAATTATAAGATTACCCCCCTGCTCTCCCTCTTCCTAATCAGAAAACCAGTATGAGGCCTTATAATACCAAGTGTATCAGAACTGGGGGTCCTGTACAAAATGTAAATGCATATATTCTTGCCATTTCCTTCCTGGGACAAGAACTTCTGTATACATCTTGGCCGAAGACTGTGCCTTTTGCAAATTTTCTTCTCAAACCTCTTCAGAGTTGTCAGCATAATTATATCTATTAGGATGCATGTAGGGAGGTGGTATTCTTTGCCCTCTTATTATATTTTCTTCTTCTCCAATCTCATTTGAGGCTATGGGTTCATTAAGCTGTGTGCAATATGGAAATCCTTCTTTATGACAGATAGTAATGCCACATGACCTTGCCCAGTAGGTCCTTTTATCCAGGTGAATTCTAGAGAGCCATGTGGTGAGCTGTGTACAGGTAGCCCTTTTCCTCTACGGGGCCTGGAGCGTGTTGTGGTTATGGGTCTCCATCTGTCTAATCTAGAGACAAACAGGTGAACTCCCTGACACGTTGGAAAATCATTTGAAAAGCAATGTAACTCAAAACAAGTTAGCTTAGACGACAATTAGAAAGCAGGCATCCTGGCTTCAGTCCCCGTTGCTTGCTGTGGACTCCTGCTCAGGCAGCTTTGTTCACATGCTGACTCTGCAGTTTACCAGGTAGCAGATGTTGAGCCCCAGTCCACTTTCTAGGTCTCAGTTTCCTCATCTGTAAAATTGGCATAATAATGAGATGTATCTGTAGAGCACTAAGCCTGACATTTACAAGGTATTTGGTAAATATTTGCTATTGTGGTTTATCATTCCATGGTTGTTCCCCCTTATCTGTCTTTCATGAAGAGTTATAAAGTTACAAGATTTTTAAATGCCTCAAATAAAGAAGTTTTAGAAATGGAGATACTAGCTAGATCCTCTTAGCCAGGTGGAGGGAGCTGATTAAATGTATCTAGTTATCGAATCGTTTTCTCCAAGAGAAAGCGCTGGTGCTTAATGAGAATTAATCTTTCCTCTCTGTCCTTTCAGATTTTCTCTTTTCTGACTCAAGCCTTAGATTTAGCTGTTCTGCTGCTGTTTTCCAGAGCTGGCCCAGCTGCGTCCACTTAGCCTCCCGGAGGTCCCCAATACTCTGTGCCTCCCATTGCTCTTGCATCCATGACTTTTGTTACCCTGTCTTTTCCCATGGAGTGTGCAACTCTCCCTGTAGAGAGGGCTTCTGCCCCACAGGGACAACACTTTACTCTCTAGTGAATGCAGTCCTCTGGCCCTGGTCATAATTACTGTTTAAATCTGGGGCATTCATCCCCTGAAGACTCACTCCCTCTCACACACTGACTGGCAGCTGGCCTATGACTCGAGGATAAAGGATCTCATCCCATTTTTGTCACTTGCCCTTCCCGTGACTGTGGTCAAGTCCATTAACTCCTCATGTTCTTAGTTTTAGCCTTATTAAAGTGCTGTCCTCTCTACTGGTGCTTAGGAATGAAGAGGAGCTCAACATCCTTAGAAAAAAAGAAGTCTTATGCAGTTATTACCTTTTCCCCCTTACATTGTCATTGGGTCTGTGACTAGGACATTATTTTTATGTCCTGAGGTCAAATCTTCATTGTTGCTGCTTCCCACTGAGGCTTTTACCCCTGCTGCTCGCTTATTGCACCATCCAGGTTCATGGAGAATGGAATAGAGAGGTTTTCTTAAGCTGTCCTACTCTGTGCTCACATCAAGGCTGGACTATTTCATGATCTTCATGTTCATGGCTCCAAGATAAACCTATACTGGTGGTTTTCTTGGTCTAGTTACCTCCCTTAGTAGAATAACTAAAATACTGTCTTGAGATTAGGTATGATTTGCAGCAAACACATTCCCTCTTTTATATTCCATTCCTTGTCCCCATTTCTGTAAGCTCCTTGGGATTGGGATACTTTCTTCTTCCTTCACATCTTGTCATGGCACATAGCAAAACTGTCTTTCCCAATGCGGAGCCTAGGAATTTTACTGGCAAGCAATTCTTATTCTACACTGTAATCAGATTTCCAAAGGTTCTTTATTTATAAACATCTCTGTCTATAGAAAGGAGATGGTTTCATCCATCGCAGCCCCTATCACAAAAATACAGAAGCATAGTAGTGCTCAGGATGTTACATGCACAGGTGCTTGTCCAAGGGACCAGTCCGTTGACTGTCCTGAGAGGTAGGGGTCCTAGTCTGTCCTCAGTTGGCAGTGCTGTGAGGAGGCTTTTTCTACAAACATCACTGCCATTTTGCTAGGACTGCATTGACATTCTCTTTCATTTAGACACGGTATTAAACACGTCTGTATCCTAAGTGAGTTTATAGTTTCTAAAAGCAACCACATAGCTTGCAAGAGATTTACGTTTCACTTATGTAACTTGTTATTTACATAGAAATTTCGTGGCTTAGATAATAGTATATAAGCCTCCCATCTAGGAAGAGTGCATCTTGGCCTTGGTGTCTGTGAAAGAAAGTTTTTACTGTTAGATGTAAATGCTCCCAAAATTGGCTTTTAAATGTCCCCCGAAATGACCACTCTTATCCTAGGGAGTGACACCACTTTCTTCTGTAGGGAACTCCAGCCCCTGCCTCATCCAGCAGCCTCAGAACTTCTCCTACCCTTCCAGGCGCTCTCTGCAGCCTCCAGCGGTCCTCCAGCCACCTGCCTGCCTCTCACATCCTCCCAAATCCAACATAATTAGCGCTTTCCCTGTGTTGCTGATTTGTTGGTCCACAATTATGATTTATAAATAGCCCACAAACAAGAACACCAAACAATTTGAACTTCTGCTTTGGTCTGTTTTGAGTGGTAGTTTTTTAATACGATCAAGCTACAGATGTGAGTTTGGAGAGATGATAGCTGTAGGAAGGAAGAGAGGAGCTTTCTCTGGCTCCTGCTTGAAACTCTGCCTTCCTGAGTAGGCGAGGAGGAGAGTGGGCTAGGAAACTGGGTGTTTGTAAATTGTATTTTGTTAACAAGCACAATCATAGTGCTAGCATTTAAAACTTCTTAGAATCCTACTCTCGAAACGTGAAGGACCTCTCATGTCACTGGGGAAGATGCTGGGTCCAGAAAAGTCGGGCAACTTGCACCAAGTCATCCTTTTTTTATTTTAAATAAATTTTATTTTGTATATTTAAGGTATACAACGTGATGTTATGAAATACATAGAGATAGTAAAAAGGCTGCTACAGTGCAGCAAGATAACATATTCATCATCTCACATAGTTACCCATCTTTTTGTTTTTGTGGCAGAAAATCTCACCAAGTCATTCTTTAGGCTCACTGCATTGTTTTGGGTAGTAGTTAAATTTTCCCAGGGCCTGAGATCAATTTTAACTAAGGGACAGATAAAGAATTTCACTTTTTCTCTTACTGGTTTTGCCTTTCCAGTTGATATTTATTTATATCTTACGAATATTCTTAACTGGATCATCGTTTTTCCCAAGTCATTTTGAACCAAGCTCTCTTATCTTTCCTATGTACCATGGGCAGTGGTGGTCTCCATGTGGCCTCCTGTTGTTGATTTTATGTGCCAGGAAGAAAGAAAGAAAGAACGGGTTGTGTCACATCTTTCCTACTGGGAGTCAAAGCCCTTAAGGAAGCAAAGATTCAGCTGCCTCGGAGTTTCCTGGGATGGTGCCTTCGGGCTAAAGCAGGTCTCTCTAACTCTTCTGCAGGCTTCGTGCCCATCTGCTGTCTGGGTCTATCTCAGATCGGCCGCATGAATCTCGGGACAGATGCCAGTACCTTCAAGTTTTATACCATGTGCGGTCTCCAAGAGGGCTTTGAGCCTTTTGCTGTCAACATGAACAGAGATGTTGCTATGTGGTTCAGCAAGCGCCTCCCGACGTTTGTCAACGTGCCAAAGGATCATCCACACATAGAGGTAATGTTACACAATGTGTGTGGCCCTGGCAGGTCAGGTGGGCCAAGGCCCTAAGCTTGCCCTAAGTCTCCTGTCAACAGGCAGCTGCTTACCTAAGTCTATGCCCTGGCCACTTACCAGCCACCTCCCCTCTGGCCCTCAGAGCTGCAGTTGCAGGCATCTTAATTGGGACAGCTCAGTGGCATCTTACGAGAGGCATCAGCCTTGCACATAAAACCTTACAGATCAACTCTCAACATTTTGGGCCACTGAATTTGCTCTGGATGTTCCTATACTGTGTTGTCATAGTAATATAGTATTCGGAGACCTTAAACTTTTCTGTTTTTTTTTCTTTTTTTAAGTTCGGGCTGGGTGTGGTGGCTCACACGTGTAATCCCAGCTACTTGGGAGGCTGAGGTGGGAGGATCCCTTGAGCTCGGGAGTTCGAGGCTGCAGTGAGCTATGATCACATCACTGCACTGTAGCCTGGGTGACAGAGAGAGACCTCGTCTCTTGAAACAATTTTTTTTATTAAAAAAAAATTTAAAAGTTCCATACCTATATTCAAGATTATATATACTGAACATGTATGTTGTTACCCACTCATGACTTGATGTCTTGTAGGACCTATTCAATTTTTTGATGGTGTTGCCAGGATTTTAAGCTGACGTCTGATCATTGATTAATCTATCCCCATCTTCTAAGGGGAGCAGAGAGGAGCCAAAGATTGTAAGGAGCCTAACTTTAGTTCTGGCCCTACATGGACTAAGACTTGCCTCTGTTTTGGTTCACAGACTATGGTTTTTCCATGGTGGATAGGGGGAGAGTGTTGATTTAAAAAAAATGCCAGACAAATCAGCCCCATTGCAGCTTTAGTCAAGTTAGATTCAGTGGTTTGCTTCAACCTCACTGTAAGTTCCTTAACTCATCCTCCCATCTGAATTCAGCAAGCATCAACCTTAATGCCCCACTTTCTTCCTCAGTTAAATAGTAGAGACTTTTCTCTCTCTGATTCCTCCCTAACCGTTACTTTAGAAAAGTGACTCTTAAACTGTTGGAGGTCATGAACCCCTAGAGGCCCTCTACTTAGAAAAATAGAATTGAAGTATTCTTATAGGACCCAGGACAAGAACAGTTCTATAGAGAGCAAAGAAGAGGCTCAGATTATAAGAAAATTATTATTGTAAGCCTCAGTTCACTTCCCTTGTATCCCCCCATTTCCCTCTCCACACACAAATTGCAAAAATCAATTTCTGACCTTTTCTCCCCTAACTCTGCCCCCTGCAATGCTTGTGCCTAGGAACTGCTGATTTCCTAGTATTAGGAGGAGGCTCCAGGAGCCTCAGCCTTCAGGCCATGACTGTGGCAGAGATGAGAGCTGGGCTGGGTGGGGAGGGTGTCCTCCTCAGGAGCTGGACATCCTTCCTGAGCTTTGGGATTACTTTTTCCCCTTCCCTTAGATGTTTTCATGCCCAGTGACAAGCATAGTCCTTGGAAAGATTATCTTCTTTAGCCACTTGCCCCCTGACCTAAAAGGTTAGCCTCTGTGAACACTATGCTGTGTCTCCCAGATGCCACCCCCCTCTGGCATTTATTCTCCACCCTTGGCCTTACAGAGAACCCAGTGAGCATGTTTTTAAATCTCTAATTTCCCTAGCCAGGAGCAGATCTGTTTCTTCCTACGGGACAAGGCCCAAGTAATGATGAGAATCATAGTTTGGTTATCACTGGACACAACTTACTTCTGTAGTTCACAGAATGCCTTGCCATGTGCATGTCCACGAGGGAAAAAGGGACTGGGTCAAGGTCAGGCCCTTTGGTATGTCAAGGTAAGGACTCGTCCTGTTTCCAGGTCATGAGGATTGATGGCACCATGGACAGCCCTCCGTGTCTCAAGGTGACGCATAAGACATTTGGCACACAGAATAGCAATGCCGACATGATCTATTGCCGCTTGAGCATGCCTGTCGAGTGCCACTCCTCCTTCAGCCACAGCCCCTGTCTGGACAGTGAAGCTTTCCAGAAAAGGTGAGGGTGAGGCCTCCAGTTCTCAGAGGCACTCATTGTATCTCCTGTAAAGTGGGCTTTCTGCTTTTTACCCTAACTCAGCATAGGAACTCCACTGATAGGGTTCTCTCTGCTTTCAGTCAGGTAAAAAAGAAAATGAGAATGTATGTGCACGCATGTACATGCAAGTACACGTGTGTGTTTGTGCAGTGCATAATTAAGGCACCAATCATGCTAAACAGACACATCTGGTGGAAAAGTTTCTGCTCTTCTTGAACTCTGAGCCCCTACCTTCCTTGCTGCCCACAATTCCTGTGTTTTGTGAGTGCATAAGAGGGTGCAATTATTTTTGCTTTTGTGTGCAATTAGAAGTTTCTGGAGGCAGATACTGCCTTCTTTGCATAGCTATGGGCATTGTCCAACTCTGCAGCTGTGTGATTCATGGGCAATGTGACTTCTTTCTTCCTGATCAGTAACATATCCCTTGCTGTCTTTCTTTCCCCTGATGTCTATTTTTAATCATTGATGTATGTCTGCTGCCTGGAGCCGTCTTGTTGGGGTTTCCTCTAGAGTTTTGCTTTCTACCAAGCTTTTAAACAAGCACAGCTACTTGTGAGAATAGGATAACCTATTCAGAGGTATCCCTACTTATATTATTGCGGTCTTCCGTCCTCACTCTCAACTTACCATCTAACTTACCATCTGGGCTGAGGGATAAGAGTTGGGAGTCACATCCCTGCCTTGTGTTAACAGCTTGCAAATGAATAAGTCCCAAGACTGGTTGCAATCACTTGTGTTTAGGGAGTAGCCAGTTTCCTAAACTTGACTTGATCATTGAAGGTAGATCAAGTTGCCTGTCGGAACTGTGGGATTCTCAATACAGCTGAATAACTAAAACATGGATTATCTTTCCCCCAGGAAACAGATGCAAGAAATACTCTCTCATACAACAACAGTAAGTAAATGTGCTCAATTATGGTTTTAATTATTTGATTCTTTGTTGTGCCTGGTAATATGCCCCTTACAGCAAAGATCCGTCTAGAGATCCTCTTTAATTGCCAATTACTCTGTCTTTTAATATCCATCTTGATGCTTCCAGAACACATCTGTGGCATTTCTCAAGTGGGGGAAAGACAGTTATTCAGTGCAAAGCAAAAGCTCTACCTGGAGCTCCTAACTGGGCATCATTGGATACTTGTTGCCCATTTGCCATCAGGGATCCAACACTGCCTTTCTGATTGAAATGAGCATCAGTTGGAGGGCGCTCAATTAAATCTTTTGGTTTGCCTTTTTTGTGTAAACTTTTGTGAGTCAGCTGCCCCATGTCTCTGTGCAGTGCTAGGAGTGATGTTAAAAGCAATCAAATGAGAAGAAGAGCAAGAAGCCATCGCAGAAGATGGAAGCTACTTTTGGTCCCTAGACAGTAGTCAGAAAGCAACTCCTGATTTTTCTTTCTATCTCTCATTCTTCTTTAGCATCTGGCAAAAAAAAAAAAAAAAAAAAAGCCTGTGGAAGACATGTGTGTCAACCCTTCTGTAAAGTTATCCAACAATCCTGAATTTGTAGGTTAACTCTCATCAGGAACAAGATTCTTGCTGCAGTAAATCACTCACTTAGTCTGTGGGGGACACTGTGCTCGGCACATTGTTGCCTTCCCATTTAATCTCCATTTAAAATTAATCAGCAAGCCCTGAAATGGATAATATTATGCACAATATTATGCACAGAGAGGACAAATGATTTGTCCAAAGTCACATGATGAATACCTGGCAGTGTCAAGATTCAAGCCCAGGTTTGTCTAGCCGACCCTTTTTTCTTCCAGTCAAGAAAATTTGACAGACTACAAATAAGAGCCACTTAATTAAGAATGAATCTGCTCAGTTTCATAAGGAAAATGATGAGCTAGTCACCTGCCTCAGAGCTGTAGCTATTGTTGTAATATAGTGATAACCCCATGGATTGTATGAGCCCTGCCAAAAACTGCTGTACTTCTCAATACTGACTGTAGTTGAGTGTGACAGCTACACAGAGCACATTTGGCCATGAGATGAACTTTTTCTTGAGCAACCTCTTTCAAGACTTTCCAGAAAAAAGCACTAGACTTCCCTTTAGAAGGAGAAAGTGTAACGGGGATGCTCTGACCCTTGACCACTCTTTCTCTGAGGGCAGGGACTGTGCCCGCTCTCTCCTGCAGCTCAGATCTGCCCTGGTGCCCAGGAGAGGGTTAGGGCTCTGTGCTGCCATTCTGAGCAGCTGCCACTGCTTCCATCCACAGCATCTCCTGATTTCAGCACCAGTGTCTTCTGGGCAAAGGGTGGTAGATTAGCTTAAGCATTTGCTTTGCCAGATGCTACAGCAAAATAGAAAGGAAAAATTAGGAAGCCAGAATCCCTATTCAGCCTTCCTTCCAGATCTAGCATCTAGCCTACCTCTACTAGTGTGCACTTTTCCAGAAAAAAAAGGGGGGGCCAAGTGAGCTGCTGTGTTATTTCTGCCTCTTGGGCCCCCTATCTTCAACTGGATGGGGGCTGGGGGCCATTGACTCCCCTCTGCGGTCTCTCCACAGCAGTGCTACTACGCCATCCGCATCTTTGCTGGACAGGATCCATCCTGTGTCTGGGTCGGATGGGTGACTCCAGACTATCACTTGTACAGTGAAAAGTTTGACCTGAATAAAAACTGCACAGTGACTGTCACCCTAGGGGATGAAAGAGGCCGGGTCCATGAAAGGTAAGGGGGCTCCCAAGTGGCAGGGTTAGCCATCGGGCTTCTCAGTCCCTCCCCCCAGTCTTTTTCTTCCACCCCACACCCAAAGAAGGAAACATCTTGGCCTCTCTTAAAAGGAGAAAATGAAGCACAGACTTCAAAGAAACAAACCGGTACTATGACAGTGAGAAAAAGTGCTAGTGAAAATAGAGAAGAGTTTCATCATGTGTATAAATCGTGACCCAGAGATGGAAAATATAGACAGAGAATGGGGTACGTGATCTCTCTCAGAGTTTTTTTCCAGGACTTCTGGGCAAGTCCCAGTTTCTACAACATCAGAACAAGACAGAGAAAATCTCTGGGTGCTTGAGAGAAGTTGATTCAGAAGAAATAAAAAGATATACCACATCACACACTAACTGATATACTCAGAACTCCTCCTCCCAAGAGTTTATAATGGTTGAAAGCATAAGGAATAAAAGAGACATTGAAACTTCATGAATAATAACCACCAAATAGAAATTAGGAAACTTTAGGGCAAGCGCGTTCTAGGCATACCCATACCCTCCCACTGGTCTGCTGGCACTGCTGCCAGAGAAGGGATTGTTGGCCAGATGTGCTCCAGAGGTGACTGAAGAGACCATGGCTTGTGGTTTCCATCTGTTCCCCACCTACGTGAGGTACAGGAGCATCTTTTCCCTATACAGCCATATGTAGCGATGTCATAAGTTGTTTTTCAAGCTGGCCTTTGCTCCCTACGAAGACAGGAACGTTTTGCAATCAGTGTCCTTTAGAGAATGTTGGCTCACCAAAGACTAGTAGCCAGAGGTGAGTCACAGTCACTGTGTCACGAGGGACCTGCAGCTGGTTAAGAGTGCTGGCTTAGGCTGGGCACGGTGGCTCACGCTTGTAATCACAGCACTTTGGGAGGCCAAGGCGGGCGGATGACGAGTTCAAGAGATTGAGACCATCCTGGCCAACATGGTGAAACCCCGTCTCTACTAAAAATACAAAAATTAGCTGGGCGTGGTGGCGTGTGCCTGTAATCCCAGCTACTCGGGAGGCTGAGGCAGGAGAATCGCTTGAACCCAGAAGGTGAATGTTGCAGTGAGCCGAGATGGCGCCACTGCACTCCATCCTGGCAACAGAGCAAGTCTCTGTCTCAAAAAAAATAAAAATAAAAAAATAAGTGCTGGCTTTAGAATAAACTGCCTGGGTTCTTAGGGGTATGACATTGGACCCGTCACTTAACCTCCCTGGGCCTCGATTTCCTTATCTAAAGATGAGGATAATAGTTTCTATCACAGAGTATTGTGAAGATTAAATAAGTTAATTCATAGAAAAATTTTTAGGACAGTGCCTCAACTCAGGCACTCAGTAAATATCAGCTACAGTCATCCCTTGGTATATGAGCTAGATTGGCCCCAACATCTTCCACCTATACCAAAATCCGCTCATACTCAATGACCTCAGTCAGCACTGAACCCTGGTATAGGAAATGTCAGCCTTCCCTATACGTGAGTTTTGCACTCTGTGAACACTGTATTTTCAATCTATGTGTGGTTGAAAAAAATTCACCTATAAGTGGACCCACATATAATGGACCTATGCAATTCAAACCCATGTTTTTCAAGGGTCAGCTGTATAATTATTATTCCCATTATTGAATGTCCATCATTGAGAGAGCCAAAATAGATGCTATAAGCAACATCTGGTTTAGATTGGAAAGGAAAGTATTCTAAAGTAATTGACCAATCCAGGCTTTGTTCTTCAGCCAGAAGAAAAGGCAGAAGTGTCCACCTCATTTGAGTTTATAATTCCAGTTTGCTGGCTCTACCATACAAGATTGATTACTTCATTTATCTGAGCCTCAGTGGCCATACTTACTGTGAACATTAACTGACATTTTAGCACCTAGGATAAGACATACTATATGGTACACATTCAATAATTCTTACTTCTTTGTCCTATGTAATAAGAAATAAATACAAAATCCGTTTACAGATGCTTTAGGACATTTTGAATTTGGGCCCTTTAATGTATGACCAAAGCGAGCCACTTCACATTCCCACAGCTTTAATACATTATTAATTGTATTCTGTATTAGTCATCAGTATGGTTAGCACCTTAATCACTAAAAAGTAGTACTAACATGGCTGCAGTTATAGAACTCTAATAATGCTATAACTCTTTGAAAGAGGCTATTTGCACTGGCCCCTGCCTGAGGGCATTCACAGGAAGCGAGCAGACCCATCATTGTCCCAAAGGAGAGGACAGGAGATTAATGCATGCTTACAAAGGGGGAAAGTGATAGACTTCTAGAGGCAGAAGGAACCTCGGAGAATCCTAATTGAACCTTTGGTTTTTCAAATGAGAACATCATCCTGAGAGGTGAAGCAACTCTCAGAGTTTACAGGATCTATTCCAGCATCTACCCACCCCACAGTGCCAAATGTACTATCCCTGCCCCTATGTGGCCTTGCCCTCCATGCTGAGGACCACAACAGGAAGCCAAGCTGAGTCACATCAGACTGACCCTAAGATGTTTAAAGGGGCTGCTCTTGCATCAGGTATAGCATCACCCTTTTATTTAACTTGAGAAAAGTCATGTCATGTCACTTCAAGGGACCAGGTGCCTGAGCTGACGTACACCAGTGTGGGCTTAGAAGAAGAAAGAATCGGCCATCTCTTGCCCACGGTGGGGGGCTCTGAGAATCACCTCTGCCACTGCACATCTCCACAGCTCACCTGGGATGTGAAATCCTACAATTGGGGAATCAGGCTTTGGGAGCCTTAAGGACTTTTTCATTATTATAGTTTGCTTTTAAGTGTAAATACCTGTCATGGAGTTTTGTATTCTGGGGTTTGGTAGACAGAAAGCTAAGCAAGGCACCTAAGCTGATGGTTAGCCAGTAGTGCGGGAGGCAGAACTCCAAGGCATGGGGAAGGACAGGGGCTCATAAGTCAAGGTAGCAGCAAGGTGTCAGAGAAAAACTACTTTGTAGGGAGCCCAGGCCGGCCATCCTAAGGAATGTGGGCCCGAGTTTTCAAGTGTTTTACAGCCTTTTGCCCTGGTTACCAGACTGGGACTCTGAACCCAGACTTTTTTTCTGCCTCTTATTCCAAATCCCCATATAAGTTTGCCGAAGGTGGTCATTCACTCCGTGCCTCAATTTCCCGTCTCTTTGGTGGGATACTGCCGTTCCCATGATCTGTTTCACAAAGGTGTGTTGACATTGAGTCTGGAAACAGTTCTCTGAACATTGTGCTTTTTGGAAGGAGGTAGCCTGAATAGATTGCCACATCCTTACTCTGAGTGGTTTGTGTCTGAGTAAATTGGATTGAAGCTAAATAAACTCATTTAAGGAAAAAAAAGTATTTGGGGCTGAACAGAAAGCTTCCTAGGAAAGTTTCTGTAGCCATTTTCATTTTTCATTTCATTCCTGAGTCTTGATTACAAACTGCCCCAGTCCAGATTCTGTGCCTTTTCCTGTCTTGGCTCCTAGTGTGAAACGCAGCAACTGCTACATGGTCTGGGGTGGAGACATTGTAGCCAGTTCCCAGAGATCAAATCGGAGCAACGTGGACCTGGAGATCGGCTGTCTCGTGGATCTGGCCATGGGCATGTTGTCCTTCTCAGCCAATGGAAAGGAACTGGGCACCTGCTACCAGGTAAGGGCGGCTTCTGGGGCCGAAACAGGGCTATCCCAGGCCTGGTGTTTATCACTGTGTTCCTTGTTCTCCGTACTCAGCATTCCTGCCACAGTGTGTCAAGCTGATGAGCCCATGTGGGCCATGGGCCACTTAGGACAACAAATAAACAACAACAAAGTTACTTCATTGTATGCAGAGAAAAAAAGGCTGGGCAATCATAGTTATTGGTTGATCCAATATGCTGGTTGTCTTTCTAGAGGACGAAAAGTCCTTTCCTTGGTGTTGAGCTGTAAATGTTATTCATTTATTTCATAAATATTTCTTGTGCAGCCTTATCTATTACCTGCACTATACAAGATACAAGATGTAAAGGTGAACAAAAATACTTCTCACTTTAAGAAACTTCTGTACTCAAAATAGAAACCTATAAAAAGGATTAATTTGCCAGGAAATATCCCTTTTGCAAAAAGGTTATCCACATTCCCTATGACTACCTCATAAGATGCTTTAAAAATACATTTATAGGCCAGGCGCAGTGGCTCATGCCTGTAATCCCAGCACTTTGGGAGGCCGAGGCGGGGGGATCATGAGGTCAGGAGATTGAGACCATCCTGGCTAGCATAGTGAAACCTGTCTCTATTAAAAATGCAAAAAATTAGCCGAGCGTGGTGGCCCGCGCCTATAGTCCCAGCTACTCAGGAGGCTGGGGCAGGAGAATCGCTTGAACCTGGGAGGCAGAGGTTGCAGTGAGCTGAGATCACACCACTGCACCCCAGCCTGGGCAACAAAGCAAGACTCCATCTCAAAAAAAAAAAAAATACATTTATATAAACAATGTGTTTCCTCATTTCCTGGACCGTGAACTTCCATAGAGCTACTCAGGAAAACCACCTGTTATACACATGTAGGTTTACCTGTCATTAACCACAAGCAGCCTGATCTCTTCATCCTTGATGGCCAGGTAAGGTTGGGAAACTGCCACATATCACATCCACCTCTTGAAGTTTTATAATGAAGGTTATTAGCACACTGAAATATTTGAGAAATACTTCAGAAAGAAACCTATGTAACCAAGCAGTTCTCAAATTATTTGACAAAGAAAAGCACTTTTTTTAATTTTAAGAATCAATAATGTTCTATGAACCTAGAGTTCCACAGAGCAAACTATGGGAGATGGGAGGTTAATGTCTACGTTAAACATTCTCGACTCTCCAAGGTAGAATGGAGAGTCACAAGTATTTGTAGACAGAGAACGCTGTACGAGTTCAAAAAAGGAAGAGCTCACTCCATCACAAGCAGTCAGGAGAATGTTCATTAAGGAGAAATCTTGATTTATTTATTTTTTTAAGGAAAAAGCGTTTTTACGGGCCAGGCATGGAGGCTCACACCTGTAGTTCCAGTATCTTGGGGAGGCCGAGGCAGACAGATCATTTGAGCTCAGGAGTTCGAGACCAGCCTGGGCAACATGGTGGACCCTCAGCTTTACAAAAAATAGAAAAATTAGCTGGGTGTGGTGGCATACACTTGTGGTCCCAGCTGCTCAGGAGGCTAAGAGACTCACTTGAGTCCGGGGAGGTCAAGGCTGCAGTGAGCCATGATTGTTCCACTGTACCCTACTCTGAGTGACTGAGTAAGACCCTGTCTTAAAAAAAAAAAAAGAATGAATTTTCATGGGTAGAAGGAGAAGAGTGTTGAATACATAGCTCAAGAAGTATCATGGAGATAGGGAAGCAGAAAGTGTGTTTGGGGATCTGTGGACAACATCGCATAGGGCTCTTATGGTTATTGGTAAGAAATTTGTTTGGAAAGCTAGGGAGATATAGATAGGAAATGGGGAGCCATTGAAGGTTTCTGAGCAGGAGAGTGGCATGCCGTACTTAGGGCATCCAACAGTTTTTCAGGGTCACCAGTTTACCTAACTATAGCAAATTAAAAACATCCTGCTATGATGTACATGGATAAAACCCCTGATTCTTAAATCAGCCTCAGGTTACAGCCTTCAGGCTGAAAAGCCTCTTGGCAGCCAGTTCTCTGGCCTGTGGTTGGAGAGAGGGGGTAAGGTAGACAGCAGACAGAGTAGCCACCTCCCATCTGAAATGTTCATTGACTAAGAACAGATGGACCAAACCCTTCCTGGGGGCGGGGAGCAGCCTGTTGGCACAGAGGCCGCCACCTTGTCTCTCCAGCACCTCCTGCAGTGCATGACCCTCTCTGCACCTCCTCCTCTTCCTGGGAGAAAGTGGAATCATCACCACTTGGCACGCTTGCTTCAGCAGCTGGGGCCCAACCAGCTATTTCCAGAAAGATGCACTCACAAAGCCAGGCTTTGAGGCAGAAAGTAAAGTATTATTCTTCTAGTACTTTTTCATGATTCTATCTCCTCCACCCCCAAATCCCCTGAGAAATGTTTTATATACATTACTGCTGTCCTTCAAAATCCATTAGCTTTTTCCCATTAACTTTAGAAATGAGTTTAACTGAAGGGTCCTCCCTGAGCTGCAGAGGACGCTAAAGCATCTCATAACTTTTAAGACTAGCTGATCTTTGGAAGTTCAAAAAAAATAATTAATTTTTTAAAATGGCATTTGCAGCAGCAGTGACTTGCCTGCTTCAGGAAAGAACCTGTGATGTTGAAGAGGAGGACACTGTGACAGCTTTAGCCCACCTTTCACCATCCTTCTGGGTGACATAGGCTGGTCAGTTGTCTTCTTTTGGCTGGGTGCTGGTACCCTACCTCCTGGAGAGCCTTCCTCCACCCTGTGCATAGAAATCCTGATGACCCTGCTCAGCGATCCCAGTCCTGACTCTTGCCCTTAAGAATGCTGCCGCAAAGGAGACAGTATCAGGACTCTGTCCAGAAACCTGAGAGGTTCACACCCAGCCAGCCCCCTTCTCATTCCAGGCGAGACAGTAACGTGTCCTGCCATGCATTTGGTCCCTGACAGTGGGATCGTTGTTATTCCACAGCTGTAGCCATTTTCATTTTTCAATTATGTCAAGAAGAACAGTCCAGCAATATTTATACACTGGCTTTCAGATTCAGAAAGGACTAGAAACCAAAATAATGAGAGAAGGAGTCTCTCAAACAATGTTTCTAGACCTCCCCATTAAATAGTGATAAACAATTTGAACACATTTTTCTGTCCACTTAATATAATCAGTGGCGAATTTGAGAAATAAAATCTACATTCAAGAGATACTCCTCAGTGATTGCCACTCCAGGCACACCAGTCTGAGACACAGGCAGCTATGAGGTTTGGATTTACAAGAGGGGTTAGCTTTCAATTCAGGCCCATTCCTGTGCCATGACCTTCACACATGATTAGAAAAAGAATGTCCATTATTGCAAGGACAAAACAGATCAGCCAGTGATGAAAGGTGCCTCAAATACAAAAGGGAAACTGTCAGTGGCATACCACGGCAGTGCTAAATCTGGGCTGGTTGCGCAATCCATGGGCATGTAAGTTCCTCATTTAGAAGGTAAGCTCCTTGAGGGCAGAGGCCCTCTCCTGTGCTCACTGCCGCCTCCCCATGCATGAAACAGTACCTGGCATCTAGTGAATGCTCACCGAGTATGTGTTGCCAGACTGACCCACGGCTGGGAAATCCCCTTGTAGGCATTTTTTTTTTATTGTTGCCTGACAAGTTACCACAAAATTTAGCAGCTTAAAACAACACACATTATTTCAGAGTTCCGCAGGCTTGACTGGGTACTCAGATTCTCACAAGGCCAAACACAAAGTGTGCCCTGGGCCTGAACCAGGCTCATCTGGAGGCTCTAAGGTGAATCCACTTCTGAGCTTATTCAAGGTATTGGCAGTTCTTTGAGATTATGGGTCTTAGGTCGTAGATTCTGAGGCCCCTGTTTCCTTGCTGGCTATCAGCCAGGGCCACTCTCAGCTCCCAGAGGGCACCCACATTCCTTTACACGTGGCCCCCTCCATTTCAAAGCCAACAAGGGCACGTCCAGTTTTTCTCTCTGATTTTCCCTTCTTCCTCCAGCAGGAAAACTCCTGCCTTTAGAAGCCTCATGCAATTTGAAAAGGCCAACAAGGTCTCCCTATCTTGAGGCCAAATGGTTAGTACAATTGCATTACATCTGCAGAATGCCTTTTGCCGTGCAACATAGCATGATCATAAGAGTAACACCAGGGGTCCCAGAGGGCCTTCTCGAATCCTGCTTACCACACCACCAATTGCCCATTTTTATCCTTATTACACCCTCATGAGCCCACACTTGTGTTTTTTTCTTGTTTTAGTGATCGAAGAGACATTTCCTTTGTTTATCATGTGAGACTATACTCTGCGTGGTGGAAAATAAACCTATCCCAGGGCATCCTAAATGCTCTCAAAGCACTTACTTTCTGCAGGGAGGGTTGAGGAGAGCCCTGGAGTTTGGGCAGTTTATGAAGTTTTCAGGAACCAGTCCTGAGGGACCTGAAAATAAAACTCCCTCTTCAAGCTATGGCTCCCTATACTGGTGTGATTCGACTGAATGCATTTCTCTCTCCCTGTTAGCAGAAACGCATGGGCTTCCTACTGGTCCAGATGAAGTTTCCTCAGCCACAGGAGCTCTGCTCCCTTCAGTTTGCAGTGACTTGAGGCCTACAAGTTGTTCTAGATGTCACATATTGGGCATTTGAGAAATCTGGGAGCCAGCCCAGGGACGACTCCTGCCTTGTAGCTAAAGTCAGAACAACATCAAATCAGAATTTCCTATTCATGTCTCATCACCATGAACTCAGGGTCTGGCACAAAGCAAGTATATAATAGGTACTACATCATTATCTGTTGAAAGTCATTTACAAAGCTTATTTCAGGCAGAGGCAGGCAGTACTAGCAGTCTACTCCAACATTTTGGTTTTACTGGCACTTATCTCTTCATATCGTCCATGGAACATCCAGTATAAATCAAATATTTTTACCTGAAATGTGAGGCCACTTTTGTGTACTAGAAGGATCATGTACTGGATGAAAGTCTGGGGTTTAACCAATCCAGCCTATTTCATCATGAACAAATGATAGCACTAAATCATGCAATCTTCTAAGTCACAGCCATAAAAATGTGTGGTTTTGTAACTCTTATGTCTAAATACATTGAGGAAGTTCATTATTTAAAGAAAACCTGTGACAATTGCTTTGACAAAAAGAAAACTCACTATACTCATTCTCTGTTGTCACATTACAAATTACAAATTTAGCGGCTTAAAATAGCATATATTTATTAGCCCATGATTTCTATGGATCAGGAGTCTGGCCACAGTGTAGCTGGGTCCTCAGTCCAGGGTCTCACAAGGATATTGTTAAGGTGTCAGCCAGGCTGCCTTCTTTTCTAGAGCTCAGTATCTTCTTCCATGCTTACGTGCTTGTTGGCAGAATTCAATTGCTTGCATTTGTAGAACTGAGGTCCTGTTTTCATGCTGGCTGCAGCCAGGGGCCACTCTCCCCGCCTTCCGCCCCCAAGAATTCCTTGTTCCGTGGCCCTCTCGTAAGCCTTCTAACAGTATAGCTGCTCACATCTCCAAGGTCATCTGGAGAAGCTTTCTCTCCAGTCCACCAAGATGAAGTTTTACATAAAATAATCTAGGAAGTGACAGGTCCTTCATCTTTGTCATTCTGTTTGCTGAAAGCAAGACACAAGTTCTAGGGGAATGATGACCCATTGGGGTCACCTTAGGGTATGTCCAGCACACCTGCCATCCCCTCATTTATAGATGGGGAGAGTTGCAAGAATTTCCTAATGTTTATATTTGCTTCAACCTAAAAGGTTTCAGTTGGTGGAATTAAAGTCCCAGTGTGTGAGCAGACTTTATGTAGTCTTCCATCATCCTCCAGTGACTTTCTTGAAAACACTTTAGTAATATGGAATTCAGAGGCTGCTCCTCCATCAAAGGGAGCAAGTAATACCTGGAGCTCCTGATGTGGTACACTGATAAATCTAATGTTTCATCTAAGTGGCAGCTGCAGCACAATCAGTAAATGCCAAACCCTTCAACAGAAGAACTGGAATGCTGAAGAGTGCAAAGGGGGTGGAGAGGATGGAGAGGAGTCCAGAGGAACCCGGGGAGAATTAGGGCTTTGAGAGGGAGACAGTGTCCTTTTGTTATTCCAGTGAGGGACCTCACAGTCTTTGCCTGTAGAGCAGTGTTTCTCAATCAGGGGTACTTTTGCCCTTCACAGAACATTTGGCAATGTTGGGAACCATGTTGGTTGTCATGACTGTGGTGGGGGCAGAGAGTGCTGCTGATGTGCAGTGGGCAGAGGGCAGGGATGCCGCTCAACATCCTACAGTGCATGGGATGGCGCCCACCGCAAAAAGCTACCTGGCCTGAAATGTCGGCAGTGCCAAGGTTGAGAAACCCTACCATGGGATCTCCATGGGCTTGCTTGACTAATGTTGGTTTGCCTGAGTCACCACCCTATCCCAGTTATCATCTCCTATGGGCAGGTGTGGAGAATGATGGTGCTGCCATGTGCCACGTGTCTTTGGGCTCTGTGAAGAGCAAGCACATCACACTGTTCAGTGACCAGCAGCAGGTATGCCTTTGGTGGGGAGTTAGCTTCACACCTACCTGTCCTGTGCACTGGAGGAAGCTACTGGCTACAGGTATCTGAGAGAAAAAATGAAAGGACCTGAGATTATTCAGCCCTGAGTGGAGACACTGTTTAAGGTGTGGAATTGTGACAATCTCCGCTGATAGATAACTGGTCTCTGCGAATTTCTGAGCAGTGGAGAATGACCAGACAGCTAGCAGTCATTGGAATGAGATTGTTGACCAAAACACCCAATGGCTGAGCCAGCTGTGTTGTTTGTCCAGCTCTGGGCAAAGCTTTCGATTTGTTTTGATTTCCAGGTGGAGCCTAATACCAAAGTGTTTCCAGCAGTCTTCCTGCAGCCTACAAGTACTTCTTTGTTTCAGTTTGAACTTGGAAAGCTGAAGGTATTTATTTGTCCTCTCATCTAATGGCCATGACAAGAGAAAGCAGCACTAACCATTAGGGGGAAAATCCCAGGCCTCAGAAGATGGGAGAAGCCTGTTCACTTCCCATAAGCCCCCCACCCCCAGGCCCTGCCCTTTCCTGTGGCATTCAGATGGTAGAATATGCATTCTTATCTTCCCCTTTTCCCACCTCTTTTGGGTGCTGAAAGAATCAATTAATGCTCATATAACCCATTATTTGAAATGCTAATTAATGCTGGTAAAGCCCTTAGAGATCCCTGGATACATTTGTCCCTCTTTAATTTATACTGGCCATATCGGTTAAAATGTCTGGGTGCGTCATCCAGCAACTGTGTGTTTCTTTTCCAATGCCTTTCCCACGTGCCCCAGAACGCAATGCCCCTGTCAGCGGCCATATTCAGGAGTGAAGAGAAGAACCCAGTCCCACAGTGTCCACCTCGGCTGGACGTCCAAACCATCCAGCCCGTGCTCTGGAGCCGCATGCCCAACAGCTTCCTGAAGGTGGAGACCGAGCGTGTGAGCGAGCGCCACGGCTGGGTGGTGCAGTGCCTGGAGCCCCTGCAGATGATGGCGCTCCACATCCCCGAGGAGAACAGGTACCAGAGGGGCCCGCGAAGGAAGGGGCAGGCCTGAGGGGCAGGTGAGGCAGAGCCAAGCCAGCCCAGAAGGAAACCAGGAGCATCTGTGTTGGATCCTGCTCAGTCCCAGTATGACTTGATTTCCCCAGTGCCTCAGTTTCTATTCCTTCCCACTTTCATTACTCAGAAACAGCAGGAAACACACTAGGAGGTGCCTGCCACAGGGCCTTTGTTGCAGCTCCTAGTGCCTGGTATTAAGGAACAGTGCCATGCCTTAAATTAAAAACTAGTTTACCTTGAAATATGCATCATTTATGACAGGAAGGGGAAGACTCTAGCTTGACTTAGAGAATCAGGAATCAGGTTCCTGGTCTCCCCTTGCTAAGAGGTGCTATTAATTATGGCTGGGGTTCAATCCCATTGCTCTCTCTTTCTGGCTTTGTGGCCTTGGGTACATTACTTATGTACTCTGAACATTGCTCTTTTCATCTACACAGTGAGAGAAATGCTCACCCAAAGGGTTTCTGGGAGGAAAATAATGAGATTGTATAAGTATAATCTGGTACAGTTTCTGTACATAGTAAGAAATAAATGTTACGGTTATTGCCATCCCTTGACCTCTTTGAATAAAAAAGCAGAGCAATGGGAAAGGGTTGAGGTATTTGACACCTGCATAGGTCCCATTTAGGTGTCCCATTGGGTCACGAGCAGCAGGGCAGGCCATGGCAGGAAAGGGGCAGAAAAGACCAGGAGCCCAGCCAAGTAAGTCAATTCTGCAGGGTCCTCAAATCCATGAGGAGTCGTGAGACTAAATGAAAAATCTAAGCAGAGATTAGAGCCGAGGCCCTGGACCCACACAAACAAGGGAGCAACATACAAACAGACCTCTAAGTCAAGAAAGAGAGAGCCAACTGGATAATGTTAATTGGTTTCAGGTTGGAAGGTGTTTCCTCTCTGGACAAGAGTGCAGAGTATGTTTGTGAAAACAAAACAAGTATGTTTGTTTTCAGGTCGTTGGAGGAACACCCCATGGATAGTGGTAGATTGGACTTTATACAAATGATACAGATCAGTGGTCCCCAGCCTTTTTGGCACCAGGGACTGGTTTCATGGAAGACAGTTTTTCCACAGACAGTGGTGGGTGAGGCTGGGGGAGGGGGTAGAGGGGATGGTTTCAGGATGAAACTGTTGCACCTCAGATCATCAGGCGTTAGATTCTTATAAGGAGCATGCAGCCTAGATCCCTCGCATGCACGGTTCACAGTAGGGTTTACACTCCTATGAAAATCTATTGCTGGTCCTGGTCCATGGCCCCGGGATTGGGAACCCCTGATGTAGACGGTAGACTGACAGAAAGCATAATCTACATTTTCTGAGGAGATTTTACATTTCTGAGGGAAATGAAACATCTGCTTGATCCTACAAGTAAGACGACCAAGTCATCACTCTCATATATGTGAATGTTTTCTGTTTGGGAATTTCGGATTTTTTCCTAATAATGAAGACTTTCATATTTGGTAAACCAGTGTCTTGCAGGCTTTTGAGAGCCTTGTAGTTAAATACAGTGGAGTACTAGGAACTGGAATACGGACCAGAGCTGAGAGAGGCATGATAAGCCATAAGAGAAACTGTGGCAGAGACCCCTCCAACCTTCCACCCACCCTGCCTTTGTTGGGCTGGATGAAATAGCTGGATTCTGGTGGGTTCTTCTCCCCCTGGTGTGGCTGATTGCTCGTCCTGTCCTCAGGTGTGTGGATATCCTGGAGCTCTGTGAGCAGGAGGACCTGATGCGGTTCCATTACCACACGCTGAGGCTCTACAGCGCGGTGTGCGCCCTGGGAAACAGCCGCGTGGCCTACGCCCTGTGCAGCCACGTGGACCTCTCCCAGCTCTTCTATGCCATTGACAACAAGTACCTCCCCGGCCTCCTTCGATCTGGTTTCTATGACCTGCTCATCAGCATCCACCTGGCCAGCGCCAAGGAGAGGAAGCTGATGATGAAGAACGAGTACATCATCCCCATTACCAGCACCACCAGGAATATCCGCCTCTTCCCGGACGAGTCCAAGAGGCATGGACTGCCTGGGGTGGGCCTGAGAACATGTCTCAAGCCCGGGTTCAGGTTCTCCACCCCTTGCTTTGTTGTGACTGGTGAGGATCACCAAAAGCAGAGCCCCGAGATTCCCTTGGAGAGTCTCAGGACGAAGGCTCTGAGTATGCTGACAGAGGCAGTGCAGTGCAGCGGGGCCCACATCCGAGACCCTGTAGGGGGGTCTGTGGAGTTCCAGTTTGTGCCTGTGCTGAAACTCATTGGAACCCTGCTGGTCATGGGCGTGTTTGATGATGATGATGTTCGGCAGATCCTCCTCCTGATTGATCCCTCTGTGTTTGGGGAGCATAGTGCGGGGACAGAGGAGGGAGCAGAAAAGGAGGAAGTGACCCAGGTGGAGGAGAAGGCTGTGGAGGCTGGGGAGAAGGCCGGCAAGGAGGCTCCTGTCAAAGGCTTGTTGCAGACTCGATTACCCGAATCCGTCAAGCTGCAGGTAAGCTGCAGGTGGTTAAGTGGAGGCAGGTTAATAGATCTTCTGCTTTGATCAAAATATCAGGAACACACTGAGGATTAAAGGAGGTAAGGTATGTCAAGTGCTTGGCATAGTGACTGACCAAGAGTGCTTGATGATTATGGTGCTTGTTGTTGAATAAGTTCTAAAAGTGATAAGATTGGTAATAACAATCCAAAACAACTCATCCCAGAAAAACAGTGCAAAAAACAATGAAAGATGGAGAGAAGGACAAACATCTCTACTTTCCATCCTCCAGGACTGGAACATTTCAGAAAGGGAGGCAGCATTCACGTGCATGATCTGGAGCTGGTTTTTCTACTCAGCTTCCTGGGAAACTATTTTCTTAGAAATATTTTCTCTCTCTCCATAGGCAGATTTCTTCTGTCTTTAGTGAGCTGTTTTCTGTTATTGCCTTCGACTTAATGGTGAAGATTTGAGTAACAGCTTTATGGCTACTGTGTGGCAATTTACTTTGTCTAAGTCTCAGTGCTACTGTCTGTAAAATGGGCATGCTAGCAGCCTCACCAAAGTACACAAAGTGTTATCTATATAATACTTTCATTGCAGATGTGTGAGCTCCTCAGCTATCTCTGCGACTGTGAGCTGCAGCACCGAGTGGAGGCCATTGTGGCATTTGGTGACATTTATGTCTCCAAGCTGCAGGCAAATCAGAAGTTCCGCTACAATGAGCTCATGCAGGCCCTGAACATGTCTGCGGCCCTGACTGCCCGGAAGACCAAGGAGTTCCGCTCACCCCCACAGGAGCAGGTGAGGGTCCTTCCTGAGCCTCTGTCCAGTTCCTATGGAAGAACTTGAGACCTATGGAACAGGGCACATGAAACCTCTATGGTCTCTGGGGCAGCCTCAAGAGCTATGGAAGATGAAAAGACCCACTGCAATACCAGGAGACAGGCCTAGTCCTGAAAGCTAAGGAATATGTGCCAATTCTCTTGGGTAGGAAAATACCCCTTTCTAAACTGCACACGTGGCAGGGCTTCCTCCCTTCTTTAACCCTCTCCAATGCCTCCATTACTGATTCAAAGACCAGACCACTGTTGGGATTCAATTGTCTCCTCAGCAAGGATACACCACTCAGAAGGATTTCTGCCAACCCTTGCAGAAGTCACTACCTGTCTATCAGTTACCAACAGAATAGGGTCAACCTGCCCCTACTTATGAGAGTTGGCACACAGTCTTCTTCTTCTAATGCGTCTAAACCCCCTTGCCGGTGGCACGACTCTCTCACAAAGCCTCCCCAGCTCCATGGAGCCTGGAGAAGGGGACTCAGTGAGTGAGTCATCTTTGTGATTTGTTGTATTCATTCTTTACAGTACCCACCTTGGGGTTAGCCTTACCCCGATGGGAAGGGCTTCTTTAAGAAGAGTCAAGATCCTAGTGAGAAATTTCTAAATGAGGGAGACACATTCTGTAGAATAGGAGTTTCCATTTTCCCCGCTGCTCAGTGGCTCACTTAGACCTTGCAGATGGGTTGACCACTGCTCCCTAAGTGTTCAAAAGAAAAGATAAATCTTTCAGCGAAGGAAGTAGTTTTTGTTTTGAAACCAGATCTTTGGATTATATTTATACACATATATATATAGATATATGTGTGTGTGTGTGTATATATATATATATATATATATATACGTATGTATACATCTGCGAGGGAGATGCAAAATGTAGGTAATCTTTGCATCTCCTCCCCAGGGTTCTTGCAAGGATCACGTGAGATAATTTGTTTGGATTGCTTAGCATGACGCCTGTCATAGAGTAAGCATACATACATGTATATAAAACAAGCAGCCTGTCCATAAAGTGTTGTCAATATAGTTACCACCATTTTATGTTAATGGCAGAACTACAACTCCATCCAATTACTTTCCTAACCTATTTTAAAACGTAGATATCTATATTGGCTTAAAAATGAATGACATATCTTGGCTTTCAAAAGACTCTCTTGAATGATACCAGCCTGGCTAATGAGTGGGTAAAGCTTATCATCCCTTTGCAAAATGAGAAAGCCCTTTGGATTGACTGGAACAGATCATTTGCACCACACAAAATGCACAAGTGTGCTATTTTTCCAAGAATTACTCCTGAAGGCTTTACAAATGTTGTCAGGCTGCTTTTAGACTGGCAATAGATCTGCATATTCCCTATTTCACTGGGCGTATTCTGGCTCTTTCATATGTATTTGTGAATAACAGAAGATACAATGACATGGTGATGGTAACACATGTTGGCCTTGGGCTGTGGGTTCCCAAACTGGCTCCCCCATTGCTCGCTGTGTGGTCTTCCACATGACCTTTCTGTATCTGTTTCTTTAGCTGCAAAATGTGGATAATTTTTGCATCTCCCTCCCAGGGTTCCTGCAAGGATCCCATTTAGATTGCTTTGTGTGATGCCTATCACAGAGTAAGCATTCTGTAAGTACTAAGCGAGCTACTATTACTTTTATTGTTGGAGATATTTGCAATTGCTTCATGACAGGCTCTGTGACCTTCTATCAGTGACCCGATGAGTGGAGTTCACACATGTTTTCTGGCATCTCTTTCTCCCAGCCAAGACTGGGGTTGCCCACCCAACACTGTCCTCGTGGATATAGCTGCTCATGGTTCCACATCTTGGGAAGGACAAGGTTTACTCACACACTTCCTTTCCCCATTCTGCCTCCATACCTTCTGCTGTCTCTTGGGCTACCATTTAGATCCACTGCCAGTCTAAAAGCAGCTTGACAACATTTGTAAAGCCTTCAAGAGTAGTTCCTGACAAAACAGCATACCTGTGCATTTGGCACAGTGCAAATAATCTTTTCCAGTCAATCCAAAAGACTTTCTCATTTTACATCTAGCAAAGGGATGATGAGTATGTACCATCCTTTAGTATTCTAAGCAATCCTCTGATCAATCATTTCAGACTCATTTCAGAAGTCAGTAACTCAAGAAATTCTTCACTAATGTATTAGACCAGTGATTCTTGAGCAAGCATCAGAATCATCTAAAGGGCTTAATAAAACACAGATTGCTTGGTTTCACCCCTAGGGTTTCTTTTTTGTGACAGAGTCTCACTCTGTCATGCAGGCTGGGATGCAGTGGCATGGTATCAGCTTACTGCAACCTCTGCTTCCTGGGTTCAAGTGATTCTCATGCCTCAGCCTCCCAAGTAGCTGGGACTACAGGCATGCACCACCATGACCAACTAATTTTTGTATTTTTAGTAGAGGGGTGGGTTTCCCCATATTGGGCAGGCTGGTCTCGAACTCCTGACCTCAAGCTCCACCTGCCTCAGCTTCCCCAAGTGCTGGGATTACAGGTGTGAGCCACTGTGCCCAGCCTCACTCCTAGGGTTTCTAATACGGTATGTCTAGGGTGAGGCCTAAGCTTTTGCATTTTTAGCAAGTTTTCAGGTAATGCTGATACTGCTGGTCTGAGAATAAAAATGAAAGAAGGGACACTTACCGCTATGAGATTCAGCTGTCCCCCTGCCATCCCTCTCAGAGTATTCACTTCTACAAGGCACCTACCCATAGAGTCATCAATATCAGAAGATTTAATGTCATCAAAGGATATGGTGGATTTAGATCAATTTCAGAGAATAGCAATGCAAAATCACTTAGAAAATAGGATGCCTGAAAATTACAATTTTAAAACAGTGATATCCTTCTACAACCTTTGAAGAGAAAACAGATTTTTAAGCCCTATGTCCAGAGAGTATTCAGGGAGATGGAAGAAAATGGGGGATATAACTAAGTACAAAAGAAGGTAAAACTGAGATTAGTCCAAGGGTTGCTGGCAAGTTAGCCAAGCATAGCCAGCTGGCCTTTCACTTCCAAGAGGACGTTATTAAAGGGCATGACCTGCAGTGGAAAATTCAGCTCAACCCAGCTTTCTGTTGTATGTCCTACAGGCAAGGAAGCCCCTGCTTCCTAAATGTTCTGCCAAAGGAAAGATCTTTTAGTAAAGAAATTCATTTTCTAACTCAGAAACCAGATCTTCAAATCTTATTTTTATTTAATCGACAACAAATCAGCATATGTTGTTAATATAATTACTGTAATTTAACCTCACAGAAAAACCACAAACGTGACCCAACCTGTTCTGTGGATATTTTTTCTTACAAACAATACCTCTACCTACTTGCAAAATATGGTTTGCAGTAAGATCTTTGTGTAGAGTTCCTCCTAACAATGCTACACAAGGTTCATGATTTAATAAGAGATTGCAAATTTTTCCAACCTAGAAATCCTAAACAAAAGGAGTTTGGGTTATCCTGGCTGAGGCAGCAAAATGTTTACCTCTGGTTATTTCTTCTGTCACTCCAGGTGTTCAATGACCTGGGGTCGTGGCCCTATAGGCAGAATTCAGAGATCCAGGAACCTGAGTGGAAAATGAATGACAGCTTTATTTTCACTGATCTCTGATAGCATTTCTTTTCTTATTTTAATATTGGCAGCAAAACAAGTACCTGACTTTGACACCAACCAAAATTGCACATTTTTTCATGTCACATTACAGTGGTTACGGTATCTAGAAAGATCATTTTCATTCCTTACTACTTCAAGACCACAGTGGATAGATATAAGACCTGCCACTAGATCATTTTCTCTAATGAGTTAATAAGTACATACGTTACTACATCACAAATTTGATTTCTATAGTTTTGATACCTGTATTACAGTATAATTATTTCTCTTTGTAGTCCTATGTATTTTATTTTGTGCATTTAAAATATTAATCAGAGAAGCAATCCATGGGTTTCACCAGACTGTCAGAGGGGTCCATAGCACAAAAACTACTAAAAATCCCTGAGTCAGGCCCGGCGCGGTGGCTCATGCCTGTAATCCTAGCACTTTGGGAGGCCAAGGCAGGTGGATCACAAGGTCAGGAGTTCTAGATCAGCCTGGCCAACATGGTGAAACCCCATCTCTACTAAAAATACAAGAAATTAGCTGAGTGCGGTGGTGCGCACCTGTAATCCCAGCTACTCGGCACCCTGAGGCAGGAGAATCACTTTAACCCAGGTGGTGGAGGTTGCAGTGAGCCAAGATTGCACCATTGCATTCCAGCCTGGGCAACAAAGCAAGACTCAGTCTTGAAAAAAAAAAAAAAATCCCTGAGACAAAAACTAAAAAGAATGATAGATTGGCATGAAACCCCCTCTCTACTAAAAATACTGAAAATACAAAAAAAAAAAAGAAATCAGCCGGGCGTGTTGGCGGGCGCCTGTGGTCCCAGCTACTCGGGAGGCTGAGGCAGGAGAATGGCGTGAACCCGGGAGGCGGAGCTTGCAGTGAGCCGGGATTGTGCCACTGCACTCCAGCCTGGGCAACAGAGCGAGACTCTGTCTCAAAAAAACAAACAAACAAACAAAAAAACTTGTAGACAAAATTAAAAGCTGACCAAAAGCTGGGCCAATACATGTAGAGTATAAAAGTATATAAAAAGTTAAAAATCTAGAGGTGTCCAAAGCACTCAGGGGCAAATTTTTTAAAGATAATTACCCAGTAGAAAAATAGAGGAAAAACATGGATGGGAAATTTATGAAATACAAAATAAAATTAATCTTTATGTGTGAAAAAACAAATTTCAACCTCACCAATTAAGCATAAATTAAAGCAACAGGGATAGGACATTTTTCACCCATTCAATTGAAAATATTTGAAAATGTGTTAACTCTTATTACTGTAACGAAGATGGCATAGTAATACACACTTGTATAAACTTGTTAATAATGCAAATTGTAAGCTTTCTGAAGGGCAATTTGTAAATTCATATAAAAAAACATTAAAATATGCAAACCTGTTCCTCTAGTCATTTTGCTTCTGGGAGTTTATTCTAAGAAAATAATCAGAGACATGAAAAAAAATTATTTTAAAGGAAACTCAAACCAGCTTTATAAGGACAAATAATAGAAACAAATATGTCATAACAGAGTTAATTTTACATAAATTATAATTCTTCCATATAATTACAATGCACCTATTAAAAATTGGATTAAGAAAGTAAGAAAATGTTCAAGTAACATTAAGTGGAAAACTCTGGTTTTTAAAAGGTGTATCTGGAATGTGATCCCATTCTGTGCGTATACCTACATAATGTCAGGAAGACATTAGCTAAAATATTAACAGTAGTTATCTCGGGGTGGTGGAATCACAGTAAATTTTCTTATTTAGGTATTTTCCAAATGTTATACAATTAATAAGTTACTTTTAGAATCAGGAAAAGGTGAAAGCTACTTGTAAATATTGGCCACTTTTACCAAAAAAAAAAAAATCACTAAGTAAAATAAATTTGAAAAGAATGTAAGTGTCTGTCTAAGGCAGGATCTGAGTTCCCTTGGCCAACATTGAGAACCAACTAGCTATTCTTCTCTTGCCTCTCAAAGATCAACATGCTGCTTAACTTTCAACTGGGAGAGAACTGCCCCTGCCCAGAGGAGATTCGGGAGGAGCTGTATGATTTCCATGAGGACCTTCTCCTTCACTGTGGTAAGCTGCCCAGAGAAAGGCTTTGTCCTTTTTTTACAAGAAGAGTCTGTTTTTGATTCCTTCATTAGAAAGCTAGTGGGAGGTTGGGAAGTTATTTTTGTATTTAAAATTGCAATACTGTCTTTCAAGACGTGACTATCCTAGCTACTTGTGTCAGAAAAGATACAGGAAGTAACCCTGACAGAATATATGACCAAAATTCCTTCTACCTAAAAGAGCCTGTGCTGAGATATAGAGAGGAAACAGGGTTTCTAGCAAAAGAATGAAGACAACTGATCCTTATATAAACCTCACCTAATTTGCTTAAAGTTAGTTGGGACTCTCAGCTTCCAGGTGAGACAAGATTCTGATCTCTTTGCTTTTTAGCTATTAGGGGTGTGTGTGTGTGGGGGGGGGGGGGGGTGTGGGTGTGTGGGTGTGTGTGGTGTGTGTGTGTGTGTGTGTGTGTTTAGTAACTTCTGCCCTTAAGGCTTCTCAGCCAGCAATCTCTACTTGGATACGTACCTACTGGTTTTAAGCAGCTCTCAGCATTTGTGTTGCTTGTACATGGGTAGGTTTAATAATATATGGGTAATTGACAAGCTTTTCATTTGAAATAACTCATTGTTAACTTCTTCTACAGATTCTAGGGCCACGTCCCCCAAACATTCTTCCAGAGGTTTCAACACTATAAGAGTGTATGTAATCCCCCTTACACTCTTTCAGAGGTTTTGGGGGTACAGATTCAAAACACATGTTTTAGGATTAAACTTACTTGTTGTTCTGATAAACAGGAAATCAATATTTTTTTTTTCAAAAGCTATAAGATAGGTAACTATTCACGAGAATAGTATCTTTAGAAAGCCTGTAGTATCTTTAGAAAGTTCCAGAAGGATGGGAAGCAGTTTTTTAAATGTTCTTTGTGACACTATGATGGTTTCATGCACTGCTTTGGATTTTCACCCTGTTCTGTGGCTTGCTAGGGGTTCCTTTGGAAGAAGAGGAAGAGGAGGAGGAGGACACCTCCTGGACAGGAAAACTCTGTGCCTTGGTTTACAAAATCAAAGGCCCACCCAAGCCAGAGAAGGAGCAGCCGACGGAGGAGGAGGAGAGATGCCCCAGTAAGTGACATTGCCTTTAAATGACAGTGTGCTCTTCTAAGACTTAATTAATGTAACTTTTTTTAAACAAATACTGTAAGATAGATAGGGGCTGCTTAACTTCAAAGAAAGCATCTGGGCAGTATGTTATAATTGCTGGTGGTTCAGTTACGTATTTTGGGTTCTGCCTTTCTTCTGATTGAAGAAACTTACTTTCATACTGTCCTGAAACCTGAGATGGGTTGCTTGGTGTCTGTTCTTGCTGTCGTGTTCTACTTAGAGGTGCCTGTAAATACATGTCTGTTCTTCTTTTAGGTTTCCATAGTCTTCCTCTTTTAACCATTATTGTTTCTTAACGATTATTGTTTCTGTCACTTCCCTTTGTGGTTCCTTAGCATTGAAAATTGCCCCAGAGAGAAAATAAAATAATAATAAAAGAGAGTTTGTAAAGGATATAGGATATGAGTTTGGGGGGGTTGTTTTTGGATTTGGGGTATGATTTTTGAAAATGTAGCATCCTAGAAACTTTGACTTCCTATTTTTCAACAATGCCGAGCTTTGTCTAGATTTATCTCTCTAATCCTTATACTATAGATGACTCCTACCGTTTTGACCCATGATGAAACAAGATTATAACTTGTTCTGCAGGGCTGTTAGACTATCTCTAGGACATGAAATTTCAAGAGGAAGATTGTCTTGTCTGAGTATTATATATAATCAGTCTACTCCTTGGTACAGATTCAGCAAATTTATCATTTGTTTAAAGAAGAAGGAATTTCTCAGGTTTAATATCGTTGCTTTTTATCTTGTTACCTATTCCTATCCATCTTGGAACACCCTTTCAAATCGTAGACTAGAGCAATTGACTGTCAAGATAGGATCAGTTTGTCTGAAAACACTACTTTGGGGTTCATACATCTTACTGCCCTTACTGCCCTTTATATCGACCTTTCAACTTTGTCAGAATATCTCTGAAGGGAACAAATCTCACCATTTGTCATCGGAAGTATTGAAACCTCTGGAAGAGTGTATGGGGGACTTGGCAATGGCAACCCTTGATAGGGTAGTTCCATCAGTCACTCTGGAAAGGGCGGGTCTTTTGTGAGGATGTGCCAGCAGCACTCTAAAGCCACAAAAACGTGAGTTTAGGCTCCCTTTGTGGTTACCGCCAAAGGAGAACTGAAAATAGGCTGAGTTACCCATATGTCTCCTATATCACCTGCTGAGAGTCTCTTTTGAAAGTGGTTGCTTCTTTCCCACCTTCTTTTTCTTTTTTTTTTTTTTTTTTTTTTTTCCTGAGACAGGGTCTTGCTCTGTCACCCAGGCTGGAGTGCAGTGGTGTGATCTCCACTCACTGCAACCTCCACCTCACGGTTCAAGCGATTCTCCTGCCTCAGCCTCCCAAATAGCTGGGATTACAGGCATGCGCCACCATGTCTGGCTAATTTTTGTATTTTTAGTAGAGACAGGGTTTCATCATGTTGGCCAGGTTGGTCTCGAACTTTTGACCTCAAGCAGTCTGCCCTCCTCAGCCTCCCAAAGTGCTGGGATTACAGGCATGAGCCACCACAGCTGGCCCTTTCCCACCTTCTTTTTAACAGAGAGTTTGTCATGGCTGGCGGGGGGTGGGGTCCCACCAGGTGACCATTTCATGTGAGGTAAATGGAGTCAGTCAGATGAAGTCACTTGTCACCTGCCTCTGTGAAGCCTCCCCCTACATCTGTGAATGGTGTTCGGGCACCAAGGATTGCAGTCTGCAGCCCCGCTACCTCAGGCCTCAGGCACACAGACCACATTCTGTCTGTCTTGGCAAAACACGCACACCCGAGAGGCCAGCCCTGTATGAGACTGCGTGTCTTCACCTCATGCTTCTTCCCTTCCACAGGAGGAGTTATGAGAGGTTCACGTTTCGTGTCATAAGTACTCTATCTTGGGATCCCAGAAATAGACGAAATGGTTGAGGTGATCAGGCATGTTTGGCTTCTCTGCTGAATGTTCCAGACATGATGAATCCCCTCACTCAAGCCTGGCATTTTAAAATAAATTCTAGAGAGTGGTTTAACAACCACCACCCCCATAAATTGTTTTTAATATGATCAGATGGAGACAAGGTTGCTGATTACAGAACCATATGCATTAAAGGGTCAAAATCCTTTAAATTATTGGTAATTTTGTTCATGCTATTGCGTATCTGATTTCTATTACCCTTGCATTTGATGAAATAATAAAAGTGTAGATAGTGTTAGAAACGTTATACAATGAATTGGCAGTTTACTGAATACTTCCACACATATTCATTTACTGCTGTTAGTTTTCTACACTCCTCCATTGTATAGTTGGGGGAAGCAGGACTCAGAAGAATTAAGGGGTACTTGTTTATTCTTTCTACCCTTACCCGTTCCAGAAAAACGTCCGGGTGTCTGATTGTCACCAACCTAAGGTACGTAAAGTGAGTAAAGCTATGGCTTGAAGGCAGGTCTTCTGTCTCTTTGTATTGTGCTGTGCTTCTCCACTGTACCCTTGCCAAAGAACTTACCAGCATACATACCATGAGCTACAAACACATTTGGAATGGCTTTTTAAAATCACTCTTTTTATCTTGCCTACTACATCTGTGAGATATCTCACTGTTTTGACTCAAAATCTGAACCCAACGGAATTCAATGTTTTAACATTTAAAAGTTCACCAAACCAAGGATCTGAATCATTTTCAGATAAGGTGGTGGTGGGCTCACCCCGCAGTCCCTCTGCTGTGAGCAGTTGATGTTGGCCAATGACCTGCAGAGAAGCCACAACTTTTCTAGGAAAGAGAGAGCAACAGTGTCCTGAAACTCACATTCTGAAATCTGCTAGCTGGCTCAATGTTGAAGGGATTTGCCTAAATTAACTCCAAGCCATATTGTTAATGAAAGCTGTTACAATATTATCAAAGGATCAAATGATAATGAACAAGTGAAAAAATCTAACAATAGTAGCCACTGTACTAAGTCACTTTTTTTTCGTATCTCCATCCAGAAAATTCCCTAGAAAATGTTTTGCTTGTTCCTTCTGGCCAGTACTTTTCCAACGCTGCAGTTTAAGCAGCATTTCCTTCAATGTAAATATATAGGCATTGAATTATTCTTCCAGAAGAGGCTGACCATCTATTTCTCCTAAATTCTAAAATTAACAAAATAAAAACCATCTGTCAAATTTTACAGATTAAAATTCGGTAAATTCTTGATCTCTGCCATTTGTTGAATGCTTTCCCCATGGGAGAAGGAAGCTCCACGCTGGCATCTTATCTCTATGCTTAGAGGTCTTGAGATGACCCATTGCAATTCAGCTTTGGGTGGCATCGGTTAAGAACTGAGTTATAGGTGAGCATGGCTGAGTCTTTCTGAAGGAGGTGAACATCCCTCTTCTGTCTTTAGCCCTGTGCTGTTTGCCACAGAATGTTACCTCTCGCAGAGATTAGGTGGCACTCTTGGCCTTGAATAGTGCCTGCTCTCCCCTGCCACTCTTCTCCTAATGAAGACCAGAACTGGAGGTGACCTTGAACCTGTCAAGCCCCAAAGTCCTTACGTATGTTACCTCTTGCCTATTCACTGAACAGCCTAGGAGCCCTAAACCAAAATTCTCTCCCAGCTAAATGCTGTAGCATGTTTAGTGCTGAGAAGAAGAAAACATCTATACGAAATAAGTCCTAGCCCCTCAACACAAATACGCACATGCAAAGTGAGATAACTTAGTAGTAAGTACATCTGCAGAGCTCAGGCAGTATTTCTAAGCCTCTTCTCTAAATTCTCTCCAAAGAGCCTCTCCCTAAACACACACACACACAAACACCTCCTCTGTGAAGTCTTTCAAACTCATTCTTTTTCCCTCTACCCCTTCCATATTGTGGAATTTCTAGTAGTGTATGTATGACTTTCCACGTTATGTGAGGTACTTGTATATGTGTTTGTTTTCCTCACCAGGTCTTAATGCAGGGAACATGTCGTACTTGTTTCCACACTCAGCTCTATGGCACAAATCTTTTTGACCTCCAACTGAATATTGGTTACTTGAGGCTCATAAAAAAGAAGAAAACAGGGACCTTTCAGAAAAAGGAGGAAATGGGTATGGCTAGGCAACTCAAAATAATCATGAGGTTGGATGTATTGTAATAAAAGTACAGACAAAATACAGTAGGTGGCCAGAGGAGGAGATTGGGAAATTGTCTGTGAAGAATGTAGATGGATGGATAAAATAAGAAGGAAAAGGCATTTTTAATGAAAAAAAAAAAAAAAGCTGCTTCAACAAAGGCCCATGTGCAGCAAAGTTCATGTCATATACAGGAGTGGCAACAAGTTGAGAATGGCTGAATTATAAAAAGAATAGAATGGGTCAGAATGGAAAAAAAAAAAAAAAAGAGTGGTGTTAGAATATAGAACATCTTGAAAAATCCAGTGGCTATAGTCCCAGTTACTGGGGAGGCTGAAGCAGGAGAATGGGGTGAACCCAGGAGGCGGAGCTTGCAGTGAGCCGAGATAGTGCCACTGCAGTCCGGCCTGGGTGACAGAGCGAAAATTCTGTCTCAAAAATCCAGCAGCTAAACCGTATGCAGGCTTAGAGTGTTACTCTTTGTTATGCCCATGTATTTTGTAATATTTGGTCTCCCAGTTGTGGGGAGGGAGGGGCTAACACTTACGTGGTACCCACTTTGTCCTGAGCATTGTCTTGAGCACTTCCATAAATATTACCTCGTTTAATTCTCATGAGAACAATCTGTAATACACAATTCTATTTCTATTTTACAATTGAAACTGAAGTAAAGACAGAGTAAGTAACTTTCCAAAATCACACAGAGGTGGCATAAAACTTCAAAACTTTGTCAACCTGAATTCAACGCCCATCCTTGTCACTTATGTAATAACATCCTGCCCCCTATAGGCAATGGCTGTGAAACGGCTTAAGGACTAAATGATTAATTTACTTAACAGTACTGAGATAGTTATGAGCACAGGGCTCCGGAGTTAGGCTACCTAGTCTTAAGTTATTAACTTCTCCCAAAATTCATGATATCCAGGAGACTGAGCATGAGACAGCTTCTCTGTGCCTCAGTTTTCTCATCTATAAAATGGACATGGCATATACATACTTACCTCATTGGGTTGATATAAGCATTACATTAGTTAATATGTGCAAATTGCTTAAATGTGTGTCTGGCATATAGTAAGCGCTTAATTTTAACTATTTTTTGGCTATCGTTTGTTGATTACTTGCCATCTTAGGCACAAATCAAGCTGCTTTAGCAAGACAATAGTCTTTTAATTAATGATTTAGCCCTTACCAGCTTTGTGTAGCCCTCCCTGCAGCAGGGAGACATTGGGAACAGGAGCATCCATTAGGATTTCATCGCAGTGCTCTGGGTGAGAGGTTCTGAGGACTTGAATAAGGCTGGTATGGTAGCCAGGATAATTGCCCCCCAAAGATGTTCACATCCCAATTCCTAGAACCTGTGGATATGTTAGGTTAAATGGTCAAAAAAAATGCAGATGGAATTAAGAGTGCTAATCAGGAAATCTCGATTATTGGAGTTGACCCAAAGTAATCCCAAGGGTTCTCAAGAGTGAGAGAGATTGACAGAAGAGAGCCAGAGATATGCAACATGAAAAGGGTGTGGCTTAAATTTCCTGAAGGAAGGGGTCATGAGCCAACAAATGTACGCTGCCTCTAGAAGGTAAAAAAAAAAAAAAGGCAAGGAAATGGATTGTCTCCCAGAGCCTTCAGAAAGGATTGCACCTTGTCACACCTTGATTTCAGTCTAGATCTGGGGCAGACTTCTCATCTATAGAATCATAGGACCGGAAATTTCTGTTGTTTTAAGCCACTAAGTTTGTGGTAATTTGTCACAGCAGCAATAGAAAAGGTGGTGACAACAAAAAGTATTTTTGAGGTGTCAGACATGTTAGAGGTAGGGTTGCCATATCCTGGCACCCAGTTAGAAATGTGAAGAAGAACAAGGCATTAAAGAGAGCATTATAGTCGCCTGAGAGATGGTCAAGTGCATAATGGACATGCAGATGGGGTCAGTGTGGGAACAAGGGCAGAACTTTACTTTTATTTAGCTCCATAGAGGTTGCAAGAAGATTTTTTCCACACAGTCTGATTTGCCTTGACACCCTGCATGGCAAACAAAACAGATATCATTAGTCCTAGCTTAGAGATGAGGAAACGGGGACTCCGAGGTGTTAAGCAACTTGCCTACCTCACAGGTGGCAAAGCAGGCATAAAAACTCATTGTATTGGGCTCCTGGAATGGTGCTTCACAGTAATCGATGCTTAAAAAGTATTCTGTGATCTGTTGAATCAATCATTGTCAGGCCCTCTCTTTTGGTAGCCTGTGCTTTAGTGATGGGGAAGAGAGTTTGGTTCTCAGGAGAGAGAAAGTCGAACACTTAATTGAGTACCTCCTTTGTGCCCGGTACTGCGCTTGGCACTTCACCTTACCTCGTTTGATTTTATTCTCGCAACAAGCAACCAAGTATAGTGACCTCTAGGCTCCCATTTTATGCACTAGGCAACTAAGCCTGAGGGTAGAAAAATAATTCGGACAAAGTCTTGCAACAAGTAAGAAAAAGGCCAAGATCTGAATTGCATTCCGTATCCCGGACCCACACTCTTTCCAGAGCACCGGGCAGGGATGCCTGGAAAGGGGGCCATGGGGATGGAGAGAGGGGGATAGGGAAGCATGGATGTTTAGGGTACATGGCCAGTGGCTTGCCTCATAATCACTTATTCTCTATATTGAAACTAAAAAGCAATTCGATGACTTTCCCAGCTGAGTGAAGACAGAGGCCCGAGGTCCCTGAGTCCTTCGCTGTGCCATCTCTGCCTCATCTTTATTTCAGAGGCATCTCTCCCTAACACATCAGCAGACGCCCTCTGTCCTCACTGTGCTCTTTTCCCCACCATCATCATCGGTCATTTAATCGCCTACATGTATTGAAAAACTGATTATGAGGCTGGTTGACAGATTTCAAAAACAGGCTAATTATCTTAGTCTGATGGATGAAACCCCTTGGGACTCTAGAGCAGGACTGGCAGAATCAGGCTGCAAACACAGTCTTACTGGCTTGCAGGGCTGCCTCTGTCAGATATGGGTATCTGTATCTGTCTGGCTAGGGAAGCAGTTCTGGGAGTGAAGCATTTTGCTTCTGCTCTTGTCTCCATCCTTAGAGATGTGGAGGCTCTGCTCAAGGTAGAAAACCACAGACGGAGGGAAATTTAGAAACAGATTTAGCAGAAATACACACCTGTCACGAGCCTATCTAGACACAGCCTGTCCTGAGAGCCAAGCTCTGTGGGCCAGTATGACTGGGGCAGTTTTGTGGGATTCACAGCCAATCACGGATAGAGTCAGGAGGCTCCATATCCACTACGCCTTCTGGACACCACCTATTTATAGGAACTTAGATTTGTTTATTCAATTGAAGCGTTGCTTTGCCTAAAGAAACCATAAAGTGAGGCTTGGGTTAAGAAGGGCCATCATCGTTGGGGAAATTCCGTCCATGCCACACCTGTCTTGTCAGTTTTTACATGGTAATGATGAGGATTGAATGATCATTCAGGCACAGTAATAAAGAGTCGGACACAGGAAGCTCTTAGTAAATGTTGGCTATACTATTTGATATGGTTTGGCTCTGTGTCCCCACACAAATCTCATGTCGAATTGTAATCCCCACGTGTTGAAGCAGGGGCCTGGTGGGAGATGACTGAATCATGGGGGGGAGACTTCCCCCATGCTGTTCTCATAATAGAGTTCCCACAAGATCTGGTTGTTTGAAAGTGTATAGTTCTTCCCCCTTCATACGCACTCTCTCTCTCCTGCTCTGCCATGATAAGATGTGCTTGCTTCCCCTCTGCCTTCCACCACAATTGTAAGTTTTCTGAGGCCTCCCAGCCATGCTTCCTGTACAGCCTGCAGAATTGTGAGTCAATTAAACCTCTCTTCTTCATAAATTATGCAATCTCAGGTAGTTCTTTATAGCAGTGTGAGAATGGACTAATACATTATGATAATGAGAGGTAGGATGTTCTAGAAGGCAGTTTGAACTTTTATTCTTCAGCCAAGGAAGCCGATATAGAAAGATAGAAGTGTACATACCCAAAAATTAAATACAGACCTGAGATGTGTCCTGCTGTTTCCTGTGGAGCCTGGGGCCAGCCCTATACCATCACGCGCCTCGAGGGGTCTGACAGCCAGTGCCTGTTCCTGTGCCCTGATAACATGCTGTAAACAGAGCAGTTCTTCTTATCACCCAAGAACAATGCTCCGGGTTATCTTCACAGGTTTTTCCTTTGACTGCAGAGAGCCTTGTAACTTTATTCTGAGTAATCACAACATCCTTGTTCTAGCAAAATGAGGCCAAAATGGTACCTACTGCACAACCTGGGCCAGAGAGGCCCTGGGGAAGCACAGAGAAATTTGCATGATGAATTCTTCAAAAGTCCTCTTGAAGTCCATGGATTTAACTTTTTCCCTGACCTTCTCTGCTAATAAGTAGTAGATACTTGATGACTTTGTAATTCAGATCAGACTTTTGGCCTAGAGGATGCTCTAGGGCACAGACCACAGAGGGCATGAGTTCCCCTCCCCCCCGCCCCCTGTAAATCTTCCCTACTAAATCTAGAGGGTGTTATTGCATCACCTGACCCCTGACACAGGAAGCTTCATTTCTCTGCCAGCAATCAGGACAGTCATCAAAAAGGCCATCAAGTTGCCACAGCTCATCTCCTCGCTGTAAATGTTTAGTGATGTGCAGTGATGCTTTGATAATGGCCACTTACTCACCATAGTGAGTAACCACTGGAATTTTGAGATTTTATTTCTTCATCCTCAGGTTTTACTGTTAGGAAAAGCAAGCTGGGTACCATCAAAATAGGGCATTAAAATGTGGTGGTAAAATTCTTGATGCTCATTAATTTAACCCAATGAAGCCAAAGGCTTTCATTTGCCATTTTAGTAAACTGACACAACCCTTTCAAGAGCTCCATGGGTCAGATAGAAATAGAACCATGGAATATTAAGCCACAAGTGACTTGACTTCATAGAAGGGCACAGAGACACAGAGAGGTAGGTGACTTGCCCAAGGTCACATAGCCAGAACTAGAACAAAGGACTCTTATTCCCTGACCAGTACTCTTGTTCCCATACCACACTTACATTCATTTTCTTCAACATAAATTTTGTATTGCTAATTTCATTTTATTGGTGAAGAAATCAAGGCTCTGGGAAAATGAGTAATCTGCCCAGCTGAGAGTCAGAAAAAGAACTAAAGCTTTATGATTTGGGAGATTTTATTTCTGAATCCATTTTATGGTTTATTAAAAGAGCATCATCTAGATATTATAATATAAAGTTAAAGCATTAATAAAGATAACTGTTTTTCTGAGTTTTATGGAGCTATTGAGAGTAAACAGCTCTCAGATGGTCAGGTAGATGTGCTTAGATTCCAGCAGCATGGGTTTGAATCCAAACTCTGACATTCACTAATTGATTGTAATATTAGGCAACTTCCTTAACCTCTGTATATTTCAGTTTCTCTATATGAAAAATGAGAATAATAGTAGCTCCTATCCTGCTGAGTGGGGGCTAGGGAATATAAGGATTAAATAAAATAGTGCTCAGCTGGATGTCCTGGTACTTGGAAGTTTGTATACCTCAGCTTCTGAAATGAGTATACAAAGCATAGATCATAAGAACTTCATCTCCACATTTATCTTTTCAGATGCGTTCAGCAAACGAGCAACAGGAAGCCCAACTCAGGTAGAATAGCCATTAACAGATTTCACTGGCTGACATCTGTGAGTTTAGCGATGGAGCCAGCCAAGGACTGAGTTCATCCAGTGGCTCTGCTCACTCTCCAGGCAGTCATCTTGCTTCTTGTTCCAGCTTTGCCCTCGAGCTGGCAGAAAGATGGTGGCTGCAGTTCTGGGCCTCATATCCGTGCACTACAGTGTCCAAGGGAAAAGTGAGAAAGTTTATCCTGCCCTGGTATTGCAAGCAAGGATCCCGAGATCACTTTTGATTACAAAAACTTGGTCACAGGCCAATTCGTGTACCAGAGTGTGACCTAGAAAATGGAACATGCTAGTTGACTTAAGTCAACAGGGTCTATTTTTGAAATAAGTTTGGGTCATTTTACATTCCTGAGGAGCATAGGCTGTAAGTTGGAGAGGCAGAAAACTGTGCAAAAGCAGGGTTCTGTTAAGAAGGAAGAAGAGACAAACGGGTGCTATGTATGTGGTCAGTAATATTCATTATGCATGATGGTTACATCTTCAGCGTCTTTAATTTATTCAGGGGTAAATGTTGACATGCAGCCGGTTCTGGCTCGTGATTTTCAGAGGGAGAACAGGGCAAAAAGAAAAGCTGTGTTCTAGAAACTGGAGACTGTGCTGTCTGTAATCTACATACGTTACCTAATGGTGCACAGCAGTTCTGCAGTAGGTGCTTTCTGTGTTTAATGTCAGCTCTGGCTTCTCAAGAGCTCTGAGCCAGATTCAGGCAGACCTCAGTTACCTCAATAGCCCTGCAATTTACTCCAGCTGCCTCAACAATACATAGAAGACTGTATCTCTCTTGGGTCCCAGTTTCTGTGGGCACATTTGTCATGGCTTTCTAACAGAGACTCTCCAGTCTGGTTTGTAGCCTCAGAAAAGAGTTAACCATCCTCAACCCAAGACTTTCTTAACAGCTGGAGTACGTTAGTTTTCTACTGTTGCTATAGCAAATTATCACAAACTTAATGGTACTGCAAACAACACAAATTTACCTCTTACGGTTCTGGAGGTCACAAGTCAACAGTAGGCTAGTAGGGCTGCATTCCTTCTGGACTTTCTAGGGGAGAATATACATTTCATGCCTTTCCCAGCTTCTTCACATCTGAAAAGTCTCTTTTGTAAGGTAACATATTCATAGGTTCTGGTAATTAGGACATGGACGTTTGGGGGAGTTGGAGGGACATTATTTAGTCTACTACTGGGAGAAATAAAGTAGAGGTCAAAATACACTTGTTCTTTACACTTCAAAATTATCTACCACCTGTTCATGCCTCCAGAGCATTTACAGCATGCCACAAGCTGACTTTTCAATCACTTAGAATTTAAAAATAAGTGTACATCCTTTACATGCACATAATTATTTTTCTTTTCCCATTGTAATGTGAGCATTATAAATTGCTTTCTAAGTGTAACCTAAGTGTGGTGCAATTTTGTTTGCTCCCTCTTCTCAAAGTGATTGGATGACTTTTTCTTCCAAACTGACCCAGATTTAAGAGCACTCACAAAGATACAACACCAGCGTAGGTTTGAGATCTGTAAGCTGCAGGGATTTGCTTTGCCAGTGGCCAACCTCCACTCTTCGATCATAATGTACTTCATTGCGTGATGGCCACTTGGACTGTGATCTAAATTTGGAGGAAGAAATAAAAGATTATTTACAGACCCCTGCAGCCTAAACATTTAAACCTGCACCATGAAAATAAGTGACCTTTCCTTTATGGTAGTTGGCATTGCAAAGCTGGTTATTTTACCATTTAAAAAGGAGTTACACCAACTTTGGTAGGTGAATCTTTAGAGAATTTCTCATAAGGGTCACACATGGTGGGCTTGGTTTCTAAAGTCAGAGCAGAAAGTTACAAAACAACAAGTGGAGCGCAATAAACAACTTAACAATGAGTGACACCTGGACTCCAAACTGATGTACTAAGGCTAGCTCAAATTTAAAGACCCTCTAACTCTTTGTTATTATGTAAAAGGTCTGACTAGTCCAAAAATTAGGTAATGAGTAGGTTTTTTTTTTTCCTTTTTGAAATATCCCTCAGGCATCAAGTCTCCCTAAACAATACAGTGCCTTGGAAATATTTCCATTCTGAGTTAGCCTGAATAATCATTTAAAATGCAGCTTATACATCATATATTTGATATCATTGCCTTAATGTGACTACCCCTAATTACGCTAATTGCAAAAGTGAAGTGAATTAGAATGTTAATAATAATCTCATAAATGAAGCCATTTATAATTATCAAGGAAACCATCTGTACATGACTAGCTTCCCTAAGACATTCTGTTCAAGAGCATTTGCTTTATTTCTCATCAGAAAACATGTGCCTGGCAACATATTTTTCTTTCTTGTCCCTTTTTGAAAAGAACAGTATATTGTAATCCCATGAACCGAACCATCGAGTGCACTTGGCAAGGCCTTCTTGAGATTCTGCTAAGTCAGTGCATAAAAATCCTAGAGATGCAACAAGGTCTGCTGAGGCGTCCTTACTATGTGTGGTGGTTCTGAGTGGGGTTAAGTGGTGTGCACATGCATGTGTGTGTGTGTTGAAAGAGTAAGACGGGCCATACCTTGTGGCAAATGGTAGATTTAACCTCTTCACCTCAATGTCATCTTGCTTCTGATGGCTGTCCCACTTTGAGAGTCATGTTTCCTTTTTTTTTTTGAGATGGAGTCTCGCTCTGTTGCCCAGGCTGGAGTGCAGTGGCGCGATCTTGGCTCACTGCAAGCTCCGCCTCCCGGGTTCATGCCATTCTCCTTCCTCAGCCTCCCGAGTAGCTGGGACTACAGGCGCCTGCCACCATGCCCGGCTAATTTTTTGTATTTTTAGTAGAGATGGGGTTTCACTGTGTTTGCCAGGATGATCTCGATCTCCTGACCTCATGATCCACCTGCCTTGGCCTCCCAAAGTGCTGGGATTACAGGTGTGAGCCACCGCGCCCAGCCGAGAGTCATGTTTCTTATGAATACTGAAGTATTTTGTAGTCACTAAAGGGTAGCATTTCTAAAGATGAACTCAGTAAAGCAACAGAAATAAAATCAGTATTTAGTTGTAACTCTTCTTAACATCTCTAATGCTCTTTGTTTATGAAAGAGATTCATGTATATTCACAAGAAATAAGTCCCTCCATTGCTGTTTGAAAATCCTACCAAAATTGGGGAGTCCATTCCAAGATGGCCAAATAGGAACAGCTCTGGTCTGCAGCTCCCAGCATGATTGACACAGAAGACGGGTGATTTCTGCATTTCCAGATGAGGTACCTGGTTCATCTCACTGGGACTGGTTGAACAGTGCGTGCAGCCCATGGAGGGTGAGCCAAAGCAGGGTGGGGCATCACCTCACCCAGGAAGCACAAGGGGTCGGGGGATTTCCCTTTCCTAGCCACGGGAAGCCGTGACAGACTGTACCTGGAAAAAGGAGAAACTTCCGCCCAAATACTGCGCTTTTCCCAAGGTCTTAGCAACTGGCAGACAAGGAGATTCTCTCCTGTGCCTGCCTCAGCGGGTCCCAGGCCCACGGAGCCTTGCTCACTGCTGGAGCAGCAGTCTGAGATCGAATTGCAAGGCGGCAGCCTGGCAGGAAGAGGGGCGTCTGCCATTGCTGAGGCTTGAGTAGGTAAACGAAGCAGCCAGGAAGCTCGAACTGGGCAGAGCCCACCACAGCTCAGCAAGGCCTACTGCCTCTATACACTCCACCTCTGTGAGCAGGGCATAGCTGAACAAAAGGCAGCAGACAACTTCTGCAGACTTAAATGTCCCTGTCTGACAGCTCCGAAGAGAGCAGTGGTTCTCCCAGCACAGTGTTTGAGCTCTGAGAATGGACAGACTGCCTCCTCAAGTGGGTCCCTGACCCCCATGTAGCCTAACTGGGAGACACCTCCCAGTAGGGGGCAACACACACCTCATATAGGCAGGGTGCCCCTCTGGGATGAAGTTTCTAGAGGAAGGATCAGGCAGCAATATTTGCTGTTCTGCAGCCTCCACTGGTGATACCCAGGCAAACAGAGTCTGGAGTGAACCTCTAGCAAACTCCAACAGACCTGCAGCTGAGGGACCTGACTCTTAGAAGGAGAATTAACAAACAGAAAAGAATAGCATCAACATTAAAAAAAAGGACATCCACACCAAAACCCCATCTGTAGGTCACCAGCATCAAAGACCAAAGGTAGATAAAACCACAAAGATGATTATCCAGGAAAACTTCCCCAATGTAGCAAGGCAGGCCAACAATCAAATTCAGGAAATACAGAGAACACCACAAAGATATTCCTCGAGAAGAGCAACCCCAAGACACATAATCATCAGACTGACCAAGGTTGAAATGAAGGAAAAAATATAAAGGGCAGCCAGAGAGAAAGGTTGCGTTACCCACAAAGGGAAGCCCATTAGACTAACAATGGATCTCTCAGCAGAAACCCTGCAAGCCAGAAGAGGGTGGGGGCCAATATTCAACATTCTTAAAGACTTTTCAACCCAGAATTTCATTCCAGCCAAACTAAGCTTCATAACTGAAGGAGAAACAAAATCCTTTATAGACAAGGAAATGCTGAGAGATTTTGTCACTGCCAGGCCCGCCTTACAAGAGCTCCTGAAGGAAGCACTAAACATGGAAAGGAACAACCAGTACCAGCCACTGCAAAAACATGCCAAATTGTAAAGACCATTGATGCTATGAAGAAACTGTATCAATTAACAGGCAAAATAACCAGCTAACATCATAATGACAGGATCAAATTCACACATGACAATATTAACTTTAAATGTAAATGGGCTAAATGCCCCAATTAAAAGATCTAGACTGGCAAATTGGATAAAGAGTCAAGACCCATCAGTGTGCTGTATTCGGGAGACCCATTTCACGTGCAGAGACACACATAGGCTCAAAACAAAGGGATGGAGGAAGATCTACCGAGCAAATGGAAAGCAATAAAAAGCAGGGGTTGCAATCCTAGTCTCTGATAAAACAGACTTTAAACCAACAAAGATCAAAAGAGACAAAGAAGGCCAATACATAATGGTAAAGGGATCAATTCAACAAGAAGAGCTAACTATCCTAAATATATATGCACCCAATACAGGAGCACCCAGATTCATAAAGCAAGTCCTTAGAGACCTACAAAGAGACTTAGACTCCCACACAATAATAATGGGAGACTTTAACACCCCACTGTCAATATTAGATCAACGAGACAGAAAGTTAACAAGGATATCCAGGAATTGAACTCAGCTCTGCACCAAGCGTACATAATAGACATCTACAGAACTCTCTACCCCAAATCAACAGAATATACATTCTTCTCAGCACCACATTGCACTTATTCCAAAAGTGACCACATAATTGGAAATAATGCACTCCTCAGCAAATGTAAAAGAACAGAAATCACAACAAACTGTCTCTAAGACCACAGTGCAATCAAATTAGAATTCAGGATTAAGAAACTCACTCAAAACCGCACAACTACATGGAAACCGAACAATCTGCTCCTCAATGACTACTGGGTAAATAACGAAATTAAAGCAGAAATAACGATGTTCTTTGAAACCAATGAGAACAAAGACACAACATACCAGAATCTCTGGGACACATTTAAAGCAGTGTGTAGAGGGAAATTTATAGCACTAAATGCCCACAAGAGAAAGCAGGAAAGATCTAAAATCAACACCCTAACATCACAATTAGAAGAACTAGAGAAGCAAGAGCAAACACATTCAAAAGCTAGCAGAAGGCAAGAAATAACTAAGATCAGAGCAGAACTGAAGGAGATAAGAGACACAAAAAACCCTTCAAAAAAATCAATCCAGGAGCTGGTTTTTTGAAAAGATAGACCGCTAGCAAGATTAATAAGAAAAGAGAGAAGAATCAAATAGACGCAATAAAAAATCGTAAAGGGGATGATATCACCACCAATCGCACAGAAATACAAACTACCATCAGAGAATACTATAAACACTTCTACGCAAATAAACTAGAAAATCTAGAAGAAATGGATTACTTCCTGGACACGTACACCCTCCCAAGACTACACCAGGAGAAGTTGAATCTCTGAATAGACCAATAACAGGCTCTGAAATTGAGGTAATAATTAATAGCCTACCAACCAAAAAAAGTCCAGGACCAGACGAATTCACAGCCGAATTCTACCAGAGGTACAAAGAGGAGCTGGTACGATTCCTTTGGAAACTATTCCAATGAATAGAAAAAGAGGGAATCCTCCCTTACTCATTTTATGAGGCCAGCATCATCCTGCTACCAAAGCCTGGCAGAGACACAACAAAAAAAGAGAACTTTAGACCAATACCCCTGATGAACACTGATGCCAACATCCTCAATAAAATACTGGCAAACTGAATCCAGTAACACATCAAAAAGCTTATCCAATCAAGTTGGCTTCATCCCTGGGATGCAAGGCTGGTTCAACATACAGAAATCAATAAATGTAATCCATCACATAAACAGAACCAAAGACAAAAACCACATGATTATCTCAATAGATGCAGAAAAGCCTTCGACAAAATTCAACAGCGCTTCATGCTAAAAACTCTCAATAAACTAGGTGTTGATGGGCCTTATCTCAAAATAATAAGAGCTGTCTATGACAAACCCACAGCCAATATCATAATGGGCAGAAACTGGAAGCATTCCCTTTGAAAATCGGCACAAGACAGGGATGCCCTCTCTCACCACGCCTATTCAACATAGTGTTAGAAGTTCTGGCCAGGCCAATCAGGCAAGAGAAAGAAATAAAGGGTATTCAATTAGGAAAAGAGGAAGTCAAATTGTCCCTGTTTGCCAATGACATGATTGTATATTTAGAAAACCCCATCATCTCAGCCCAAAATCTCCTTAACCTGATAAGCAACTTCAGCAAAGTCTCAGGATACAAAATCCATGTGTAAAAATCACAAGCATTCCTATACACCAATAACAGACAAACAGCCAAATCATGAGTGAACTCCCATTCGCAATTGCTACAAAGAGAATAAAATACCTAGGAATCCAACTTACAAGGGATGTGAAGGACCTCTTCAAGGAGAACTACAAACCACTGCTCAATGAAATGAAAGAGGACACAAACAAATGGAAGAACATTCCATGCTCATGGATAGGAAGAATCAGTATCATGAAAATGGCCATACTGCCCAAGGTAATTTGTAGATTCGATGCCATCCCCATCAAGCTACCAATGACTTTCTTCACAGAATTGGAAAAAACTACTTTAAAGTTAATATGGAACCAAAAAAGAGCCCACATTGCCAAGACAGTCCTAAGGAAAAAGAACTAAGCTGGAGGCATCACACTACTGATTTCAAACTATACTACAAGGCTGCAGTAACCAAAACAGCATGGTGCTGGTACCAAAACAGATATATAGACCAATGGAACAGAACAGAGGCCTCAGAAATAACACCACACATCTACAACCATCTGATCTTTGACAAACCTGACAAAAACAGGAAATGGGGAAAGGATTCCCTATTTAATAAATGGTGCTGGGAAAACTGGCTAGCCATATGTAGAAAGCTGAAACTGGATCCCTTCCTTACACCTTAGACAAAAATCAATTCAAGATGGATTAAAGACTTAAATGTTAGACCTAAAACCATAAAAACCGTAGAAGAAAACCTAGGCAATACCATTCAGGACGTAAGCATGGGTAAGGACTTCATGACTAAAACACCAAAAGCAATAGCAACAAAAGCCAAAATAGACAAATGGGATCTAATTAAACTCAAGAGCTTCTGCACAGCAAAAGAAACTACCATCAGAGTGAACAGGCAACCTACAGAATGGGAGAAAAATTTTGCAATCTACTCATCTGACAAAGGGCTAATATCCAGAATTTACAAAGAACTCAAACAGATTTACAAGAAAAAAAACAACCCCATCAAAAAAATGGGCAAAGGATATGAACAGACACTTCTCAAAAGAAGACATTTATGGGGGGCTGGGCACGGTGGCTCACACCTGTAATCCCAGCACTTTGGGAGGCTGAGGCAGGGCAGATCACGAGACAGGAGATCGAGACCATCCTGGATAACATGGTGAAACCCCGTCTCTACTAAAAATACAAAAAATTAGCCAGGCGTGGTGGCGGGCACCTGTAGTCCCAGCTACTTGGGAGGCTGAGGCAGGAGAATGGCGTGGACCCGGGAGGTGGAGCTTGCAGTGAGCCAAGATTGCGCCACTGCACTCCAGCCTGGGCGACAGAGCGAGACTCCATCTCAAAAAAAAAAAAAAAAAAAGACATTTATGCAGCTAACAGACACATGGAAAAGTGTTCATCATCACTGGTCATCAGAGAAATGCAAATCAAAACCACAATGAAATATCATCTCGTGCCAGTTAGAATGGCGATCATTAAAAAGTCAGGAAACAACAGATGCTGGAGAGGATGTGGAGAAACAGGGATGCTTTTACACTGTTGGTGGAAGTGTAAAGTAGTTCAACCATTGTGGAAGACAGTGTGGCAATTCCTCAAGGATCTAGAACTAGAAATACCATTTGATCCGGCAATCCCATTACTGGGTATATACCCAAAGGATTATAAGTCATGCTACTATAAAGACACATGCGCACATATGTTTATTGCAGCACTATTCACAATAGCAAAGACTTGGAACCAACCCAAATGTCCATCAATGATAGACTAGATTAAGAAAATGTGGCACATAAACACCATGAAATACTATGCAGCCATAAAAAAGGATGAGTTCATGTCCTTTGCAGAGACATGGATGAAGCTGGAAACCATTCCCAGCAAACTATCACAAGGACAGAAAACCAAACACTCCATGTTCTCACTCATAGGTAGGAATTGAACAATGAGAACCCTTGGACACAGGGTGGGGAACATCACACACCGGGGCCTGTTGTGGGGTGGGGGAGGGGGGAGGGATAGCATTAGGAGAAATACCTAATGTAAATGACGAGTTGATGGGTGCAGCACACCAACATGGCACATGTATACCTATGTATCAAACCTGCATGTTATGCACATGTACCCTATAACTTAAATTTAAAAAAAAAATCCTACCAAAATTGTCAGCATTCTCCCATGGATACTATATATATATGTACACACACATGCACACATACACACAGATGCACACACACATACAGGTACTTTATGTATGAATCATCTCTCTAAGGAACATAGCATTCCAAAATAATCATAGCAAAGCATAATGTCTTTTTCATCAGATCATTTCTGGTATCACTTGGAAGGCCCCTCTTTTAACTTCCTGATAGAGCTTTTTCTTCCCTGCTTCTTTAGTCTCCATGTAATGGAGGCTTATTCTAGAAATATAAAAAACTTCAGATAAAAAAAGCCATTGGAAGAAAAGAGGGAGATCTTATTGTTTCTCTTCTCTAGTTTCTTTTGAATATATGTGTTACTATAGGAGTTATACCTTCTTATGAATTGTCTTATTTCCTAATTGTCTGAGACAACACAGTTTTACTCATTATTTTACACTTTATTTTTTATTAAATGCCTCACATGTGTTAGTTTCTCCAACTAGGCTGTAGTGGGTAATAATTGTGTCTTGAAATAGTTTCTTGTAGAGTACTTAACCTTGGGCATGTAACAGATACCCAGAAAATGCTGGTCAGTTAAAAGCTAACTTAGAGGTGGCACGACTGGAGTTAATTCAGCTATTCAGATGAAGATAGGCAGAAACTTGTGAATTGGTGTACGTCCTGAGTCCTGGACACATATCAACTTCAGGGCAAAGCCTTCTATAGTTGACAGCTCTGGTTTCCAGTATTAATAAGAGCAAAGTCATTGCTGAAGGATCAGCTAATGTTGGGGACAAAGAGTTAAGTGCCTCCCTCTCCAGCCTGCAGCCCACCTTTGTGCGTGTGCAGAGCGGGCTGAAGAAAGCCATGCAGCCTCAGCATAATACAAGCCTGGCTCCCTCCTTGCTTAGAAGATGACTGTTCTTAAGCCCAAATTCAGGAGAAAAAAAGCATTAGGAGCCCTTCAGGCTAGCAGGTTGCCCTTTGGTGATGAATGAATAATAGCCAGGGCCCTTGACTGCCAGGATTCAATTTTCAAAATAATGATTCTTTAATCCTCACTTTATTTCTCAATGTGAGGTGTCTTACTCTTCTTATATGAGATACTCTTCTTACATGAGATATTCTTCTTACGTGAGATGCTCACATTTAATCTCGTACATACCTGCCTCCCATTCAGAAGTAAACATGGAAAGCTTCCTCATCTGTAGCTTTCTAGGTTCATGTCTCAGCTACTTGATCAGAATCATGCAGCCTAATGGAACAGGTTTCATCTTAGCTGGAGGGAAAGCTTTGGTTTCCAATCACAGCCTCACTTCAGCATAGGCCCTTTTATATAGATCCGTGGTTCTCAAACCCTTTGGTCTTGGGACCCCTTTACACTATTGAAAATTACTGAGAACCCCAAAAGCTTTAGTTTATGTGGATTATATCTATCAGTGTTTACCAAATTTAAAATTAAAATTGACAAATATTTAAATATTTATTAATTTAAAAATAAAAACCTTATTACATGTTACATAAAGATACTTTTATGAAAACTAAATTTTTCAAAACAAAGTGATATTTCTTTGCATGATTATAAATCTCTTTAATGTCTGACTTAATTGAAGGCAGCTGGATTCTTATATCTGGTTAAAGAATAGGAAGAAAAATGGCCTTAAATACATAATTGGAAGGGTAGTAGTATTTTTCATAGCCTTTTCCAATAATTATGGATATTCTTCTGTAAAACTATATCTGAACAAGTAGTAGTTTCTGAAAAGTTAGTTGGCATGTGGAATCTGAAACCATATTAACTAGATGTCTGTACTTTGTTATGTAACAATTCATTGGTCTATCTTGCACATTGAATGGATCTTTTACCTAAGAATGTTTTTGTAATGTCATTCATTGATCATTGAGAGATTATTGGTTCGTTGAGTTAATAAGAACTTCAAAATCTTGACACATTTCATTATAAAATAGTTTAAAAATCACATTTGTTAGTATAGACAGGTTAATCAGAAAAGTCTTTAAGTACTGGGAAGCTGTCGAGCTCCCAGTGGCAGCTAAACATTTTTCAAAATTCTGATTTTCACTTGAAAGGTCAAATTTCATTATTGGCAACAAATACTATCACTTGAAGTGAAAGGCTTACTTTTTTCATTTTTTTCATTTCATTTTTTTCATTTGTTCAAGTTAACCATAGTTTCTTATTCTTTAATTAAAAATGGCATTCATGAAATAAGCAGCTAGTTCAGCTCACAACTCCATCACACAAGTACTTTTCCTCCAGAAAAAAACACTGAACTTTAATACATAGCAGAAGTGCTTTACTTCTTTTCTTTCTCTGTACCATTCTATCACAGAGGATATTTTAAAGATGTAAACTCGAGAGTTTATGATTAATAAAATTAATAATTTTTACTGCTTTATTCAGGACATCCTTCTGTGAAACGCATTTATCTGGAAGTGTGGCAATAAAAAATATAGTTGGGTGCTGCTAACTCGATTCAAGCTAAGGCACAAGCAGTTTTACTCAGCATTGCTTTTGCACCATCAGTGCAATTATCAACACGATGAAAAAGGCCAACAATATCTTAGAATTTTTATGAAAACACATTTGGACTTAAAGGGTATCTAAAGGGTCTTGGGCCCCCAGGGCTCTGCAGATCACATTTTTATGACTCTTGGTAGAGATGTCAGTAATAGTTCACCTTTATTAAACCTGCAGTATGTGCCATCCATGGTTATATGCATTAATTACTTTAATCATCAGATATACAGGTATATGGAGAGCCTAACACAATCTAGAAAATGTATTCTTTTTAACTTCTGGACTCTGGTATGTTTTGGCTGCTCTGCTGCTGATGCACGGGAGCTAATTAAAATCTGAAGAATTTTTAGTAGCATTGCTTGCTAGGGGTATAAAGCTCCATTTTCTCCATCCCAAAAGTGTTTAGACCTTGAGAAGTTCATTGGTTGTGCCTGGGTTTGCTTGGTGGGTCCTGGGTCTCTAGTATATGTCAGATGACAAAATATGTTGTGCTTTTCATGGCTCCTGAAAATGTCCCCTTCTGCCCCTCTCCCCCTGAATTTTATTTCTTTTCATAGTTATTGTTTCTCTCACTTACTGCACCTTGGTCTCACAATTTGAAACATTTTCCAGTACATATGGCTTTAAATGTCAGGCCTTCCATGGAATTACATCTGCCTGTCAGCAACACAGCGGTAAGTCTTGCCTCCTTTTCTGGCAGGACCTGGGGACTACTTTTTTTTTTTTTTTTTAACTGTACTTCAGCTTGGTCACACATAAATATTTATCCCGTTCTCTGACACTTACTTTGAAGGCTTGCCTGGACAAAGAATGGAGTGGCAGGTGTTTGCTGCTTCATGCTTTGAGGCTAAAAGGGTGTTTTCTTTCCCATTTTGCCCTCTAGTGAGGTGTTTTGCTTTACATGCTCTCTAGGCCATAAATATTTGTTTGGATTTTTGAGTCAGTGTGAGGCTAAGAGCTTACCCAAATCCTGAATTAATCTGAAAGCCAGGTTAAAGGAAACTCATATGTACTTGGTTTTATTATGATTCTGTAAAATTCTCTGTTGAAGAGAAGATGGTCCTTGAGCAGGTTAGCAATTCCACCAGATCTGATTATTGCTTTTCCAGTGTGGCAGGGACTGGGATAGCATGTATTATATCTGCAGAGAATTGTTTTGTTAGTCGTGAGAACTATAATTCTTTCAAGCCAAGGTATAGGTTTTAGAGGAAATTGTACTGACGGGACTAGAAAAACTTAAATTGGGTCCAAGAGTCTTTGTTTTTGTCTTGCTTTCCTTCTTACTACGTAAGTAATAACTAGGAGTGCATCCATACGTATTGGTGGTCGCCTCTGTGATGCTGCATGCCTGGTGCCCCGGGCTCTGCAGTTGCTGCCCTCCATGCTACCATGCCTGCGCCACCACTCCAGCAGCGCCCAGGTCCTGTGCCCGGCCCTTTGCGCTGCTCAGTGTGCATGTGTATGGGGTCTGCATGGCAGCCTGGCCTCCTGGGGCCTCCTAGGCCCTCCTACGCCCTGTGCCTGGGGCTACAGCGGCTGTGCACTGCACACCAAAGGAGACAAAGCTTCTGTTGAATTCCTGAGTGATGAAATTAAGGAGGAAAGGGAAATCGAGAAGCATAAGAGGCATTCCCTCCCTAAGAGGTCTGGAAGTTGGGAGCTAGAATTTAAATGGAACAGAAGCTAAATTAGCGTGGCAAGTTGCCAGGGGAAAGATCTCTGTCACTTTCAACATTATCAACAGCATCCCACACACATCTGGTGGTGAGGAGGAGCCCTCCCAAGGGCTGTAGGTTGCAGAATAGGATTCTGAATTGACATCAACTCCCACTTTCATAGTTGAAGTTATGAAGAATGATAGCAAGAAGGTCCTGGTGCTGACTGTCACTATCAGAGGATGAGTTTGGACAAGAGCAGGTGGAGAGTAACATTTTCTCCATCAAGGATGTTAGCTTTCAGTCCAATGGCAAGTCTGGATGTTAGGGCACTAGTACACACTCAACACAGAGTGCCCGGACTAGGCCCTGTATTATTTCTTTGAGGACAAAGGGGTGGAAACGCTTTTGTGGATGGGTTGGTGGAGCTCAGCACAGTTCCGGAGCACCAGGAGGACGTTACTTTTCTTGAAAATCTCAAAAGTTTTGTCAAGGACCAGCAGAGTAGACAGACACTGAAAGCCCTAGTTTTCTGGCAGGCTTTGGCCAGCGAACAAATCCTACCATGAAGCCAGGCACTATCATCCTAATATCATGGAAAAAAAATAGCAAATTTAAATTATTTCTTTTGTGCTCTCATTTACTATTCATTTGCTTTTTTCTGTACAAATCTATTATTACTAGTTTTTGTTTTTTTTTTTTCAAGACGGAGTCTTGGTCTGTCGCCCAGCTGGAGTGCAGTGGTGCAATCTCAGCTCACTGCAAGCTCCGCCTCCCGGGTTCACGCCATTCTCCTGCCTCAGCCTCCCGAGTAGCTGGGACTACAGGCGCCCTCCATCACGCCCGGTTAATTTTTTGTATTTTTAGTAGAGACGGGGTTTCACCGTGTTAGCCAGGATAGTCTCCTTCTCCTGACCTCGTGATCCACCCACCTCGGCCTCCCAAAGTGCTGGGATTACAGGCGTGAGCCACTGCGCCTGGCCTAGATTTTTTTGAATAATATGACAGACAATAAAATTAGGGTTTCTCCTCCAAAATATATACATGTGAATTAACCAGGAGATGCAGGAACTTTTATATTTGGACTCTGAGGAAACAGGTTTCTGACAAGGAGCCCAGCATAGCCCTTAAATGACTTTGCCCCTAGAGGATACAGATATTATCTAACCTAACAGGTATTAGTCTGCAGTCCCTGCCTAGTGAGGTCTCTTGAGAACATCCTTTAACTGTGCTTCTCTCTGACTTGGGTGTCCTTTTTTAAGGTTCTCAGTTTATGTGTCCCATCTGAATCTAACACACCGACAGGGTTGATAGACACAGCAGTAAGTTAAATTAATCCATTACATCTAGGTCTCTTTTAAAGCTTGGTAACTGAGTTCTATTTTTATATCCTTACGATGAGCCAAGACTGTATATAGAGCAGACATCTGCCATCTATAGTGATGTGGAGTAGAAACCTCAACTATTAGAGATGCCACGGGCTACCAGAAGCACTGATCTGTTTACTCCCCTTTCTTTCACTGATTGACTGAGTGACCTTCATTGTCCCCTTGGCACTGCCTGGCCTGAATTAAGGATCTTCCTGCCATCCATACCTTGTAGGACTGTGATATGCAGTGCCAGGGTAGGATGCATTTGTGATTTAAGAGCAGCATGTCTCACCTCTGTCATCTTCTGGAAGTGTGGATGGTAAGGGAAGGGGTAAGCAGTGCCTTCCCGGCCATTCCAACAGGTCCCCTTCCTCCTTTACCTCCTATGCCAATGCCAATCAGCAATTTTCAGGGGCTTTTTAGTATAACCTCTGAAGGTTCCACAGCTGTTTTGAGTCCCAGTTCAGTGATCTTTCCTTTACTTGTATAGACAGTAAAATTTCCGTAAAACCAGTATGAGCCCCAATAAATTCTGAATTCAAAGTCACTGTGGTTTTTTTCTCTTGATGCTTATGAGAGGAGTCCAAGATGCAGTGTCAGCTGACTCTTGCCAAAGATCCAGTGCAAAAAAAGGCTGTTCAGACTTTAGGATGATGCTCAGATGTCCCGTTGTAAAGCCTTTAGATCTGTTCTCTCAGCCCAGTGTGGATGCAAGTATTGTTTAATCAAAATAGAATAGTTAGCACCCTCAACTCATAATTGGGATATTCTTTTATTGTTATATAGCCGGTTTATTTGTCTTTTGATGATATATTCTACTTCTGTGCATGTCATAACCCACCCTTAAAATACAAAAAAAAAATTTTTTTTTTTGAGACAGAGTCTCACTCTGTTGCCCAGGCTGCAGTGCAGTGATGCAGTGGTGGCTTACCGCACCCTCAACCTCCAAGGCTCAAGCAGTCCTCCCACCTCAGCCTCCCAAGCAGCTGACTACAGGCGTGTGCAACCACACCCAGCTTTTTTTTTTTTTTTTTTTTTTTTTTTGGTAGCAACAGGGTCTCGCTTTGTGGCCCAGGCTGGTCTCAAACTGCTAGGCTCAAGAAATCCTTCAGCCTCAGCCTCCCAAATTGCTAGGATTATAGGCATGAGCCACTGCACATTGCCTATAATAAGAATTTTGTAACCTCAACCAATGATGTGTCTTCTATTTGCATGAAGTGGCTGAAACACCCAGCTCTCCCTGAGCCATGACAGCCACAGTCCTGCTCCCTCCTGTTGTCCTTCCAGCAACATTGAAGGAACTCATCTCACAGACGATGATCTGCTGGGCCCAGGAGGACCAGATCCAGGATTCAGAGCTGGTCCGAATGATGTTCAACCTCCTCCGGAGGCAGTATGACAGCATTGGGGAGCTGCTGCAGGCGCTGCGGAAGACCTACACCATCAGCCACACCTCTGTAAGCGACACCATCAACCTGCTGGCTGCCCTGGGCCAAATCCGCTCCCTCCTCAGTGTCAGGATGGGCAAGGAAGAGGAGTTGCTCATGATCAATGGGCTGGGGTAGGTGATTCACGGTTACGTGCTGTTCTCTCTAGGAGCTTTAAGTGGGAAAACTGACTTACCTTGATATAGAGATATAGTGGAATCAAATCATATTAAATCTTTGTGTGAACTGATTCCAATTTCACTCCTCATGGAGTCATATCCTTTGCAACCTGAGAGACCCAACTACTCACAGTGAAAGGCATTGCTAAAAGTATGGAGGAGTCTTGGGGAAAAGCAGTTACTTGATTTTAATCTTTTGAAAATAGCCCCAGGGAGCCCATGAAAACATCTGGAGGAAGGGACGGTGTGTTCAACCCAAGACAGAAATGATCTGAGCACCTGAGCTTTTGACTCGAAATCTTCCGAAACTTCCCTCTGAAAAATTGCCACCTGATCTCTCCCTTTTCTCAGGACTAACCTAGAGTCGTTTTTGTTAGTTCATTGAGATAACTTTCCCCTTAACAGTAGCTCATGGCTCTCCCTTAGAAGCCATGTAGTCAAAAAAAATTCATAGCATTTTAGACATCAAAAGGGTTTCCTATAATCACGTAGGGTAGCACTTCTGTTTTGCAGATGAGAACACCAAGGCCCAAAAAGATTCACTAACCAGCCTACAGTTTTACTTTATTAGAATCAAGAACTAGACCTACAGACAACCTCCTACCTAACTTTTCATCCTACCACCCTTGAGCCAGCATACCAAAGGAGCATCACCAAGGTGCAGGAAAGGGACCTTCAGGATCCTTGGAGGGAAATGCACTCATTCGTCAAACTCATTTCCAAAGAGAAATCTTACATAAATGAAGCGACTTTTATGGGAAGACAATACAGTTAGATAATTATTCTCTCCCCAGCCTTCGTAGTAGACATAGCAGAAGTAAAAACTGGCAATTGGAGGTGGTGTTTCCTGCAACCCTCAAGAGAAGGGGAATGGGCAGCCAGAAAGTAACCACCCAGCAAGGGAGTACACAGCAAATTACCAGGCTGTTTCTGTATTTTGATTTGCATGCAGCTTTACTCTGTGAATTTATATTGGATGACTTAAAGATGTAATTGTTCTTACATCTTAATGTCGTGAGTTTTTAAAGACTATTGTCCAAAAGCTTCATTGATATCTAAAATTATTACAAGAAAAAATAAAACAAGGGATGTTTAATAGGTCATCAGAAAGAAATGTTTCAAAGAGAAAAAGCAAGTACTTAGAAATAGAGGAGCACAGAATATTTCAGTCAGCTAAAATGGCCCTCCACATATATTCCAGCTGAACTAGTGCTTTCTTATTATCTTTTCAGCCTGTTACTTTCATATTATTTTGCCCTCTCGTGTGTTTGTGTGTTCTCATCCCTGAATTTTCATAGCATATAAATAAGCAGGTGCTGAAGACTCTCTCTGATCCTTATCCTAGAGACATAATGAACAACAAGGTGTTTTACCAGCATCCCAACCTCATGAGAGTCCTGGGCATGCACGAGACGGTGATGGAGGTGATGGTGAACGTGTTGGGTACAGAGAAATCTCAGGTAATGCTAAAAGGAGAACCTAGCCAGAACTTGTCCCTTGAGGCAGGAGCACGAGGTGACTTGTTCAGAGCCACGTGGCTGGTGTCCCTTGCCTCAGTTTCTCTTCCAGGGAGAGGAAGGGATAGGCACAGTGCCAAGAAGGAGCCAAGCGATGGGATAATGCTGCTGGACGGAATCCCATTGTGTAAGAGCTCTTGAAGCTTGGAGACTTTCTTCATTAATCCCACTGGGCTATTCAGTTGCTAAGTTTACTTCCCGTATTCGGCAGCCCTGCTCTTTCCAAGATGGAATCACTCACTTCCACTTAGGAGCCTGGTGTGTTTTGTGCTGAGTCAGGAGAAGGCTGTTCTAAAGGAGAACAAGATCTCAATAGTGATCCTGGCAGTGTTTCCCCAGAAGTGTTGATGTTTCCTCTGTCAACCGAACTCCTGAAGAAGCCAGGTTTCCTTGCCAGCTCCCTCATAAGGAGCCCGCATCAGGGGGAGCTCCTGTTGCTAAGGGGAGAGTTGTGGGGATAGGACACAACTGGACATTTATCCCAGCTGGGCTGGGGACCTCCTCACGGTTAAACTGCTTCCACAGGCAGTAGATCGGGTATGGCTTCAAATGTTGGAAATTCCAGAGTGCCAGGGTCCTAGGAAGGGATGATTTCTGGTGCAGTTTCATCAGTGCTACTGGGGAGGGGGTGGGTGTGTAGAAGGAACAGAAGCCAGGGTCACGTTCCTCATGGGCTTCCTTCTGATCTCTTGGGAAAGTGAAATCTCTCCAGAAGATCCCTGAGCACATGTCTGGATGCCTCAGCGAGCAGATAGACTACAAGTTTCTGAACCTTATTGCTTAGAGCATCCTCTGTGATATTAAAGGAGGAAATCAAGGTTGTCTTAGGATCCCGAGCAAGGTTAACACTGGCACCATTTATTGAGCACTGTAGGATCAAAACTAAGATTTGGCCCAACCTAGAGATGCTGGTTACTTTGTTAAGTAGAAAAGCCAAGTACAATCAACAGTAATGTAAGATGGCATCTTCATGCTAGACTGCATGAATCAAATTACAAGTGCTATGGAATCCCATAGAAGAGCAATTATCAATGACAAAAGTAGTCAGGGAAGACTCAGAGAGCGATGCCTTTCAGACTTGCGTAACTGTAGAGGCCAGCCTTGACCCAGGGCACTTGGGCTTTGATATACTGGTGGGCCTTATGTGTCTACGATCACCTGTGTCTGTCTGTCTGTCTGTCTGTCTCTCTCTCTCTCTCTCCCCCCCTTTCTCTCTCTCCCCCCTCCTCACTCTCTCCTCTTTCTCTCCTCACTCTTTCCTCACTTTCTCTCCTCACTTTCTCTCCTCTCTGTCTCTCCTCTCTCTCTCATCTCACTCACTCTCTCTCCTCTCTCTCTCTCTCATCTCTCTCTGTCTCTGAATTCTGTCCACTCCCTTCCTACTTGGAAACAATAGCCTGGTAGAAGGTCATGCAATTTCACATGACTTCCGAGGATGATTGGGATTCTTGTTTGACATCTATTTCTCTTGGAGGAAAGATATTTCAGGAACTATAACTCCTATGAATAAGTCTTGAGAAAAAAAATGGAAGGAGAAAGTTCATTTTTCCAAGTGTTCACACTTTACCCACTTAAGACTCTGAGGTCAGAGTTTTCAGAAAGGCCTCATGATAGATTCTTTTGTCTGACACTTTCTACTTCTCCCTACAGATTGCATTTCCAAAGATGGTTGCTAGCTGCTGCCGTTTCCTTTGCTATTTCTGTCGAATTAGCCGGCAAAATCAGAAGGCCATGTTTGAGCATCTGAGTTATCTTCTGGAGAATAGCAGTGTTGGCCTAGGTGCGTAAGTCTTCTTGTAACTTCCACATCCAAACTCGAAGGTTACACTCCCCCTTTTGACCACTTAGGAAAATACAGGGAAAGGAGCCACATGCACGCTGTGATATTTGTAAATACTAGAAGAGACTCTGCCTGATTTAAAACAATTGAAGTAACGATGCCACAAGAACGTTCTCCAACAGAAGTAGAGATGTTGCTACCAGCCAAGATTGGTGACAGTTTAGTGTTGGCATAGTCGTACAGTTTTACCTCATCTCTCTTGGGACCAGTGGCCCATGGTTTACAAAATGCCCCTGGGATTGCAGGTATAGTCTGGGGGCACAGCTCTTCCCAGCCCACTCAACTGACCAGGGAGCAGTGCTGATGAGACCAAGGTCATGGATCGGATCTCGTCTTGGCAGGCTGGCTGCAGGCTGCATACCTGTCCATCAACCTCCCAGCAAGTGCTTTCCTTAGCGGGGAGGCAGACTGGCCAAGAGCAATCGTGGATAAACAGTGTAAATCCACCACTACCACTAGAAAAGCAAGTCACTGCATATGCCTTACTCACTGTTCTGGGTATAAACGAAATGAATGTGTGTAATACACAAATACTTGCACTTGAAAACTGAAGTTTCACGGGTTTTTATTTCTCAAATGCAACCTCAGGCTACTAACCTTTTTGTAAAATGCCACCTGAAGTTTTTCTTAATTCTAGCCTGAGAACCAAACAAACAAGTCAAAAACAACATTGGTGACCTGGTGAAACTATATGAGCTAATGCTGTTTGATGCTATTTTTAAACTCTAGGTGGTAGCCCCAGAAATATACAGGTTCCACTGGGCTTAGTTGGTCGAGTGGCATCTGATATGGGGGCCTCAAGAAGTTTTGTGTTAGAAAAGCACTTGGAAATACATGGTCCCGGTTGGTAGTGTGAACCGATTTTGTATTAATTCGTATTCACGGCAATGAATGTGGGGAGGAAGGATAGCTAATAGAGCTGTTCTTAATGCAAGCGGACTGTCCCATTGGAGAACGGTCATGTAAGCCAGGTTTCAGTGTGTTTGCTGCCCTCTCCTGTCCGCTTACGTGCACTGCAGTCTCAGCTCAGCACTGAGTGTCTTCCTCTGTCCTTTTCTTGCTAATTCTCCCCTCCTCCCTCAGCCTCCCCGTCGATGAGGGGATCCACCCCGCTGGATGTGGCAGCTTCCTCTGTGATGGACAACAATGAGTTAGCGCTGAGCTTAGAGGAACCAGACCTCGAGAAGGTAACCGGCCCTTGGGGTGGCAGTGTGGTGTTCTCTTCGGCCTGTAGTGCAGCTAAGCTAAGGATAAGCAGACCACGGATGGAGTCTCTGTCACTGTATCGTCATCTTGGTGGGCTTGTAGGGAAAGTGTGAAAGAATGTGAGTAACCGGTAGCAGCACAACGATTATGACCAAGGGATCTCCTGTGAACACAGGTAGCCAACTTCAGAGACATGTGGACATTTGTGTTCTTCGTGTGTGGAAGCCCAGCCTCGTTGGTCTACATGGAACATTACCAGATGCCGGTGGTTCCTAATAAAGTTCTGCGTAATTTACAGATTTATAAATCTACCTATGGAAGGAAGAGACATGGCAGAATACTGTATAATCAGTGTCCTTTCCATGTGTAACTGAGACAAACTGAGCTGCCCTCTGCTGGGAGTGTGGATGAAGCTCCTGGTGGTGGAGCTGGTTGAGGCGGCCTCACTACGTCTTTTCCCCATCCCTTTCTTTAAATGATGTCCTTGACCGGAGGGCTGACAGGATTCACAGTGTGACCTTCTGAGTGGAGCAGAGCAACCTGGAGGGGGAGGGGGGTGGAGAGGAGGGACGTGGGCAAGTCAAAGACAAATCAAAGGTCATCATTATGTAGGGGGTTTGGGAGCACACGGAAAAGGGCACCTGAGCCTGACTAGGGGATTGGGAAGGTCACTCAGAAACAGTCATGACTTGAGGGATGAGTAGAAGCTGATCAGCCGCATTGTTGGGGAAGCATGCCAGGGATGTTTGCATGTCCGAGAGGAGAGTATGGCGTGCTGGGGAATAGGAGACTGGGTATGACTGAAGCACAGAGTACCTGGGGGATGTGGTGAGAATGCAGCAGAAGCAGTGAGGAATTGAACTTATGCTACCATTTCTATTACTAAAAGAAATTCATGCTCATACACTGTGCCAGGCTTTATTCTGAATGCTTCCCACAAATGAACTCACGTGACCCTCAGACCAAGCCCTTTCATTGTTGCCTGCCAGTTACGGGCAAGGAAGTGGAGGCATAAAGAGATTGGGTGGCATCCTCAGTGTCATGCGGTTAGTCAGTGGCACAGCCAGGCATCGAGAGCGCTGGGCTGTGGAGGCAGTGCTCCTACCCATTTTATTACAGGAGGTCACCGTAGAGCCAAGAGTGGTGGAAACCACTGGAGAGTATTAGGCAAAGGGGCAACACGATACAATTCATATTTTAGAAAACACCCCAGTTTCAGTAAGAAGAACTGAACAGAAACAAGTCTTGAGGCAAGGAGGAGAGTTTTGGTAGTAATCAAAGCCCAAGACTGTGCTGGCTTCAATTAATATTGATGCAGTGGGTGTGAGAAGCGTTTGAAGCCAGGGGACCGATCTATCACAGGACAAGTTGCAGCCATTAATTAGATATCAGTTCAGCCCATGTTTTCCTCCAAGGAGTGCAGGAGGTAGAGCAGATCTGAGGAGGCCGGCGATGAGTTTGGGGTCTGTCAAGTTTAAGGGGCCCCAGGGCTCCCAAATGGCATTGTCAAGTAGGGAATTGACGACCTGGCAGTATATCTCAGGAGAGCTCTCTGAGCTGCAGATAGAGCACACAGAGGGTGGTTGAAGCGCTGGGGGTACATGAGGTGACTCCAAGGGCTGGTCTGGAGCAAGAAAAGAAGCATAGCCAGGCCAGAGCCCTGAGGACCACCAGCATATTTAAGGGAGTCGCTGAGGAAAAGGCACCAACAAAAAACAGGAAGAGGAGCAGCCAAAAGGATGAGAAAACCCAGCAAATCTAGTATCTGAGAAGCTGAGAGGGAAAATTGAGAAATAAATACACATTTTTTTCTTCGTGTCGCATAGTGAACGTGGGGTGGCTCAAAGAAGACAGGGTGAGGAAAGAGAGAGAGGGGTTGTCTTGATTAAACGATTGTGGCAGCAGATGGCCTTCCTCTAGCTGAGGCAGCCACACAGAACACAGATTTACCACTCACGAAGATTCTGCTGTTTCAGGCCTTGGCAGAGAATCATTGGCCAAGCTGCAAAACCATGTCTGATCTATTAAGATGAGATGATAATTACCCACCAATAATTCGTTGACATTTTTCAGTTAGTAAATTCTATTTCAAATGCATTCAACTGATAATTACTGAGGGCCTATCATGAACCAGACAGACAAAACGCCCGTGTTTGTGCAGCATATTTCTAATGGGAGGAACTTTCCTTGTAGTCAGAGAGGATATTACTTTGCTGGGGCTGCCATAACAAAGTACCACAGGTTGGGTGACATAAACATCGGAAATTTATTTTCTCACAGTTCTGGAAGCTGGAAGTCCAAGATCGAGGTGTGCGCAGGTTTGGTTTCTTCTGAGGCTTCACCTCCTGGCTTGCAGATGGCCACTGTTTTGCTGTGTCCTCACGTAGTCTTTTCTTTGTGTGCACGTATCCTTGCTATCTCTCTGTGTGTCCAGATTTCCTCCTCTTGAAGGACATGACCCCAACAACTCAGTTTAACTTAATCACCTCTTTACAGCCCCTATATCCAAATACAGAAACATTCTGGGATATTGAGGGTTAGGGCTTCCACATGAAATTTGCGGGAGACAATTTAGCCCATGACAGAGGGGTTTGTCTTTGAGTTGGTCATTTTATTTTGTTCTTTAAAGTATTTTGAAATATCAGACATTTTTACAATAATATTTTGAGGCGACAAATTTAAGTGAAAGCATTTTTTTTTATTTTGTCAGATTCAATCAGTATTTCCAATGGACTTCATTGGGTCCCTTATAAATCATTAAGTTAAAAGCAGGAATCAAGGAAAGAATCTATTTACTGGCCTTATCAAATATGATGTTTATCAAACAACCCAATACCATAATAATACCATAATAGAAGAACCTTGCTTTTTAACATTCTGTTAAAAGAGGGCAGTCATGGTGGCTCACGCCTGTAATCCCAGCACTTCAGGAGGCCGAGGCAGGTGAATCATTTGAGGTCAGGAGTTCAAGACCAGTCTGGCCAACATAGCAAAACCCCATCTCTACTAAAAAGAAATACAAAAGTTAGCCAGGCATGGTGGTTGGTGCCTATAGTCCCAGCTACTCAGGAGGCTGAGGCAGGAGAATTGTTTGATCCCGGGAGGCAGAGGTTGCAGTGAGCCGAGATCATGCCACTGCACTCCAGCCTGGGAGCCTGGGTGACAGAGCGAGACTCCGTCTCAAAAAAAAAAAAAAAGAAAGAAAAAAATCTGCTGAAAGAAGTCCCAGTCAATATAACTTACGGTTAACTTTAATAAGCAATCCCAGCTGCAAACGGAGTAAGTGAAAATGACCAGACCAGAGGGAAATGTTAGAAGTTGCTCCTCCAGGCTCTGTAGGCCTGTGTTGTGAAGGGTACCAGCCACCTCCTGCATACACACAAGACTCAAGCACCATGCCACCTGTCGTGAGAGCTTCCATAAATGCTGTGTCTATTCATGGTCTCTGCATCTAGAGGGAGAGACCTCAGCCAAACTCTGTTATTCGTACATTTAGATGACAATAAATAGCTCAGTGTTTTAGGTGGTATGACGATAACCGATGCTTGTGTGAAAAGCAGCTGAATGGGTCTTTTTGGACAAGGCAATGCCACAAGGTTTTGAACTCCATATCCTATTCTCAGCCTCAGTTCATCTTTTGAAACAGTGTTGCTCAGCAAAGACATGGAGCCTCCATTGGAAGAAGTCAGATGTGATTAACGCAGGCCAGCAAGCTGGAGAGGGAAGAAATGGGCGCTTTGGGAAATCTGTAAAGGGGATGAGGTTTGCCACACCGTTTTCAAGTAGTTGGGGTGGCTTAGCACACTGCTATAGACTTTATTCAGCCCAATGTCAGGAAATTACCCAAGTTTGGTTCACAGGAAAGAACAGCAAAGGACTGGTATGCTGGAGTTTCTTCCTTCTATTGATCACGCCAGAAATTAGATCATTTAGGATTGAACAGTAGCCCTACCCCAACACATACACACACGCATATGCACACACACATGCACACACACTCTTTCTCTCTCTCTCTCTCTCTCTCTCTCTCTCTCTCATATGGGCAATTATAGCAGCCTGTGAAATGTCTGCACCTGCAATCTTGAAAACTCTGCCCAATTCTGGCCCTTATTGATGCTTCCCTGACATTTTAAAGACAAAATCAAATCTGAACTCTAAGCAGAATATTATCTTTACTGGTTTAAGAAGGAAAAAGTGTGGTGATAGATTCTTGCTGAGTTTGGCCTTATTTTTATTATACTTGCAAAATAGAATATTTGACATCAGCAAGTAAGTGATTCATTGAACAAACATTTATTGAACAGCTACTATGTGCTAGGCCCTGGAGGTTAAAAAAAATCTTAAAAAACACCATCTCTGACTTTGAGGATTTTGGAGCACTGTGGATTCTCCTCTTCTCTGTGTATACATAAGATATCAAAGGTGAAATTAGAATAGCAACTGCGTTTTAATCAAAGGTATATTTGCCAGGCTTTTTGCCTGAAAGCTGCTGAAAAGTAGAACAGAATCTAAAATCTTCTGTAAGATCCTAGCACAGAGATCTCGTGATAAGTGTCTGGTAACCTGGAAGCAAAGAGACCACCACCAGTCCCAGTCCTTAATGGATGGGGATCTCTTTTTCTGGCCATCCCAACCTCAACATCTTGGCTTTTGACTTTGGACAGCTGTTGTGGATGCAGAACGAGAGTAGACACCCCTGATTACTCAAGGGCCCACTCTGGGTCAGTCAGTGACTGAATATTGTAGCCTTGCAATACCATGGCCAAGTGAACATGGCCCGCCCCCAGTGGGCCCTTCTTTTCCTGCACTGTTGTCTCCCCAGATGTACGCTAGCTAGGCTTATTTTTAAATGACAGCTCCCTCTTGCCAGAACTGGAAAAACCAGGAACTGACAGTACATGGTGTGTTCCTACATAACAATGATAATCAATCTTGTTAATCACTTGGAAACAAAAAATGAATTGGAGGCTCTTTCTAGCCTCCAGGGAAATGGAAGCCTTTCAGTTCTTAGAATTTCACAGGCCTCACAGCTATCTTATAAAAAAAAAAATAAAAACTTGAGCAGTTCTTTCTTTGTTTGTTTCTTACATACGTGTAAGATTTATTTTTAAATTTTATTGTGTTAAAATACACAAAATATATAATTTACTATCTTGATCATTTTTAACTGTATGTGTAGTATTCAATACTTTTGTAATGTTGTTGAACTGTCACCACCATCTATCTCCATAACTCTTTTCATCTTGTAAAACTGAAATTCTAGACCCACTTAACAATAACTTTCCATTCTTCCCTCCCCTCCCCCAAGTCCCTGGCAACCACCATTCTACTTTCTGTCTTTATGGGTTTTACTACTCAAATTACCTCCTATGAATGGAACGATACGGTATTTGTCTTTTTGTGACTGGCTTATTTCACTTAGCGAATGTCCTCAATGTTCTTCACGTTGTAGCATGTATCAAGATTCTGTTCCTGTTTAAGGCTGAATATCCCATTGTACGTATATATCACGTTTTGCTTATTCATTCATTCATCCATCAGTGGCCACGTGGGTTGCTTCCACATTTTAGCTTTCAATTATTTGGGGGTATATACCCAGAAGTGAAATTGCTGGATCATATAGCAATTCTGTTTTTAATTTTCTGAGGATCTGTAGTACTGTTTTCCACAGTGGCTGTACCATTTTACATTCTCACCAGCAATGCACAAGAGTTCCAACTTCTCTACATCCTCAACCAACACTTGTTATTTTTTGAGGTGTGTTTTTTAATAGCCATCCTAATGCGTGCGAAAGAACACTTTTGTACTGTTTCTGGCAGGTGGTGACCTACTTGGCAGGCTGTGGCCTACAGAGCTGCCCCATGCTTCTGGCCAAAGGATACCCTGATGTCGGCTGGAACCCCATTGAAGGGGAACGCTACCTGTCCTTCCTGAGGTTTGCTGTCTTCGTGAACAGTGAGTCCCACATTTTTCCATACCTCTTATACCCAGAATAGCATGATCGTGGATACCTACAAGGAAAAGGATATCCTTTCCATTGCTTCTTATCTGAAAATAGGGGGTTGGTGGCTGGCAAGAGAAATCTTAGGGAGAATCACAGGTGTTTGGTGGCTGGCAAGAGAAATCTCAGAATCAGGCCAGACAAGGATAAAGAGTAGAGTCCAGTGAACAGAGCACTGAGCATTAGTCCCAGGTCCAGCAAGAAACTCACCGCAGAGAGGTCATCTCTCTGCACTGTAAAAGGGGGCCTTATGAATATCATCATTAATACCTCACCTGTTTCACAGAGCTAAATGCACATGTACATCTAGATCCCTGGACTGTTGGATGGATGGATGGATGAATGAATAAAATCAAGTATAACTGAGTAGCTGTAAAAGATAAGTAAACTCCCAGGAGAAAAAAATTGCTATAACAACCCTAAATATTATTTGTCATAATACAATCTACCTCCCATTTATAGTGAATTCCAACACAACCAGAATTCTTTAGTTGCTCTGGAATAATATGCTGAATATTATGTAAATAAGTGGGGTACTTTCTTGAAAATGAGCCTTGCCTCCTAAGAATTTTTGTTATAATACTAATTCATTTGTATTGACATTATAGTTATAGTCCCTCTCTGTTCTCTCAGTTTGGGGTTCCAGGCTAACAAATTGCACTAAGCAGGTTAGGTGATCTCAAAGAGAGATTGCAGCTAACACACAATCATGCCAGTTGTTCTAAGAATTTGTCTCAAAATATGTTGATATAATGTGATCATTATATTCCCGTGTGCTTTTCTTGTTGTCTCTCTACCCTCCCATTTCACCTGCTTACTTTTCTTCACTGTACTATACTATAGTCTTAATATTTAAATGGTTTCTTTTCTCCTTGTCCTGGTTAGATTGCAGGCCTTGAGGTGGTTGCTTGTTATCCCTGGAACCCACCCAGCCAACTTCCTAATCAACTCTCTCTGCTTCTCTCTGCGTATTCATCACTGCATCCTTCTTGTTTATCACCAGCTTTGCTAACCTCCATTTTCTTCTCTTGAGGGCAGTTTTAGAGTATCCTCTAATAGCCTGGTTCACTTTGTATCCAAATTATCACATGTCCAGAATTAACACGGAGTTACTGTAGGAGTAAAGCAAATTTGTGGGTGTATGAAATGGATATTAAGAATTTATACAGCTCGCCAAATTATGTAAATAGATTGTTTGCAGACAAATCTGATCAAGGCAGAACCAATTTATTCATCTTGGTCACCTTCACAGTCAAGATCAAGAGCTTTTTGAGTCATTTTATGAGACCATCTACCTGGATCGTGAAGGTAAAGGAATCGACTGGCTCTTCTTCTACCCGGATTGCTAAATTCTAACACTTGCTTTTGTGGGTTAGGTACAACAATATTGAACTAAACTCTAGACCAAAAGGTTTGGTCCACCCCTTTTGTTTTCAGGTTATTTTATATCTTTTCAATATATTTTCTGCACTACAATTCTATAATGCAACAAACTCTGGCAAACTGGCCCATCAATAGAAATATTTGTGGATTTCAGTTTAATGTTTGTCTCTATAATAGTGTTATATATATAAAGTTTCGGTGCCACAAAAGAAATAGCACTTGAATATAAAATTTTCTTTTTAATTCTCAGCAAGGCAAGGTACTTCTTTAGAAGGGTGTGCCCTTACAGATGGAGCAATGGTGAGCACACACTTGGACAAAGGAGGGGAGGGGGTTCTTATTCCTGATGCACGTGGCCCCTGCTGCTGTGTCGTTCCCCTATTGGCTAGGGTTAGACCGCACAGGCTAAACTAATTCCCATTGGCCGATTTAAATAGAATGACGGGGTGAGTGCTTCGGCGGGAGTCAGGACAGAGCAGGTAGCAGGTAATCAGAATAAGTCAGGGTGGAGCAGGTGATCAGAATGAGTCAGGGTGGAGCAGGTAATCGAAAAAGTTTGCTTTAGGAGGAAGTTAGGTTTGAAAGTAGAAGGCAAAGAATTGAACATAATGACATATTAATTCTTTGAAAAGAAATTTAGAGCTCATATCTAACAGTAGCCGTGTCTAGTTTTGGCAAAGGATGTCAGCTTCTCCTTTCAAAGAATTTTCAGTCTTTTAAGGGGAGCAGACATGGACAGAGATCACTACAATAAAAGTAAGTGGAGTAAGGCAGGGAGAGAGCACTGAAGGGGTTCAAGAGGGGAAACTTATATCTTATTGAGGAGATCAGAAAAGGCCTAATGGAGGAGGTGATGTTAGAGATAAGCTTTGAAAGGTCAAGTTTCCAAATACATAGATTCAGTTGAGAAGCAGCATGTACAGTAGCTGAAAGGCTAAAGCATGCTGTGCTCAGGAAACCTAGTGCTATTGTTTAAATGTGTCCCCTAAAAAGCATGTTTTAGAAACTTAATCCCGAGAGTTGGGAGATGGGGCCTAATTGGAGGTGTTAGGTCATGAGGACCCAACACCTCATGAATGGGTTAATGCCCATTATAAAATGGCTGGAGGCCACGAGTTCAACATCTTGCTTTCTTGTGCACACTCTCTTGCCATGTGATGCCTTCTGCCATGTTATGATGCAGTGAGAAGGCCCTTAACAGATGCACCTCCTTGATCTTGGACTTCTCAGCCTCCAGAATCATGAGCCAAATAAACCTCTATATTGTATAAATTACCTAGTCTTTGATATTCTGTTATAGCAGCACAAAACAGACTAAGATACCTTAGTCTGGAGGGTAGATGCATGGATGGCACTGGTAAGACATGCGGTTTAAAAGGTAGGTGGTTATAATGGGGAAAACCTAAATGCCAAGTTGAAAAGTTTAGTATTGATTCAGCGTGTAGAGAGCTGTAAAACTTTTTAACAGAAGAGAGACTGATGGGTTGATACCCACTCATGGGTTCTGTACTCAGGTTAGAATAATGAGTTTCTAAATTATTATGGTGTTGGTAAAATGGACTAGAAGAGATACATTTGAAAGAAATTACTGAGGTGGAATTCACAGGACTGTATTAGACCATTCTTGCATTGCTATAAAGAAATACCTGAGACTTGATAATTTATTAAGAAGAGAGGTTTAATTGGTTCACAGTACTGCAGGCTTTATAGGAAGCATGGTGCTGGTATCTACTAAACTTCTGGTGAAGCCTCAGGGAGCTTCCGATCATGGCAGAAGGCAAAAATGGACTAGGCATGTCACATGGCGAAAGCAGGAGGAAGAGAGAGAGAGTAGAGAGGCTGGAGGTGCCATACACTTTTTTTTTTTTTTTTTTTTTTGAGACAGGGTCTTGCTCTGTCACCCAGGCTGGAGTGCAGTGGTGCAATCTTAGCTGACTGCACCCTCGACCTCCCAGCCTCAAGCAATCCTCCCTTCTCAGCCTTCCGAGCAGCTGGGACTATAGGCATGCCAGTGGCTCTACCATCCTGGGGTCTGGAGGGTGGCTCCCCACAGCTCCACTAGGCAGTACCCCAGGAGGGACTCTGCATGGAGCCTCCAACCCCACATTTCCCGTCTGTACTGCCCTAGTAGAGGTATTCTGTGAGGCTCCACACCTGCAGCAGGATTCTGCCTGGGGACCCAGGCTTTTCCATACATCCTCTGAAATCTAGGTGGAAGCTGACAAGTGTTCTCCACTGTTGCATTTTGCATACCTACAGGCTTAACACTACATGGAAACTGCCAAGAGTTATGGCTTGCATTCTCCAAAGTGGCAGCCCAAGTTTTAGCTGGGCCCATTTGAGCCACAGCTAGAGTTGGAGCAGCCAGGATATATGGGGAGCAATATCATGAGGCTGCCCTGGGCCTGGCCCACAAGTTAATTCTTCCCTCCTAAGCCTCTGGGCCTATGATGGGAGGGGCTGCCATGAAGGTCTCTGAAATGCCTTTGAGGCCTTTTCCTCATTATCTTGGATGTTAGCACTTGGCTCCCTTTTAGTCATGCAAATATCTCTAGTAAGTAGTTGCTCTACATCCTACTTGATTTCCTCTTCTGAAAAAGCCTCTTCTTTCTCTGCCACATGGCAAGGCTGCAAATTTTCCAAACTTTTACACTCTGTTCTTGTTTAAATAAATTTCCAACTTTAAGTCATTTATTCATTTTCACATCTGAACATAGGTTGTTAGAAGCAGCCATGCCACTTCTTTCTTTCATTTTTTTTTTTTTTTTTTTTTTTTTTGAGACTGAGTCTCGTTCTGTCGCCCAGGCTGGAGTGCAGTGGCATGATCTCAGCTCACTGCAAGCTCCGCCTCCCAGGTTCATGCCATTCTCCTGCCTCAGCCTCCTGAGTAGCTGGGACTATAGGCACCCACCACCATGCCTGGCTAACTTTTTGTATTTTTAGTAGAGATGGGGTTTCACCGTGTTAGCCAGGATGGTCTCAATCTCCTGACTTCGTGATCCACCCGCCTCGGCCTCCCAAAGTGCTGGGATTATAGGCATGAGCCACCGCACCCGGCTACCAGGCCACTTCTTGAACACTTTGCTGCTTAGAAGTTTCTTCCACCAGGATACCCTAGGTCATCACTCTCAAGTTCAAACTTCCATCGATCCCTAAGGCACGAACAGAATGCAGCCAAGTTCTTTACTAATGTGTAATATGCATGACCTTTGCTCCAATTCCAAATAAGTTCCTCATTTCCACCTGAGACCTCAGCAGCTTGGACTTCACTGTCAGCATTTTGGTCACAACCATTTAACTGGTCTCCAAGAAGTTCCAAACTTTCTATCATCTTCTTCTGAGCCCTACAAACACTTTCAATCTCTGCCACCTACCCAGTTCCAAAGCTGCTTCCACATTTTCAGGTATCTTTATAGCAATACCCCAATCTTTGGTACAAATGTTCAGTATTAGTCCATTCTTGCATTACTCTAAATAAATACCTGAAACTGGGTGATTTGTTAATAAAAGAAGTTTAATTGGCTCGTGGTTCTGCAGGCTTTACAGGAAGCATGGTGCTAGCATCTGCTTGGCTTCTGGTGAAGCCTCTGGGAGCTTTCAATTGTGGCAGAAGGTGAAGGGGGAATAGGCACATCATAGGGTGAAAGCAGGCATAAGGCAAGGGGGAGGTGCCACACACTTTTAAATGGCCAGATCTCTTAAGAACTCACTGTTGTGAAGACAGCCTCAAGCCATGAGGGATCTGTCCCCATGATTCAAACACCTCCCACCAGGCCCCACCTCCAGCATTGGGGATTACAATTCAACATGAGATTTGGGCAGGGACAAATATACAAACTGTATCAAGGACTGAATGGTGATGATGATGGCTGAGCCTAGGTATGTTGAGAGAAAAGGAACAGAGGTCACATTGAAGCTTAAAGATTTTTGAGGGTAGAGAGAAAGAAATAAGGATGTCAGAAGAAGCAAAATGGTTTGAGATGGAAGGTAATAAGCTTGGCTTGGGTCACATTATATTGATTTTTCTGTGTACAGTACCCATATAGAGATACCCCTAATTGAATTTGTAGGATAGAAATCAATCAACAGATTAGAACTAAGTAGATTTGCAGTCCATTGGTAGCTCAAATGCTTCACAGTAGGTTGCCACAGGTGAAGGCATGAAAAAGAAAAATGTGGAGAGTATGAAAAAGAAAAATGAGAATATTTCTGAATACTTAGGAGGAGGAATAGTGGCTCAATCACAACAGAATGTTACAGAAGAGTTTGGAGTAGAGAATGGAGTAACTTGGGTTCAAATTTGGCTCTATCATTTACTAGTTGTGTGAATTGAAGCAAGTTAGTCAAAATACCTAACCTCAGTGCTTTTTTATGTGTAAAACAGAGATGATAATAATGTATGCCTCACAGAGTTGTGAGGCTTAAATGAAATAATCCATGGAAAACTTAGATCAGCCCAGTGCCACAAACCTTATAAACTTGTAGTTATGATAGTTGTTGTTCATGATCTTTACGAGAGTGGTAGGGCATTTGAAATGGGAAAACTGTAATAAACAGATTTCTTTGGAATCTCAAAGCCCTTTATAAGTCCTTATGTCTAAAAGGTGATTCAAAAGGACTTTCTGAATACCTTTGTGAACTCTGCTCAGCAATGTAAGATAAAAGTGATATAAGGAATCGTGGCAGATGATGGAAGTATTCATGGTGGGTGATGGTAGATGATGGTGGGTGGTGGTATATGATTATGGTGGGTGATGGGGTGTTCATGGTGGGTAATGGTGAGTGGTAGTGGGAATTGTGATAGTGGGTGATGAATGGTGATGATGCTAGTGATAGTGGAATATGATAGTTGGTCAGTGGTTATAGTGAGTTGTAGGGTGACTGAGGTGGGTGGTGGTTAGTGAAGGTAGACATGGTGATGGTGGTGGCTGATGATGATGGTGATGATGGGATATGATGGTTGGGTGGTGCATGGTCATATAGGGGGGTTATAAGGGTGAGTGTGGTGAATGATGGTGAGTGATGATGGGGGTGGTGAGGGTTGTGGTGAGGATAACAGCTAACACTTATTGAGCATTTACCATGTGCCAGGCACTGTTCAAAACACTTTTACATATATTAACTTTAATTATACGACAATCCAATGAGGGAAGCATCTTAGTCTGTTCAGGCTGCCATAACAAAATACCATAGACAAGGTAGCTTATAAACAACGTAAATTTATCTCTTACACTTCTGAAAGCTGGGAAGTCCAGGATCAAGGTGCTGGCAGATTCAGTGTCTGGTGAGGTTTCCTGGTTCATAGATGGTGCCTTCTCACTTTGTTCTCACATGGTGGAAGAGGCAAGGCAGCTCTCTGGGGCCTCTTTTGTAGTGGCACAAATCCCATTCATGAGGGCTCTGCCCTTATGACTTAATTACCTACCAAAGGCCCTACTGCCTAATATCGTCACCTGGACAGTTAGGATTTCAACATGAATTTTGGAGGGTGGGGGGGACACGAATATTCAGACCATAGCAAGTGGATACAATTATCTTCATATTGTAGATGAAGACCCTGAAGCTTAGATTAAATACCTTGCCCAGAGTCTCATAGGTAGTAGAAAGTAAAGCCAGAAATTGAATCAAGCAGTTTGACTCCAGAGGCCACAGTTTATGAACCATTGTGCACTGTTGTCTTCCTGTCTCCCTAATCAACAAGGAGAAACAACATTTTCTCCTTTGAGCTTGTCAAAAATGGTGGTATTATTTAATCACTGTTTGGTGCTAATTTTAAAAATTTTAAGCCATATCAAAAGCTTTTAATATATCAAAATAATGGAATTAGAAAACTCTTTCTAACATTAATTTACTATTATTTCTTAATGTTTGTAGTAAATCTTCTTAAATATTTGTCTTTAAGAAAATGTTTTAAGGCATATAATTTGCTTCACTTTATTTTTATTAGCTGTTGAGAAGCCTTGGGTTGTGTTTAACTCTGGAAGTAATGAAGTCGTTAAGCTTCTATTTTCCCCGCAGTTGCAGGCACTGTAGCCAGGCTAAGCACAGATGTGTTTGGGTGTCTGTGATTAATCCCTTCCTATTGTAGACTCTGAGAAGGAAAAGGTTTCCTATCAATCCACAAGAAAAAGGGAAAAGTTATTCTGTGTTTTCTTAGAGTCCTTGGAGAGTTATAGCGATATCTTCCCCAGACTACAAACTTAGTTTAAGGAACATAATATCTCCTAGCTTTGCTGAATCTGCTTTCCTAGGTAGATTTATTATCAGTGGCCATAACTTGGACATCCATCATGTGACATGTGAAGAGTCTATGAGGGGCTGTGAAACGTGATGCTCTAGAAGTCCTGCCCAGAAGTCACTTCCTACAACTCAAAGCAGGAAACAGAGAAAACCCAAGTAGAGTGATCAGAAACATGTATGGAATAATTACTAAAAACTTTGTAATCAACCACACCTACCTACATAGTGACACATGAGACATTGGCATGCCAAAATGATGGTGTTTATTGGAATCTGGTAGAATTAGTCAAGGGATGCATGAGGAAGAAGGCAAGTGTTGAATAACATCTTGAAATAAATGGATATAGTTTAACAAAGTCCTAAAGGGAGAGCATATGGATAGACTGTTGTGCTGGGAGACATACATCTTTTAGGGTTGAGAGTACAAAGTGTCATCTTAGCTTTGAAGGGCATACAAGGTGTAGACACTTAAGAATCATCTGGTTTATTTCTGCCCTTGTATTCATGTTTTTAGAGTCAGAAAGGGCATGTTAACCATTCTTCAGTGTGATTGGTACTAGACTAGGCATGGTTAGGACTAAATGTGTGACACATAGTTTTGTTCTCAAATTTATAAAACAGTTGAAAAGATTCAGCAAGCTCTTGAAAAATTAACCAATGGCAAAAGATTTAAATAACAGTTTAAGACAAATAGGAACAACATCGCAATGTTGTACTCAGGAGATACAATCATGCTAGAGTGATAAGAAGGTAGAATATAAGGTACATTTGAGATATGGCTAGTTGCAGCTGGATTCTTAACATCTATGTTACACCTTTGTACTAACTGTAAGGTATCTTAGTCCATTTATACTGCAGCAACAAAATACCTGAGACTGGATAATTTATAAAGACAGAAATTTATTTCTCACAGCTCTGAAGACTGGGAAGTTCAAGAACAAGGCACCAGTAAGATTGATGTCTGGGAGGGCTGCTGTCTGCTTCCAAGATAGTACCATGTTGCTGCATCCTCTGGAGAGGAGGAACACTGTGTCCTCACATGGCAGAATCAATTGAAGGGCAAGAGACCATCCCTTCAATTTTAAACCCTTTTATAAGGGTACTAATCCCACTCATGTGGGCAGAGATCCTTATAACTTAATCACCTCCCAAAGGCCACACTTCCTAATACTGTTTAATATGGTTTGGATGTTGTCTTCTCTGAATCTTATGTTGAATTCTCATCCCGAATGTTGGAGGTGGAGCCTGGTGGGACGTGTTTGGATCATGGGGGCAGATGCCTCTTGGCTTGGTGCTGTCCTCACACTAGTGAGTTCTCATAAGCTCTGGTTGCTTAAGTGTGTGGTACCTTCCTCCCACTCTTTCTCTCGTTCTCTGAGACACCTGCTCCCCCTTCATCTTCTGCTATGAGTAAAAGTTTCCCAAGGCCTCACCAGAAACCAAGCAGTTGCTGGCACCGTTTCCTGTATAGCCTGCAGAACCAATGAGCCAATTAAACCTCTTTTCTTTATAAATTACTCAGCCTCAGGTATTTTTTTATGGCAATGCAAGAATGGCCTAACACACTGTTGCATTAGGGATTAAGTTTCAACATAAATTTCGGAGGAGGCACCATGATTCAAACCATAGTATAAAGCGTGTACAGTCTTGCATACCCTACCTTCTTCGTTCTCCCACTGGACTCCCTGGAATCTTTATACCTGAGAAAAGGAAAGGAAATCTATCAGACAGGTAAAGGGCTTCTAGTGACAGAGGCAAGGAAATGTGCCTCCATCTGTAAAAATTCAAAGTGAAACAGCATCAAAGTCCAGAAATAAGCAGACAGTCAAAACAGTACCAGTAATAGAAAACAAATTCCTCAAATAAAGAAGCCAATGGCAAACCTAGGCCCAGAGCACCAAAATGAGGAAAGCTGGCTGGGGTGAAAGGATATCAGCTACATTCTTTTCACCCTAAGTGAATTTCTCAGCAGCTTGCCTCCAAGGCCCCTGTGGGATTCCAACGATAGTGATAACTGAGTGTCTTGGCAGTGGACTCAAAAGTCCAGAACCTACTTAATATACGTATGTGGATTTCATCAACCATTTCATTGATAAGAGTAGTAAGTGAAGCCTGATACTTCAATAAAACTAGAATTAAGCTGAATGAAACAAAAAAAAAATCCACTTCATCAACATTATTCACACAAAATGGCAGTATTATGATCCTTGTGCCCATCAAAGGCTGATTTTCATCATCTTATTGAGAATGCCCATATTTTGTCAGAGCACACCTTCTGACTTCAGGTTTCTATGGCATTCAAGTTTTATTTGGCATATTTCATGAAAAAGCTACATAGACCCAAACTCTAGACACATGGGCAAAATCTTAGCACAATTCTGCGATTAAATACTGGCCTTCAAAATATCTGGGCTACTACTGCACCATCCACCCTGCATGGTTTCATGGCTTTGAATTCCACGTATACACTGATGATCCCCAGATGTACTTTGCCAGCTTTGTCCTCTTCCCTGAGCCCCAGACTTGTATATCTTGGTTATCTACCTGGTATTTCTACTTGAAGGTTTAATACGCATCTTAAATTTTGTACATCTTAAAGCTGAGTATGTAATTACCACCCAAAACCCGTTCTTCCCCGAGGATTCTCCATCTCCTTAACTAGCTCCACCAACTTTTCAGATACTCAGACTAAGTCTAGACAGCATCCTTGAATCAACTTTTTTCCTTATTCCCACATCCAGTCCATCACCAAGTTCTGTTGATTCAGCATCTAAAAGATATCTGAAATCTATCTTCTCTCCATCTCCACTGGCCACTTTCTACTCCAAGTTGTTATTATCTTATACCTGGGCCACTCTAAGTTGTGTAGGAGGAACTGAATTCCCTCCTTCTACTCTCTTATATTGGCCTGCATCTGCTACATAATAACTTCATAATCTCAAAGGCATAAAATAATAAGCATTTATTTCTTACATATCTGCAAGGTGGTGGGAAAGCTCTGCTGCAGGTCCACAGGTCTGCGGGGGTGGCTCTGTTCCACTGGTCTCATTCTGGAGTTCAAGCTTGACTGTCCTGGTTACTGCTTGTCTGCTGTCTCTAGGTCAGTTACTAGCATGTAGTGTGGACTCAATGGATAGTTGAATTCATTAATAAATGGGCAAACAATTCCTGGTTTGTTCTCTGTGCTATCACAGTGGCTCTTAGACATATCTCCAGTCCATCCCTTCCCAGGCTGGAAGGCCCTAAAAAGAAGATGGTATGTCCTTACTATTTGGAATCACTTAGTTCATACAAGTTGCCTGGCACCCTATCAAAGATGGCATTTAGCAAATAGAGGTGTTGGATCCTGGCCATTACCCTGCCCCTGTGATTCTCTAAATTAATTAAATGAGTGTCAGTACATTCATTCATGCTGAAGCCCCGTGTTCTCTCTTACTGAGGTGGGACTTGATTGGGAATATGTTTCTTTTCTTTAGGACTAATTGAAATCTGAGGTAGTAGATGATGCAGGCTCTTGTAAACAGAGGCTGATAATTGCCTGGGATAATGGAACAATGGGTAGCCACCTTTGGTTTTCCATCCAGTCATTCCAAGTCTCTGCCTTGAGTCTCAATAAAGTCTATTGACTTATTGAAGAAATATATTTTTTGAATGTTTGTGATATGCCAGATGTTAGCAAGACCCTTGAGCACACAGTGTTAGATAATTCAGACACAAGGCCCTGTTCTCATGGCATGTACAGTCTAATGGGGAAAGCAGGCACAAAGGAAGAGGACAGGGTGTTTGAGAGGAACAGGTCCTCTGGGGTTCCCATGTTTAAGCTCCTCCTGAAGGATGAAATGGAGTTACCTAAGTTGAGGGTTTACATCAAAAGAATGGGAAGAAAAACAGTGTTCCAGACAATGGAACTTTAAAACAGGAACTAGAGTTAGAACACAGAGAGTGAGAAAAGTGATGGGCTGAAGGTTAAATAATTATTTCCCTGCTAACTGTCCCTGTGGTGGGTATGACTGTTTTACCAGGGTAAAATGGGGAGAATCATTTCCATTTCCATCCAACTATTCAGGAACATCGAAAAGAAAACAGTAACATGAAGACAGTGTTGAAGCCTTTGAAGAAAGGCACTGTGAACATTCATGCTGTTATTAAGCTCATTATTCATATTAGAACTCAAGCAGAAAGCATTGTTGCAAGCCCTTGGGCAAAACTAGTTTACCTCAAGTCTCTCTCTCTCCCCCTTGAAAAATGCCCTCAAGGTCAATATCTAGCTTTACCACAATGGATTTGGTTAGCAGTGAAGCTTGCTGAGCTACAGGTAATTAGGAAGAGACTGTCTCTCCCTCCTAATCATGCCATCCTCTTTGCCTTGGGAAGCCTTTGGAAATTCTTTTCCTTGGTCCCCTGTCTAATTAGCAGCAATGGTTGCACTTCAGCTCCTTCGTCTTAGAGCGTGCTCTGCATTCTCCACAGATGTCCACAATTCAGTAATCAAGGGCCGGCTTCCTGGGTCACTTGCAGGAGCAGACCCAATTAGTTCAGTTCTGAAGGCCTGAGACTCATAAAATAAGGTTAATTGGGCAAATGAATTTCAATCGCAAGCTCAACGTAGAACTCACAGTCTGATTTTTCAACTTCTGCATATTGTGGTTTTATATCCCACCAACTTCGTGATGCCAATCACTGTGGGAAAGGCTAAGTTGAATTCAACATGCTGGTAAAATCGGTGGCTGACCCACAAGCATTTCCACCAGGTAACTGAAAGAATTATAGTATTCAAATAAGCTTGATTAACAGAGTTGGGTTTTTTCCTCCATTTTTTTATATTTAAAATTTCAACGTTTTAGCTTTATTATTCTTGTAGTGAGAAATTACAACTGAGAGGGCTGATGTATGTGCTACCTGATAAGTACTGGAGGCCAAAACCATTCGAAAGTAGTGAACTGTGAGATACGTCCATGTCTGAGACCACTGGCTTTTAGAAATGTAGATTCTCCTGGGGCTTTTCTGTAAGTATCCCTCCTGTGAGTAAACTGTATTAGGTATAAATGGTAGGTTCAACTGATAGGAGAGCATGGGCATAGCACTTGACATCATACCCTTCTCTGGTCTTCTACAAACTGTACAATGTCTTTCAACCTCTCCTTGGTTTCTCTTTTTCCAGAATATGTTGATTCCTTCCACCATCCCATTATTATGATAATTTTACCCTTTTAGTATCTCCTGAGAATTTTCTTCACATGGATTCTGGTTTAATAAAAACTGATTGTTTTTTAGTGTGTGATACATTGGATAGAACTTGAAGACAAACTTCTTTACAAAAATTTTAGACTCTTGAAGGATTGAGCTATAAAACCGTGAATGGAAGCTGATTAGCTGTTTAAATTCAGTCTAATAAATTTTTTTCTGGATTGAGCTACGCAACTCTAAAACTTAGAGTGGTACATGCTTACAATCTTGGATTTTGCCCACAGTGCAAAAGCTTGAGTGATAAAAGAGGATGTCAGCAAGCCAAGCTCTAGGACTGGACTACACCTGTGGTCTGAGGTAGACTCTTCAGGGCTGTGAGACACATTCGGTATGTTCAAGATTGAGTTTGGTGTGAGAGGTGAGCCTGAGTTAATTACAGGCATTCGGACAGCAAGCTCAGCTGCCACCCCACCCCATCCCCATTCCTCTGAGCATCATGGGAGAAATCTCTGCATCTGAGTTAGACTAATAGAGTCACTCTAAAACTAGATGGAGCATGCATATCTGAAAAGGGGAAAGATCCAGTGAGATTGTGCAGTGTGTGTATTCACACAGTGATGAGCTAAAGAGCTGGAACAAGAAGATTTTCTGGGTTCTCATTCAGATGCTCTGCCAGGGTGTGGTGGCTCACGCCTGTAATCCCAGCACTTTGGGAGGCCAAAGCAGGAGGATTGCTTGAGTCCGGGAGTTTGAGGCCAGCCTGGGCAACATGGTGAAACCCTGTCTTTACAAAAAAGTACAACAACAACAAAAATTAGCCAGTTGTGGTAGCATGTGCCTGTAGTCTCAGCTACTCAAGAGGCCGAGGTGGGAGGATCACTTGAACCCTAGAGGGTGAGGCTGCACTGAGCTGAGATCATGCCACTGTACTCCAGCCTGGGTGACAGAGCCAGACCCTGTCTCTTAAAAAAAAAAATGCTTTACTCACAACACTTCTAAGTTGATTCATAAAATGTTGTATTAAATAGAACTTAAACTGCTAAAATTGTTTCAAAATATGTCTATAAATTCTTTGATGCTCCTCCCTCCAAAATACAGAGCCTAATTCTCCCTTTACATGTAAGCTGGACTTAGTGACTCACTTCTAATGAATAGGATATGACTAAGTAACAATAAATGACCAGGTTATTAAAGGCAGCTTGGCTTCCGCTTTACTGTCCTTCTGGATAAGTTGTTCTGTGGGAAGCCAGCTGCCACATCATGAGAACACTCAAGCAGCCCTATGGGGAGGTCAACATGGTGAGAAACTGAGGCCTCCACCCAACATCCAGTATGCAACTGAGGCCTCTTGCCAACAGCTGTGTGAGTGAACGTGGAAACTGATGCTCCGGTCCCAGACAGGCCTTCGGAAGACGGCAGCTGCCACCTCATGGGAGATCCCAAGGCAGGACCACCTAGCTTAGCGACTTCAAAATCCCTGACCGATACAAATACTGCAAGATAACAAATATTTATTGTTCTAGCCTGCCAATATTTTGAGGGAATTTTTTGCACGAGAATAAATAATACAACAGCTTATCACATTGTAACCTCGATTATCGCTCAGTTCTCCAAGAAATACCTAGGGTATTTCTGTAGAAAAGTTTTTCTTCAAGCTTCCAGTACATAACATCAAAGTCTTGCCTTTGAGTATTGAGTTCAGGGATAAATTCTCAGACACAAATGAGGTACCTCTTATGATTTTGTAGAGTTTTTCTTTAGGCTTTAGCTAACACAACATGAAAAAAAGTCTTGCTCTTGAGTCTTGGCTCAGAGATGAATTCTCAGATACAAATTAGGATTTCATCTGAGACAGAGTTTTTTTTTTATTAAGTTGTTCGAACAAGCTACCAACCCACTTTTGAATATATGTATTGGCTCTAAGAAAGAATGGCTATCCCTAAGTGTCCAGTTCTACCACTTAATCACTTTATCAGGAAATGAGACCCTATCTTCATTATCTATGGTTCATCCAAAAACAAATGCCACAGAATACAATTCTCTAACCTCTGCCTTCCCACAGAACAAGTTTAGGAATAACCAATAAAACTTTACCAAGGAGATTCTTCATCTGGATACATGATTCCAGAAATGACCTGAAGTCCCTCCATACAAACCTGGCTGTCCTAGGTTAGGTATTAGACTCTGTGAGAGTATTAGGGTAACAGAGTCAGAAGCTGATATGTCACTTCCCCAAACGTTAATTGAAGCACACCAGCTTGAGTAACCATCTGCCTTCCTTTCAAGGAAGGAAGCAGATTTGCATGCCCTCATTGAGGTAATCAAGATGTAAAGTCCTTCTGTTCTCTGAGTCACTTGTGAATGAATCAGTATTCCATGGTAGACTCAGTAGTTTATTAACTGCCCTCTGAGGACCTAAATATATGGAAATAATCTCTACAGTACAAAATCCTGAGCCGAAGAGTAAAAACCTGCTCTGTAATGGTGGATCTTAATACTTTAAACAAACAGATCCTGACCCAATTTATCAAAGCCACCTTTTTCTCCATCAGTGTCAACTCCTAATCTCAAGAGTAGATGAGGCTGGTTCAAGTGCAGTGAGTGGGGTTTATAACTAACTGACCACAATCAGTTACAGATGTCTTAGTTCCTTCTCCACTCCCACTGCCCACTTGACTGGCCTAAACCAAAAACAGAGTAGGTGATAAGCTGAACAAAATACTGTTCTCCCAGCCTCATCAACTAGAAATAAATTCTGGGGTTGTCCTTTTCATTGAGAAGGAAACAGTGCCTGTCTTCCTCAGGTGAGAGTGTGGAAGAAAACGCCAGCGTTGTGGTCAAGCTGCTCATCAGACGCCCAGAGTGCTTCGGCCCGGCCCTGCGGGGTGAGGGGGGAAACGGGCTCTTGGCAGCCATGCAGGGTGCCATTAAGATCTCTGAGAACCCAGCGCTCGACCTCCCCTCTCAAGGATACAAAAGAGAAGTGTAAGTGAATGGAATTCCCTTCCGGCACAGATACGGTTGGTGAGCTCTCAGATATTATTGGTATACGGATGATTTAGGAGGTAATAGAGAAAGCACATGTTCTTAACAGTTACAGCTAAAACATTGACCCTTCATCGAGAACAGTGTTGTCTTAACTCTCCCAGTAAGGCTAGTGATCAGCATCACCTTCACCCCCTTCCATTTTCTCTACTCTGCTCAGCGCAGCTGGAAATCACAAAGTGGGCAAACTCTTGGCCTCCCTATAGTATCACCATGGGGTAGGAAGCTAAAGGTCTGGACCAAGGTTGTACTCCTTGTCTAACTTCAGCATGTTTCCTTCAGTATTTTGTCCCACGGTGTCTCGTCCCATACCTCATTTGTAAAAACAGATAGTGCCTCCACTTCCTCTTCTGAAAGCATGAGGACTAATTAAGAAAGTGTTTCGATTTGACTTCTAAAAATAAATAAATAAATAAATAAACCAGCTGCAAAATGTGAAAAGTCGCAGCACTGTAATGTTGTTATTTAAATGTTAAGGATATAGTTGGTAGATTGTCTGATTGTCTTACTTTCCCTTTATCAAGTCTCATGATCATGTCCCTTTCTTTATCACAGCCTTTAGGTTAGACCGTAGAATCTAGAGAGTGGGCATAACCCAGCAGCAGAAACTCTTTAGACGGTTGGCTTTTTTCTTTGTCATCAGACCTGGTAGAGCTGGAAAGGACCCTACACATACGCTTTCGCCACTTCCTCAAGCAACATGAGAAAAAAACTGAGGCCCAAGGTCATATAGCTTATTAGCAACAGAGCCAGGACAGGGACTGAGCCCTCCTGACTCTTGGTCCAATGTGTTTTCCATGTATCTTCCCCTCACAGAGAGGAAAAGGGAATGAATGGTTGGTAGGAGTTATGGTCTGATGATCAGCTCATGTCGGTACTCATGCCTTAAGATTCATGGAATCCTGTGAATGTCATGGACAAAAATTTGGGTTCCTTGAGCTTAATGAATGAAACCACTTTGTCAACTTCTAGAGGAAGACGAGGTTCCAAGGGAAAGGATGTATGATATGCAAGAAGAGCAGAGTGCTTCCATATCAAGCAGCTTATGTCTCGCAGCATGGCAGTGCCTGCCAACCTTCCTCACACCTCCCCTCTGTTGGTTCTCTCAGCAGCACGGGGGACGATGAAGAGGAAGAAGAAATCGTGCATATGGGCAATGCAATTATGTCATTTTATTCGGCCCTTATAGATCTACTGGGCCGCTGTGCTCCTGAAATGCACGTAAGTGATACAGCTTCCAGAGAACAGCTTTGAGAAACCTATGCCAAGAACACTATAGATTTCCTGAACCTCATTTCTTCCTCTGTCTCTGGCATTTGCTAACATGCCTTTTTCTAGGTCCCTTTTAGCTAGTTTCAAAAGTAGTTTCCACCTCTGATACGTGACTCTGCTGCTTTCTAGGGAGGGACTCCCGGGCAGATCCCTGTCTTGTGTGATTTCTCTGTGGCACTAGTTGAGCATGTCCTCTGCACAGTTTATTTCAAAAGCCTCCCATTTGACATGCCTCAATTTGGTCAAAATGGGAGCAACTTGATTCTGGATCATGGCCATCAGGATGCTCCATGTAGAAGATCCCTTTCCTGATGACTGTGGCGTTAGGCCCCAGGAAGGCAGACTCTTCCTGTGGTTGGTGTTTGAATTTTTCCCCCAGAGGTAGAGTTTGCAAACATCACAAAAGGATGGTTCTATTTTATGAGATGTCTTCTCAGACTTCTAGTTTTGAACTAGAAAGTATGTTCTTTTCTTTTTTCACCTCTACTGAGGGCTGAAAGAATAAGCCTTATTTCATATAAGGTCTGACATCATAAGAGAGGAAATAGCTGCTTTTCCTATGAAAAGCAACTCTAAATCTTGATAAGGGAGGCTGATCTGAATTCCTAGGATTCCAATTCCTACTATGATAAAGGACCCTTACCCACTTAGGCCTGTTTTTCCATTTCTGTGCCTTTAAGTAAATGCAGGAAACCTGGAAGGGAGCCCAGAAAACACTAAGGTGTTCTACAGTCTTGGCGGGGGTGGAGAGGGTCAGAGACCCCTGTGTGTTCGCACTCTAGCTTTCCTGATCACCTCTCATCACATCAGAAAGCACATTATAGTTTGCTGCTTCTCAAGAAGGCAGCATGGGATAGCTCAGTCACCAGAGCCCCATCTGCGGTGCCCCATTCTTCCTTCCTTACTGCCTCTCTGCTCCAACACCTTACACACACACACACACACACACACACACACACACACACACACACACACATATATACATCCCTTCTTAGGACCCCTCCTGTGGGTCCTGCCCTATCAGTGGTGAGGGAAGGATGCCATCATCACCAACCACCTCTTCTCTACCCTTGGAGATGGAGGCGGCACCAGGGTGCGTGGGCGGGCCTTCTCCTTTCCCTGGTGGCACCAAGCATCGTATCTCAGCATACCATCCAGCCCACCTGGGGACAGTCTGACCCTATGACATTCAGTTCCCAGCTGAACGCCTACTACACCCCGCCAGAGACTGCCTGTGCAGGGGGATATGCATGCACACCATTGTACGTGCTGGTTGGCCCATCAGTGTCGGGGTGGATCGGGCTACTCAAGCCGGGATAACTCCGCTGAGCCCCTCAAGTTCTCTCTGACATTCTCTACACCCTTTTTGCCCAGTCATCATCCCCAGCATTAATCAAACTCTTAGAAATTGAAATTCATAAGCCATTTCTATGTTTAACAGATTTCTAGAGGCCAGGCGTGGTGGTTTACGCCTGTGATCCCAGCACTTTGGGAGGCCGAGATGGGCAGATCACGAGGTCAGGAGATCGAGACCATGCTGGCTGACATGATGAAACCCCGTCTCTACTAAAAAAAAAAAAAAAATACAAAAAATTAGCCAGGTGTGGTGGCGGGCGCCTGTAGTCCCAGCTACTCGGGAGGCTGAGGCAGGAGAATTGTGTGAACCTGGGAGGCGGAGCTTGCAGTGAGCTGAGATCACGCCACTGCACTCCAGCCTGGGTGACAGAGCAAGACTCCATCCCCCCCCCCAAAAAAAAAAAAAAAAAAAAACAGAATTCTAGAGTCTGGCATTGTGGCCACGCTGTCAACACTTCTGTCGTGGCCACTGAGCACTTCCGGCAGTGCAGTCACATTGAGAAGCCACCAGCAGGCCGTGTAGTTATTCCTGGGGCCTGATACCACAACCTCATGGCCACTTTAATAACAGCAAAGGAATCAAGCAACGTCTTTAGTCAGTTATTTCATCAGTAGCACTCTTCTGGAAAATCAAGATGCCACTCTCCTCTTTCCCTGTGGCCACAAGTGTCTGTAGCAATTAGGGAAACATAGAAATGGACCCCTGCCCTTAAGCCGTTTTACTGCCAGAGGTTTGGAGGTGGGGTGGAGGGAGGTGTGGGAACCTCACTTATCTAATGTCATTCTCAACCCTATCTTCCAGCTCATCCAGACAGGAAAGGGGGAAGCCATCCGCATCAGGTCCATCCTGCGCTCCCTGGTCCCCACAGAAGACCTGGTTGGGATCATCAGCATCCCCTTGAAACTGCCCTCCCTCAACAAAGGTAAGGGGAGTGACTGCAGGCTGCAGCAGCAGTCTCCCAGCAGCCACTGGCTCGGGGCAGGACTCTGTCCCCAGCACAGTGGCCCCCAGGCCCTGACTTGCAGGGCGGGCTGCACAGGGCAAGTGTCTCACTCTTTTTCCTGTGATGAGTTTTCTCCTCTAGGCTCTAGCCAGCTGCTCTCTTGTCTTCTCAAGAAGCAATCTCAAAACAATAAATCGACTCCTGATTCCTAGCATTTGCCCATTTCTGTGGTATAAACTTTCTCACCATGACCAATTTCAAGCCACCAATGTAATGTCACTGAACACAGAGTTGGGAAGAAAATGGACATGGCACACCATTAGATTGTATTCCCAACACACAAATACAACTGATGCAAAAAACCTCAAGAGTATAGTTCATAGTGAAATAATTCGGAAGTAATGACTTCAATCTGCTCTCTTGTCTGTGTCAGGACAATTGTACCCTGTGTCCCACAGGTACAGACAGACCTTGCTGTCCTCCTATGAGCATGCCAACCCTCTGAGGGAGGCTGATGGAATGGGACAAGCGAAAGCTCTCACCACGGCCTCCCTTCTCGTTTTCCCCTGGGTCCCCCAGCTTGTGTAGGCAGTTGGGGCACAGACGGGCCCCCACACAGCCTGTCTTCAGCCACAGTCGCATGCCTTAGGGCTGAGGATCATAAAAGTGTTTTCCCCCAGTGCTACCTGTGACATTTGACATCAGTCAGTGTTATCTTTGCAAAACTTATACTCTCCTCGAAGTGTTGTTTCTCTGAGTCGCCTCACCCATTATCCAGGCTAATGGAAGAATTGAAAACATATGATTCCAACCGTTGTCATGTTTCCCAAACTGATATTCCACAGAAGGTTTTTGTGGGAGATATTAATAGGTGTGCATATTAATAAGGGACCCGGGGTCAAATAAGTTTAGGAAATGCTGTGGAATACATCACATCAGTATAAGCACAGTAAAATGATTACATCTCTGAGAAAACTTAAGATAAAGCAAATAGATGTTGAACTCAGTGTTTCCCAAACATAAAACACTAACTAATATCCCACCACACCAGGCACGCATGAGAGAGGAAGTCAATTTCAGCCATTCAGGGCAGGAGAGGCCGCAGCCTGCAGTCTGGAAGGCCCCTTCTCTCTGGCTCTGCTGGAACCTGACGCTGATTCCTGGGCAGGACGAGAGTCTGGGCTGGCTCGGACTTAATTTTTGTCCTCTCAGGGTTCCTTATGAAGTCCCACACTTTTCCGGTACAGTATTTAAATATGCTGTGGCTATAGCGTGCTCATTTGGGGGTCCTCTTTCCTAGTTTTTAGTGTCAACAAAACAGGAAGAGGAAATTGTTTTCTATCCTCACTCGAAATCCTGTCTTTATTCTCCAGCTCAAGCAGTTTTTATTTTCTTCATAGTATTTCCCCACTTCACCTTTGAACCTCTTGATTAAGATTAGAATTCTTGGATGACCTGATTTACATTTCACCTAAATCAGACGATTATTTCCAAATATTGCAACAGTATGTCCTCGAAGTTTATTCTATTTATGATGTAATAACTACAGACATGACATATTAAACTTAATCTGTCTTCATTCATGTTTTCTCCCTCACTTACTTAGGTTTCAAATCAACAAAGCAATAAATCGAGCCCTGATTCCTAGCATTTGCCCATTTCTGTAGTATAAACTTTCTCACCATGGCCAATTTCAAGCCACCAATGTAATGTCACTGAACACAGAGTTGGGAAGAAAATGGACATGGCACACCATTAGATTGTATTCCTAACACACAAATACAATTGATGCAAAAAACCTCAAGAGTATAGTTCACAGTGAAATAATTAGGAAGTAATAAGCTCTAGTATTTGTTACCTTTTTTAAATATCTACTTAATTGTAAATTCTAATTTTTAATAATGAGCATGTTTAACAACTGGCTGGAATTTTAAACTGGCTTTTCAACAAAGTACAAGCTGCCTTCAGCGCAGCACTGTACAGATTGAGTATTCCTTATCCTAAATGCTTGGGACTAGAAGCGTGTTGGATTTTTTTGGATTTTGCAATATTTGCGCTATACTTACCTGTTGCATATCTCAAATCTGAAAATCCAAAATCCAGAATACTCATGAGCATTTCCATTGAGCATCATGTTGGTGCCCAAAAAGTTTCAGATCTTGGTGCATTTCAGGTTTCAGATTTTTGGATTTGAGATGCTCAATCTGTATTTTTCCAAAAATTCTTGTCCCTTATAGGGAGAATAAGCTATAGACAGACAAGCTCTGTGTTATCTTTTGAGACTTTGGAGACAGGAAAAGGGAAATTACATTTTCTATGTGTCTTTCAGATGGGTCGGTCAGTGAGCCAGATATGGCGGCCAATTTCTGCCCTGACCACAAGGCACCTATGGTGCTGTTCTTGGACCGCGTTTATGGCATTAAGGATCAAACTTTTCTGCTCCACTTGCTGGAGGTTGGATTTTTACCTGACCTAAGAGCTTCTGCCTCTCTAGATACAGTAAGTTGCAAAAATAACAAAAAATTATTGTTCCCATCATTGTGAAATTAGTAATGTTGGACTTCGAAGCAAATATTTTCTCTTTACTCACCAATTACATTTTAATAGCTTACTTTAATGGGTGAGAAAATAGAGGTATCATGAAATGGAAGATCTTAATTTATTGGGCCAGAGACTTAGATATAGGTCAATTTGACCCCAAATCCAACTCCCTCAATTGCAGAGTTTTTTTAACCTTGACAGTAAATGTTAAGGGGCTATCCTGTGCATTGTAGAACGTGTAGCAACATCCCTGGCCTCTACCCACTAGATATCAGTAGCACCCCAGTTCACCGCGAATCCCTGCCAAAATCAATTTCAGATATCACCAGATGTCCCCTCGGGGACAAAATCACCCTCTGGTGAGACCGTGTCTCTATTGCCTTTGAAAAAGGCTGGCTGGCAACATTATAGGCTGACATTACTCTTCACACTCTCGCTTCTTAGTTTCATGTACTGACCACCAGGATGGATAGGTCTGAAGCCAGGGGCCTGACGAAGGTCAATACAAGAGGACAAAGGCAAATATAAGTTTGGAAATCAAGGGTGAGATAGATAAGGTAGTTCACCATCAACAAACATCAAGAGAGGAGGCCCCTAGAGTTACAAAGCTCAGATACGAGATGCCACAAGTCAGAACTAAGCAGAAAAAGGTACACCAGGAGTCATAGGTCCAAGGAGAAAAGACAAACTAGATCTGCGTAAGTCTAAAAAACATCTTTCCAGTTTAGTGTTGTTTTTAGTTATAACATTTCTCAAAGGCTCCACCTGGTGTCCAACAGAGACAGAAATCTGAGCTCTGTGATGGGTTGTCAGCGGCAAATACCTTAACTTGGATGGATTCCACCTGCATGGGTTATCCAGAAATGGAAAGAAATATGAGCCCCAACCTGAGTGGGAGCTGCATTCCCATGTGTGGTATGGTGATGATAAATGGTATATATGACAGTATTAGGGTATACGATCCCTAATACTGAATAACCCAGTCTAACCCAATGTTTTGATATAATAAAACAATGAATAATTTTTTATTCATAATGAATAATTATGAATAATTATTTGTGAATAATTAAAACAATGCTTCTGCCACTGCTGTTGTTTTGAACTTTTCTATAAATTATTTGATTTTAAAAATAATTTTCTTAACTCATGGGATCTCCCCAAGCTTCCTGATCAAATAATTTAATGTTTTTATAAATCAAATAAACAGCAAATGCTATTCTAGTATCTGGTGTTCAATCACATGTTTGTCCAAACACCATCTACAACAAAAAGGTGTTATATTCAGTTCATTAACACATAGACATTCATGCATTCTCTTTTGAAAACTTATAATCTACTGAAATCAAAGCTCTGTCCTTTCTCGTTTTAAGTCTGTATATTAAAGTGATAAATGTGAAAGATTAGCTGTTTCTCCCAGCATGATTACTGAAGTTTCTAGGAGACAAACTTGATAATTTAGATAATTTATAGGAACAATGAGACATGTATATAGTTCAAAGAAAATGGTTTTTCAAATCATAAGTTATATAAAGTGTGTTACAGATAGAATGACTGCAGGAATCACAGGAAATGGCAATATTTCATCTCTGTGGATCTCAAGGTTTCTTTCGAAAGTTCTATAGTTTTCAAAGATGGTGGTAAAGCATGCTTTGGCTATACTTAGTGTCACTAAATGGGTTTTCCTTGTATTCCATTCATCCGTCTAAATGTACATCAAAGAGCATTGTAAGCAAGAACTATGTTAGAGTTGTACAGAAGGTCCCAAGTTTCTGTTCCTTTTCCACGTTGCCCATGCAGAGTCAGGTTCCCTTTAGTGGGGTCTACTCTAATGTCAGTATTGATTGTGAATTGCTCGAAGTGCTCACCAATTAACTGAAAGGAGTCAGAGTTCCACTTTCGCTTTCACAAAACTGGTGAATTTGAGAAACTGCTTGGCCTATAACCATTCACTAATCTTACAGTTGTAAAATTACAGTGTGTGAGTCCCTGGTAGGTGAGAAAAGAGAGCGAAAACCAGAATAGTAATGTAGTATCCTGGCAACTAGACTTTGCAAGCATCAAAATGTTGGGTTAGACTGGCCATCAGCTGATTTTAATGAGTTCAAAATTCTTTTGAAGGGAACAGATATTTATAGGATCATTTGGGAAGACTTAGAGCCAGCTAGCCTTTGTTATGATTTTTTTGTGTGTTTTTTTTTTGTTCTTTCTTTTAACTTGATTTTTTTTCATTGAAAATGCAAAAAGAAAAATAGAACTGCCGATAAGGTAGAAAGTTGTTCACTGCCTTGCTATGCAACGTGGACATATATAAGCTCCCACAGCTTGCTACATGGGAACTCTGTGCAGAGCCAGCTTTGCTCTGTTCCTCAGGGCAATTAACCTGTGTCCCAATCTTCTTTCTCTAGGTTTCCCTAAGCACCACAGAGGCTGCGCTTGCACTAAATAGGTATATATGTTCTGCTGTGCTCCCGCTCCTCACAAGATGTGCCCCTCTCTTTGCCGGAACAGAACACTGCACCTCTCTGATTGATTCCACACTGCAGACAATATACAGGCTATCCAAGGGACGTTCCCTCACCAAAGCACAAAGGGACACTATAGAAGAATGTTTGCTTGCCATTTGCAAGTAAGTACATATCCTATGTTGTTACTTCTGTGTATGCATCCAGGTCAACTGCATTTTCCTATGTAATCTAAAAACTGGTGGTCTAGTCTAAGGAAGCTTCCAGGCCATTGTCATACACCAGCCCTCCCCCAGACATCTCATAGGATGTGCTCGGCTCCCCTATTTGCCACAGGCTCTTCCTTGAGGCTCATCTTTCCCTTTGGGGGAAGGGAGAGGGCACAGCTCAGGCTTTACCCATTACGGTTGATGGACCAGAAGACTATTTCAGGCCTAAACTGTTCAGATTAAGGGCTGTCTTCATTCTCTTCATTCTCAAGATAGAGCCAGAAGCAGATGTGTCTGTCCTCTACATGAGCATATCTTACATAGAAGCCAGACTCTGAGTGTGAATAAAAGCAACCTACCGGCTGGGCACGGTGGCTCACGCCTGTCATCCCAGCACTTTGGGAGGCCGAGGTGGGCAGATCACGAGGTCAGGAGATCGAGACCATCCTGGCTAACACGGTGAAACCCCATCTCTACTAAAAATACAAAAAAAAAAAAAATAGCCGGGTATGGTGGCAGACGCCTGTAGTCCCAGCTACTCGGGAGGCTGAGGCAGGAGAATGGCGTGAACCTGGGACGTGGAGCTTGCAGTGAGCCGAGATCATGCCACTGCACTCCAGCCTGGGCGACAGAGCAAGACTCCATCTCAAAAAAAAAAAAAAAGCGACCTACCTCTAGGCCTCCCAAGACCAGCAACAAATGAAAGAAAAAACCTCCAGTCACAGTGGGGAATTAAAGGCAATAATTTTTATGACTGCAGATGGGCATCAGAGCCAGCTGAGGACAAAAGGTAAAGTCACCCCAAGAGCCTTGGGTCTTCAGGAATCTAAGTCAAGTCTGGTAGAATCCAAGGAAGACGACCCTTTCAACAGGTCTTAGCAGCACAGGCCAAGACTATGATCTGCTATTTTTCAGCCAGTGTTTTTCCTTCTCACCTGCATATCAGAAATGCCTGATGAGTTACGAAATAAATATCCCAGTGCCCAGGCCACATCCGAGCCCAAAAAGTCAAAACTGTTAGGGATGGGACCCAAGATTCTGGCTTTTGAAGCTTCCCAAGTGATTCCAATATGTAGTCCAGATTAGGAATCACTGCTGTAGGGCACTCCAGAGAGAGGATCAACAGCCTTCCCCCTTTAGGGGCCAGCTGAGTATGGTCTTGATTTCTTGTTGAATGAGTTCTTTTCTAATCACAGATGAAATTACTATGCATTGGGGAGCTAGGGCTACCTGGAAAAAAAAACTCATCGGTCCTCACATCGATGTGAGTAGAACATCACACCAAAAGGTAATCTCAGCAATGAGATAGCACTACACACATATCAGAATGGCCAAAATGCAGAACACTGACAACACCAAATGCTGGCAAGGATGTGGAACAACAGGAACTGTCATTCATTGCTGGTGGGAGTGACAATGGTATAGTCACTTTGGAAAGTAGTTTGTCAGTTTCTTACAAAACTAAATATACTCTTAACTATATGATTCAACTATCTTACTCCTTGGTTTTTTTACCCAAATGAGTTGGAAACTTATGTCCATACAAAAACCTGTATGCAGATGCTTGTAGCAGCTTTATTCATAATTGCCAAAACTTGGGAGCAATCAAGATGTTTCTGAGTGGGCGAATGGATAAATAAACTGTGGTACATCAGACCATGGAATTTATTCAGTGCTAAAAAGAAATGAGCTATCAAGCAATGAAAATACATAGAGGAACCTTAAACCCATATTACTAAGTGCAAGAAGCTAATCCGAAAAGGCTACATGCTGTATGATTCCAACTATATGGCTTTCCGGAAAAGGCAAAGCTAAGGAAACAGTGAAAAGATCAGTGGTGTCAGGGGTTGGGGGAGGGAGAGATGAACAGGCTGAGCACAGAGAATTTTTAGGGCAGTGGAAACAGTATAATGATGGATGTATGTCATTAAATACTTGTCCAAACCAATAGAATGTACAACACCAAGAGTGAACCCTAATGTAAATTATGAAATTTGGGTGATAACGATGTTTCAATATAAGTTTATCAGTTGTCACAAATGTGCCACTGGTGAGGGATAATGATAATGGGGAAGGCTGTGCCTGTATGGGGCCAGGGATATATGAGAACTCTGAGTACCCTTTGCTCAATTTTGCTGTGAACCGAAAACTGCTCTGAAAAATAAAGCCTGTTACAAAACAGTTTTAAAATGTTGTAAAAAGGATAATCTCATGCTTATATTTCAAATATAACAATGATCACTATGTTTAAAATGCTTTTTAAAATTAAGCTGTATCTACTGTCTTTGTATTGTCTAAGGCCTACAGGCTTTAACTGCTTTATGGAACAAGCTGTGTCATTGCATGGTATTATTTTCTTGGGGTGGGGAGTAAAGGCTGGTTGATGGGAAGGAGGCCTCGACCCAGGCCCCAAAAAGGGTTTTCTCCCAGAGATCTCCTTCCCAAACCAGGCCTAATATTATGTTACTGCTTCATTCAACACAAGATTTTTATGATAACTGGCAGACAATTAAGCTAATTAGAATATTTTTGATCTTTCAAGAGAGACAAATTTCAGTGGACACACCAATTAACCTCCAGGAATTAATAAGGTACCTAGGTTTTGCACTTTGCCGCTTCAAAAGGAAGATTAATGCCCCATTATTTGTTTTTATGAGCCTCTATTTTCTTAACGGTAGAAAATGGAGTAAATAATGAGTTTACACAAAAAGAAATCGTTTCCATCAGCTTTAATTTGTAATTGGTTGGTAATGCATCAATAACAGCTGCGATCGTGTTCCACCTTTTGCTGGAGCTGAACTCCAGGTGTATTTTAGAAACCACATCAACCAAGGACCCCTGCCTCCCAACATAAGCTGTTTCCTAATAACAAAGTCGCATTGGTGAGACTGATTTGAGCTGCAAATATTTCTAAAGAATCAGACTTTGGAGAAATTCGATTTTTTTTTCTTTTTTTTTTTTTTTTTTTGAGACAGAGTCTCGCTCTGTCGCCCAGGTTGGAGTGCAGTGGTGCCATCTCCACTCTCTGCAAACTCCGCCTCCCAGGTTCACACAATTCTCCTGCCTCAGCCTCCTAAGTAGCTGGGACTATAGGCACCCGCCACCACGCCTGGCTAATTTTTTGTATTTTTAGTAGAAAAAGGGCTTCACCATGTTAGCCAGGCTGGTCTCGAACTCCTGACCTCAGGTGATCACCCCACCTTGATCTCTCGAAGTGCTGAGATTACAGGCGTGAGCCACCGCGCCTGGCCGAGAAATTGGAATTTTACATCAAACAAAAAGTAGAGCTCACAGCCCCTATTACTGTACTTTTAGAGCTTTTCTTCTTGATCACTTGAGCTCTAGATGTAGCAGGCAAACTGATACTTAACTAGGTTTTTTCATTGTTTATTTTAATAAGTCAGGAATTCACAGAATTACAGACTTATTGCACTCTTTGTATTCAAGTTAGTGAATCTTAGGTGACAATTGCTAATTAGCTGAATAATTGAAACATTGAGTGATTTTTGCATTCTAACTATTGGATTCTGAGACAAGGCTACTTACTTGCTGTGTATTTTCACCCTGGGGCTTTTTATCACAAGGCCAGCTCCAGAAACAGTTGTGAAACAGACGACTTTTGTTCTCCATCTGCATACATCCTTCTTATTGTAGATGCTCCAAGGATTTCTTCCCTGGCATTCCAACATTTAACAAAGGGGTGTCAGCTTTACCTCCTTAGCTCCTTAGGCAATAGTGGAAAAAATCCAGGGATTCATGAGCTGAACTTATATACCAAATTGTGTTTATGTGTGTACACCTTTCTCTGGAGAAAACCATAGGTTCCACTAGGTTTTTTTTAAAGTTTGGCAATGTAAAAAAAGCAAAATTCGTGTTGCTTATCTCTCCTTTCTCTACCTCAAAATTTATTTGTGCCATGAACTCTGTAATTTGATAGATTATTCTTTAAATAGTTACTGTGTTTGCCTATTAACGGAGTTGTTTTGAGAACAAAGCCTTACCCCAAACAAATGATTCCAGTAGTGAGAATTTCATGGCCCAGATCATAAGGCGGAGGGCTTTAAAGTTCTCTTCAAATCGCACCAGTAGGTGGCCTCAGATTCCACCTGTGCAGCTGCTCAACGCCAGTTTCTCCCTCTGCAGAGTTCAGGGGACCTTAGAGATGACTAGAAAATGAACTGCACCTTCTTTCTGTTATATTCTTTGCACATAATCAGTGACTATATTTTGAGTATGCATATATCCTAGAACATTTTGTCACATAGCAATTAGAATTCCACTTCGGGTATCCCAATTCATTAGCACTCTTTTTCTGAATTTTAACTGTACTCTTTTCAAGTGTTTCATCATCTACTCTTGTTTATCCGAGATCTTGTGTATTAGGAGCTGTTTTGAGGCTTGGCTGTAATATGCTTATTGTTCAGTGTTTCTTTCATTCCTCCTTTATTATTATGTTTTCATTTTATTTATCTACGTTTGTCATTTCATACTGCAGTCACTTGAGGCCTTCCATGTTACAGCAACTCCTGCGACGCCTCGTTTTTGATGTGCCGCAACTCAATGAATACTGCAAAATGCCTCTCAAGGTAAACATCACTATTGTTACAGAAATACAGTCTATTGCACAGGAAACTTGCCTTGTAATATGTGATGTCTTCACAATTTAGAAGGAAAAATACATGCTAAATGGGTTTTACTCCCTTAAGTTGATGGTTAGCTAACAAGATAGATCCCACAAAACCAAGTCCTTTCTTGAATGCCGAGGTTGAAGAAAATTGCTCCAATTTTCTTTAACTGCTTTCCACTGACTGCTTGATATTTAGCTGCATTTAATACGAGGACTTAGATTTTGTGCTTCCCCAATGTAATTAGGTTTTCAGATTGTGTTCATCTCAAAAAGCTTTGAAGGCCCTGTGGTTTTTCATTAAATTGATTAAAATGTCCCTTTTCTATTCCATACTGTTTTGTGCTTTTCTTCTTTGTAAGAAATCTTTTTTGTTTGTTTGTTTTCTACTTTTTTTTTAAATGAGATGGAGTCTTGCTCTGTCACCCAGGCTGAAGTGCAGTGGTGAGATCTCAGCTCACTGCAACCTCTACCTCCCAGGTTCAAGCAATTCTCCTGCCTCAGCCTCCTGAGTAGCTGGGACTAGAGGCACATGCTACTATGCCCAGCTAATTTTTGTGTGTTTGTTTGTTTTTTAGTAGAGATGGGGTTTCACCATGTTGGCCAGGCTGGTCTCAAACTCCTGACCTCAAGTGATCTACCTGCCTCAGCCTCCCAAAGTGCTGGGATTACAGGTATGAGCTACTGTGCCTGGCTCTCTTTCTTAACAAAAAGACCACAGACCCCTCTCTTTTATTATTATTTTTTTGAGACAGAGTCTCGCTCTTGTACTCACACTTGAGTGCAGTGGCACAGCCACGGCTTACTGCAACCTTGAGCTCCCGAGTTCAAGCAACCCTCCCTCCTCAGTCTCCCAAAGTGCTGGGATTACAGCAGGTGTGAACCACCATGCCTGGCCTTCCCTTTTTTTTATTGTCTTGTTTCTGGTTTTCTCATAAATTACAAATATTTTATCACTAGAGGCATCTGGGCCTGGTGGGAGGACACCAGAATCAGTCATCCACCCAAGCAGACAGTGTTTTTTACCTTTTATCTCTGAGGCACCTGCCATATTCCCATATGCAAAAGTGTTAGCAATGGCTAGCCACACCTGAAAATCCTACCTAATGATTTTAACAGCACTTTCCTTTATAGTCCAAGCGAGCATTTCAGGCAGCATTTTACTGTGCTAACAAGAATTCCCAGAGGGCTTTAGTTCAATCCCCTGTCTTCATGCCAGGCAGAAAACAGTTTGTATGTTCTTAGAGATTCCACAGTCCTCCAAGGGCTAATTCTACTCTCTAGCAGCCCCAGTTTTCATCTCAAAAAAATACTTTAACTGAAAACCATAGTTAAAGTATTACCATCTTAATTTGGTATTGCTTCCTCTGCAAGCCTTTGCTGCCAGCTGGATACTGGCTTTGAAGAGGCATTATTGATATCACTCAATAAGCTCACTTTTACCTCTCAAATCTGTGGGATTTTTCTTGGAGGACATGGATCACACCTGCTGGGATGGAAACATTACTGGTAACTTCTGCCCTCTACTGGCGAGATGTGAAACTGCTGTAAAGTCACTGGGGTGTGAGAGAGGGGAGAGGGAGCGGGCACGGGGAGTGGGGGCAAGGAAACAACGGGTAGTAATTGACGAGAGAAAATCTTCAGACCCACGACTTGCAGCCCACCATCCTCTCCCCATATCAGCATCCCCCAAAGATCTTCCAGAATTACAAGCAAAGGTCCCAGAAGAAATTATTTCCACCCCTGACTGGCTAGAACAGCTCACAGTGGCTACTTTCAGAAGGTAGCACTTTCTGGTGTGAACTAGAAACGGCTCCTCTCCATTTCCTAGTAACTGCTAGGGGGCACATTAGGAGGCATAAGAATTAATCAGGCAGATCCGCTCAGGCTCAAGCTGACTGTTCCCAGCTTGAGAGCAGACTGTTCCCAGCGGTGTTTGAAGGGCCTCTTTGTAGACAGCCCAGCTGTTTCGCATGTTTCATTCTCATGGTCTCTGCTTACTACTTGATTCTCTCCTGCATGTTTTTGATGCCTGTGGACTTTCTCTATGCCACCCCGCTGGTCTGTCCTGTTCTGCACCTCCCAGCTTCTGACGAATCACTATGAACAGTGTTGGAAGTATTACTGCCTGCCTTCAGGATGGGGGAGCTACGGGCTAGCTGTGGAAGAAGAGCTGCACCTAACGGAGAAGCTTTTCTGGGGGATTTTTGACTCGCTCTCCCATAAGGTAATGACAGTACTTTCTGAACAAAAAGAGAGCATCTCAGTGCTCCAGCATCTACAGATAATAACAGCCGTCATCTGTTTAGCATTCCATTTGCCAGGACCTGTGCTAAGTACTTCACAAGCATATTACGCCAATCCTTGCCCATCTCTCTGAAATGGAAACTCTCAAAATCCTTATTTTACAGGTGAAGAAAAGCCTCAGAGTAGCTGAATAAATTTTCACATTCACAAAGCTGTACGAGGGAAAGTGACTACCAGAGTGAATTCCACACAGATCATCTGATGTCAGTCTTTGATGTCTTACCTCCCCATTCGTTTCCCCCTGATTTGGTGTGGCTCCTGTCTGCCAACCTTCACTAGGCTCGAGCCAAGAGGAAAAGTCCTGACATCTGCTGTGATGGTGGGACAGGGGATTTCCAGAAGACCTTAAGCCATTCTGGGAGAGGTTCTTTGCAAGCACTCATTTGAGGAGGCTTCGAGTGAGAACTGAGAGCCTCTGAATCCCAGGCCTTACTTGAACGGTGTGATTGAAGTAGAGCTCTGACTCTTAGACTTTGCTCCACTTCCCCTAACCCAGTTTGTGAGGTCAGGAGCTTTAAAGGTAGAAAATGAGTAGGTCTGGTTTTCTTAGAGAAATCTAGAACATGCACATAGCTTGTTCACCTGCACTTAAATTTTCTTTACCCCTGGATTTCGTTGGTCTAGTATAAGCAGATCAAAAGCTCTTCCCAACCCCATGCCATTTGACTGAAATTCATTTCTGGCTGGGTTCAAGAGAGAATGATGGATATTGAGCAGCCTGCTGATGATGTCAACATATGACCCATATCAGCTACTGCAGAGCTTGGCACAGCTTACTGTGCCCTCTCCAGTTATAAGTTGGGTCCGTTTCTGTGACCATCCTTAGCAGACAAGTTTATAGTCACCTTCTGGCCTAGCGCCTAGTCACTTTAACCCTTAGGTAGTCTTGAAATTAGTCATTTAGGAGATATTGATTTAAGCCTGTTTTAAGATTTTTCAACTTAAAGCAAATGGTGACTTGAGGATTTATAGTGTTATTTCATTTTCCAAGGATACCTGCATTTCCACCAGAAAATATTTAAGGGGTTACACATTTCCCGTTTTGGTTAACCTGGATAAATGCGCGTATTTTATTTCTGTTTTCAGCTGATTGGTGATTGGTTCTGTCTAAAGGCATGGTTCTGCTTTCTCTACTAATGTGGCCTTGTTTTTCCCTCACAGAAATATGACCCAGATCTTTTCCGAATGGCCCTGCCTTGTCTCAGTGCTATAGCTGGGGCCTTGCCACCAGATTATTTAGATACCAGAATCACAGCCACGTTGGAGAAACAGATCTCAGTGGATGCGGATGGCAACTTTGACCCAAAACCTATTAACACCATGAAGTGAGTCCAGAATCATCTCTGAGCTGGTGCTGTATTTTGTCCAATAGCCAATGTTTTCTTCCAGAGGGTAGCAAGAAATGTGAGCTTTACCTCTTTCCCTCCTGCCAACACTGTTCATCATTTCTCTTGATGTGTCAAGTCCCATCAGGCACAAGGTTTAATCCATACATATCTGTATTATTATATTCTGGGTTTTTGGTGGGGGAGGAAAGGGTTGGTTTATTTTTTACCAGAGATAGACGTTCCCACACATAAATATCTCCTGAGGCACTGAGAGAACTACCCTGACAAATTATGCAATTAATTTATTAATGAGCTTTTTGACAATATCTTTGCTCATGGTGAATTAGGCTCATATGGTTCTAATAGCATCATACATCACAACAGCTCCATAAATAACACTCAGCTGTGTCCTGGCAAGGCTGCGGTGTGATGGCAGAACAGTGTGGGGTCCTCACTGGAAAAGCTGGACCTGCTCTTTGCCATGCCGAGGGATGCTGGAGCTTCAGAATAGCCCTACCATTGCACCTTTTACTTTCTCCCTGTAATTTTCCAGAATTTCTCACTGGTGTTGACTAGGCCATGGAGGTGTGCTTATCCCTTGGGCAAAATATTGCTAAGTTTTGGCTTGTGGTAGTTCTGCCCAGTTATGAATATGCGCTGTAGGGTATACAGTCAGCTCCAGGTGCATTTTAAATGAAGAGCTCTAAAACTGCTTCAGAGTGAGCAGGGAAAGTAAGCCTGAGCCTATATGAGCCCCTTGGACCTGTCCTTCATGGCAGTAGTTCTCAAATGAAAGCCTGAACCCTTCCCAGGGGGACTGTCTGCTTTGATCATGTGTAACATTCGTCTTTGGGACAATTAAACACACATTCCGTTGGAAAGAGCTTTGAGCTGTGGGGATGGTGAGACAGAATTGAAACTGCTGTTAAGTAAGAGGTAAGAAGCATGGTGAACCATCAAGCTTGGGCCAAAGAAGGCAGGTGCTGACTTGGGAGGGCTCTGCCTATAAAAAGGGAACAGTGCTAAAGAAAGACAAAGCAAATGGCGTAGTAACTTGGATGCTTTTGAAAACGTTCTGAGAAAACATTATACTCTAGCAACTGTGTGTTAATGGCTCTGTGTTATTTTGAGAGTTCAGATTTATTCCAGTGTACCTGTGACATCAACATAGTTCCTTGAGGAATGTGAGGAATGGAGACTAACCCTGGCTTAAGGAGAAAAGCACCTTATTGCAAGAATATGGGGTCATTATCAAGACCTAGTGAAAGGCCAACCTGGCCTTAGCACGCATAGTCACCAGGGAAGGACTGCAATCAGGCACAGGGAGGAAATCGACAATCTTCAGGTGTCCCCATTGGGTAAATCACCTTGAAGAATTTACTGCCCTAGTTTCACCCAACTCAAGACTTAAATTCCGTGGAGAGAAAGTCTGATTTGCCCAGTCATATGCCCATCCTTGGTGACAGTTCACATAACACTGCATGCAATATAAGACTGTGCAATGCAAAGGGAATGTAGGTGCTGATACCAACAGAAGGGACAAGAGCTGTTTTCTGGGAAAACAGAAATAGCAGGTGTCTACTGTACTGCCAAAATTCTAGTTTTGTTTTGTTTTGTTTTGTTTTGTTTTTTTGAGATGGAGTCTTACTCTGTCACCCAGGCTGGAGTGCAGTGGTGCCATCTCAACTCACTGCAAGCTCCACCTCCTGGGTTCACGTCATTCTCCTGCCTCAGCCTCCTGAGTAGCTGGGACCACAGGCACCAGCCACTACGCCCGGCTAATTTTTTTGTATTTTTAGTAGAGACGGGGTTTCACCGTGTTAGCCAGGATGGTCTCGATTTCCTGACCTCATGATCCATCCACCTCGGCCTCCCAAAGTGCTGGGATTACAGGCGTGAGCCACAGCGCCCGGCCCCAAAATTCGAGTATTTTACCATGAGCCACTGAGCCCCAAAAGGTAGAAAACCACTATTTCATAACATACGGCTCTCTGGCTACCCATTTCTACCATTTCCAGATTGTAGCCAGAGGATGACAGGCCATTTACCTTGGATTCTCGCTGTCTAACCAAGACAGGTCTGGCCCAGGAGCCAAGAGACCCTGGAGCACATGGCAGGAGGCCTTCCCAGCCAAGGCTCCTGCAGAGATGTTCCATGGTTAGACTTGGGTGCGTCCGTGACCTAACCCTGGCTATGCCACCCCTACTCAGGAATGTCACTGCGCCTGGAGTCCAGCTTTAGCTTTGGGATTGGCTGGCTGATCAAATCCACCTTCTGACAGCTGGTTGATTGGTAGTTCTGACTATCTTCTACTATGTCTGGCTGAAGTGCTTGGGGAGGTTGTAATTTTTTTTCCTCATTTCACAGTTTTTCCTTGCCTGAAAAATTGGAATACATCGTCACCAAGTATGCTGAGCATTCACATGATAAATGGGCCTGTGACAAGGTAGGGATTATCATCCAACTGACAATCGTCAGGAAGGAAAAACAGCCCAAGAACATTAAAGGGCCCAGTCCTGGAAATCTGCCTGATTTGTCTAAGTAACAGATTTTCCATGCCGAGAGCATTCATTATTTCTGAGCAGCAATTTCCCAGGGTTGGTGGAGGTCAAAGAAATAGGTGACAGCAGCTGCTGGTGTTGCTTTTGTATTTCTCAAGAAAATGATCAATTCTGGAAGTGTTAACTTCTTTCTTAACATTTACTTACTGGAGTTGTGCCCAAACACAGGCTTGTATGTGTTTGACGTAAATGCTTAATGGGAATGGGAAGGCTGCTATTTAATTTTTGTCTTTGAATGCAGATTGGAAAAAAAAAATGAAATTGAAAGCCTAACCCTTACATGTTTCTGGAAGGCTGGATTTTATTCTAGGGAAGACATGCAATCGTCTTCTTATGGTAGGCAGTGGTAGAACTCCCAGACACTCCCTTATTAATAAGGCTCTCCATCTGGTGTTTAAAATTCCTCACCACATGAGGTCAGGCTGTTTAATAAGTTTCATTGCTGTGTCAACCCTTTAACACTGGCAGGCAAAGTGGGAAGACTGTGCCAAGGATATCCAGGATTCCTGTGGGCAGCCAGTTAAGGATTGGGGCCATTTCTCAGCTGCAGCCTACGGTGTGTAACAGTGGACCCATGTCCACAGCAAAGCCACAGAAAACCACCTCCATACAATGTGCCCACAGAGAAGGGACACCTTGAACCACCAGCTCAGCCTCTGTGTGGATGTAGGCTCAGCTCGTCCTTCCAGGAGTCTACTGGGAGCTGATGATAACAGCTATCATTGTAACTGTAGAACGGGCTAATACCTCATGATTCTAAAACAGGAGTTGGCAAATCTGTTCTGTAAAGGGCTGAATGGTCAACATTTGAGGCTGCAAGGGCCAGACCATCTCCATTGCAACAACTCCACTTGGCCGTTGCGGCACAAAAGTAGCCATAGAGAAAACATAAACAAAAGTGGGTGCCTGTGTTCCAATCACATTTTATTAATTAAAAAAAGGTGGCCAGCTAGATTTGGCTTAGGGGGCATAGCCAGGTGGCCCTTGCTCTAGAGCATCTGCGTTTTCTGAGAACTCCTTGCTTATGGCCGTTTGGCCAGCCTGTGAATTAGGGAGAAGAGTCACCTCCAGGAGCCCACAGCATTAGCCAAGCCATCACTCAACCATGTGGATTTGAACTCCCGAGTCTCTCTTATATCTGTATATTTGTCTCTGTTCTTATGACTTCAGTCCAAGCTGCCATCGTCTTTCACCCAGACGACTGGGATAAGCTCCTTGCAGGTCTCCTCAAGTGCATTTGCCCAGTCTGTTCTTCATACTGCAAGCAAGTCAGAATTTCAGTACACAAATTGAATCATACATATTCTACCACTGCTTCTCCTACCCAGCCCCTCTCCTTGTTAAAATCCTTTCATAATTTCTAACTATTCTGAAGACAATGGTCAAAATCTTTGGTATGGCCTGGTAGGCACTGCCTGATCTGACCTCTGCTACCATCTGTAGCCTCATCTCCTCCTTTGCCCTCTGCCCTCCAGCCACCTCCCCTTATTTTAGACTCACTCTCTCATATGCACTACACATGCCAGAGACCCTCCTCTGCCTGAGCCTGCCAGATACCCGCCTGTACTCACACACATTCTCACAGCGTTCACCAACTCATCCTGCAAATATCACTCCAAGCATGAATTCCTAGGATGGCATTTTTCAGATTTCTCAGCTCTGGGCCCTCTTAGCACCTTGTTCTTCTCTTTCATAGTACTTTCGTAGCACGCTTAGGTATTTGTATTTATAACAGTTAAACATCTACACATTTATTCTATTTATCAATTTTACATTCACTTGTATGGTTATTTGATTGATATCTCTTTCTGCCACTAGATTGTAAGCTTCATGAGGGCATAGATACATGCTGCTCACCAGTACCAGGCGGCGCTGATTATCTCACAAGAAAAAGAGTATTTTCCTTGCCCTCAAAAGCCTCATGATCTTGTGGGAGAAACAAAATGAACCAGCCATTGTGGGGCAGCTTGTTCAGGGCTATGGTGAGCATGAGCACAGGATTAGAACACATAGGAGTCCCTAATCCAGTACCGGGGGTCCAGGGACACCTCCCAGAGTTGGTGACATCTACAGCATTTGCTAAAGGATGAGTGGGAGCCATTTGTCACAAGGAAGTAAGCGCGCTGCCGGCCTTGGGAACAGCAGGTGCAGACCCAGGGAGGCAAGAGACAGTTTGGCTTTAGGGAACCATGGTTCAGTATAGCTAGGACATGGAGTAGGATGGGTACAGAGGGTGAGAGATAAGTCTGGAGAGGTCAACATGATCACCTTTTTAGGTTTACAGGTCATTTGAAAACATGTGGGTTTTACCAGGATGGCAGCTTGCTGTTGGAAACATTCGAAGTCAGTAGTGTGCCCACAAATGATTGTGATTTTTGACTATCCCCTGACAATAGTGTAGAAAATGAATCCATGGAGAGGCAGCAAGACTGGAGGCTGGGAGGCTGCTTAGGAAGCTCTTGCAGTAACCCCAGTGAGAGCTAATGGTGGCCTGAACTAACATACTAGCAGGGAAGTGGGTGAGAGAGACAGACAGACAGACAGACAAATGATGGGAGGGGTACAGGCAGTGGTGTCAAGGAGGACTCCCATGTCATTGGCTTGGAAAGTGAGCATAAGCTGGGGCTGTTCACTCCACTTCATCCAGGGGACCCACGAGGAGACATGTAGAGAAGTAATTTGAGGGGTGCCTGTGGAACATCCAAGCAAAGCTTAAATAGGTTTGAAACTAGGAGGGAGTTTCTGCGCTGGAAGTACTGATTTGATACTAGCCTCTTCTCGGTGGTAACTGAAACCAAGGGCCTAAATTAGATCACCCAGGAAGTATATGTCTTGAGAAGGGACAGAAACTTAGGAAATATACACATTTAACAAATGGACAGGAGCAGAGATTGAGAAAGAGCAGCCAGGAGTCTTGGGGATGTGAAGTTACAGAAATCAGGGGCTCTTACTTATCTCTGTATCCACTGTGCCTCGGACAGAGTCTGGTGTGTACCATAGAAGACATTCACCCAATATTTGTTGAATAACCCTAAAAGTTCTTAAACTTCTGTGACTCTAGGAAGCACACATCACTACACTTTTGCTCTGGCACTGGCAGGCAAGGGTTGCAAGGCAAATGGCCCCTCTAGGCAGTGGCAATAGGTCCAGTCTTCCCAGGCCTTCCAGTCCTAGCCTCTGTTCTTCCTGCGAGGGGAGTACTCTAACCTGAGAAGCACCATTCCCAGGGCCTTTTGAAACATGCTGTTTTAAGAGGGCCTGAAATACAAGTGAGAAAGTGGAGAGGACAGCAACTGAAACAAGAAGGAATAAAAGAGCAGAGTTCAAGATTCAGGAGGCGGAGAGCCTGATGGCCTGAAAAGATCAATTAGGCATTTTTGAGGAGAATTTCTAAGCCCTGTCACTATCCATTACTCCACTTGCTCCATGAAAATAGAAGCAGGGATTTGGGTCACATAGCGGGGTTCTTTGCGTGCCAAGGATATTTGAACTGAGAACATTTCTACAGAGTCAGAGTGGATGGAAATATGGGATTTCCCTGGATGAAAATGTGAAGACCCACCCACTGATAAGGCCTTTCAAGACATTAACGGAGAAGGTAAGAAGCAGGCCTCTGGTAACACTGTGTGACCATGCTGTTTCCTTCCTTGAGTGATTTTATCAGAGGAGTTCAGAGCACATTCACTCTCACGTCCCTACAACATCATCATCTAGGACTCAGTAAACTGTTCACAAGCTTGCCAGTGGGCAAGTGCCTCAGGACCAGTTTCCGAGAGCCCAGCCTCACTTTCTGTTCTTTGGCTTTGAGAGGCCATTGGTGAAAGAAGCATTGTTCAGCACTTTGAGGCTGGGCCAAAATGCATTTGTAGTTCTGCAACTGAACTGAACCAGGAAGGGGTTTGGTTAGGGCGGGGCAGGGAGAAGGCACGGTGAAATTGCTGGAGAAAATTCAGACAAGGCCGGGTGTGGTGGCTCATGCCTGTAATCCTAGCACTTTGGGAGACCAAGGTGGGAGGATTGCTTGAGGTCAGGGCTTCAAGACCAGCCTGGCCAACATGGTGAAACCCCATCTCTACTGAAAATACAAAGATTAGCCAGGCAGGAGAATTGCTTGAAACCGGGAGGCAGAGGTTGCAGTGAGCCAAGATCACGCCACTGCACTCCAGCCTGGTGACAGAGCGAGACTCCATCTCAAAGAAAAGAAAAAGAAAAAATTCAGACAAAAATAATTTCTTTCTTTCTTCTTTTTTTTTTTTTTTTCTCTTTTGAGGCAGGGTCTCGTTCTGTCACTCAGTCTAGAGTGTAGTGGTGTGATCTCGGCTCACTGCAACCTCCACCTTCCGGGCTCAAGTGATCCTCCCACCTCAGCCTCCCAAGTAGCTGGAACTATAGGCATGCACCACCATGCCCAGCTAATGTTTGTAATTTTTTAGCAGAGACGGGGTTTCGCCATGTTGGCCAGGCTGGTCTTGAACCCCTGACCTCAAGCAATCCTCCCACCTCGGCCTCCCAAAGCACTGGAATTACAGGTGTGAACTACCATGCCCAGCCAAAAATGATTTCTAATACATGGAAGATACAGGTAATAGAGAAGAGAATCCTCAAGAAAATATGGTTAAGAGAATGCATCTCTTGCTTAAAAAAATTAATTAATTAACGTATTTGGTTTAACTCAACTCTGAATTCTTATCTTGCAATCTGTAAGATTCTTAGTAAGCTTTAGGCCTAGGCCTAGTGTCACATGTAAAGGCTGGTGTATGTATCTTTGCATTCATGTTGACTACCTATTAAATTGTACATAGACCAAAAGAGAAATCTTTTTTTTTTTTTTTTTGAGACGGAGTTTCACTGTTGTCACCCTTTTTTTTTTTTTTTTTTTTTTGAGACAGAGTTTCACTGTTGTCACCCAGGCTAGAGTGCTGTGGTGCAATCTTGGCTCAGTGCAAGCTTCATCTCCTGGCTTCAAGCAATTCTTTTGCCTTAGCCTCCCGAGTAGCTGGGACTACAGGCATGCACCACTACGCACAGCTAATTTTTGAGTTTTTAGTGGAGATGGGGTTTCACCATGTTGTCCAGCCTGGTGTCGAATTTCTGACCTCAGGTGATCCACCCGCCTCGGCCTCCCAAAGTGCTGGGATTACAGGCATGAGCCACCGTGCCCAGCCCACAAGAATTCTAAATCTAAGAAATTATCTTTCCCAAACTCACAGGAGAGCTTTATGCAGATGCATTTTGACAATCTTCAACAACTACTAGAACATGAGGAGCCACTCTCCCATTCCTGTTCTTCGTCTACAGAATGTAGATAATGTCATTAATAATGTCTGGCACATTTCCTCCCAGGGCAGGAAAGACCGTAGGGTCTTATATCTAAAAACACCAGAAAGACTGTGTTTCGGGTAAGATGCCACAAAGGATGTTTTGACCTTGTGAGAGAAGGCTGGTGCTAACTAGCACCCCCACCCACAGTGGGATGCACCTTCCATGCGGAGATGGGCCAGGGAGAATGCTGGGGTGTGTTCTGCAAAGTGCTTCTGCTCAAATTCTCTTCTAGGAGAAGGAAATTTATCGCTGGCCTGCGCGAGAGTCCCTGAAAACCATGCTGGCTGTGGGCTGGACTGTGGAGAGGACCAAAGAGGGAGAAGCTTTGGTTCAACAGCGGGAAAATGAGAAGCTTCGAAGTGTGTCCCAGGCCAACCAGGTATGACACCACACCCAGAGGCCCACGCTGGGCCGATGGAAGCCATGGAGAATCTGGGAATGTTCTGCCTGGGGCATCGTAGGTGGGACCATCTAAGATGAACCCTGGGGAGTTTTCAGGACACATTTTTGACAGCTGAAGTTGGGGATGCCTGATAAGAACAAGGAAAATAATGGCAACCCAGTGACTCTGCCTTTGCTTTCCTAGGGCAACAGCTACAGTCCTGCTCCCCTCGACCTCTCAAACGTTGTGCTCTCCAGAGAGCTCCAGGTCAGTGCCCCAGGTCCAGCATGACTTGCTTTCAAGTGCAGGACGCATTACCTTCCAAAGAGTTAAAGGGGGAAAAAAGGGAAAGAATGCCTAGAACATATCACCACTAAAATTCAAAACTGAAGACGGTCACCTTGTGCAGAGGCCACAGGGAAAGTCTCTGCAGAGTGAACCAATCCTCCAAGGGGAGGCTTTGCGCTTCTTCTAAGGACTTCATGATGGATGCTGACTCAGTAGGAAGCACCACCAGCGCACTAGAGTCATTCCTCAGCATCCATGAAAGCTTTACCCTAGGACTTCCCACAGATACCAAAACCCACGAACGCTCAAGTCCCTGATATAAAATGGCATAGTTTTACCTATAACCTACACACATCCCCCCATATACTTTAAATTATCTCTAGATTATTTATAATTCCTAACACAATGTGAATTCTATATAAATAGTTGTTATGCTGTATTGCTTAGAGAATAATGACAAGAAAAAAATCTGTACATGTTCAGTACAGACACATTTTTTTCCAAATATTTTCAAGCTACAATTGGTTGAATCCACAGATGCAGAACGCATGGTTAAGGAAGGCTGACTATACTGTATCAAAAACCAAAATAAATAAGACAGCTAGGACAAAATCTGTGAAATTTAGCACCTCAATGGAGGTGCTTGCTGGTCATTGTAAGGCCCCCAAAACATAAGGACAGCCCACACGTCCCACAGTGGGTTTGCTGGAGCTCCCTGTGATGGTGCAGGCAGGCAATCATTGCAGGATATAGGAATGTAAGACCAAGGGGTTGAAACTGAAAGCCCTAAGCTGCTTCCTCCCGTTGCTCCCCTCCTGTACACACTGGTGGCTGTGGCCTGCCCTAGCCTGGAGCACTCACCCTCTGGAAGTCCATCAGACCAGCCCCTTGGACCTTCGAGAAAGTTTCTTTCCAAAGTACATCCTTCATTCTAAGTCACTGTTTTACAAGCCTTACAAAGATGGATTCTACTAGAGAAATCTTATTTACAGCACTTTCCTTTAAGACGTGATTATTTTTAGTTTGTTAAGCTATAGGCTTTCGGGGGTTCTAGACTTTTCTTGGCCCGCACTCCCAACTCCCCGTCTGAGGTCAGGAGTACAATACCAAGCTGCTGTGAAAAATGATGTGCTGCCAGCATGCGGGTTCAAGTGGAAATGGATGTTTCTCATAAATGCATCAAACTGCCAGAATAATAAGTTACAAGGGAAGGACAGAGTTAGAAATTGTTTTCTATGTGTATGGGAGGATAGGAAACTAATGAGGTACATAAGCACACACTAATTAATGATGGGAAGCCCTTGGCCGTCTGCTGTTAGTGTTCAGTGGTGTGCTTTTCCCGAGGCTGCCTGAAATGACCTAGCAGCTATGAAGCCAGCTTGCCTGCTTTCTTTCTTTTTGACTTGGCTCTTCTTGGTGGGACACAGGGAATGGTGGAGGTCGTGGCTGAGAACTATCACAATATCTGGGCCAAGAAGAAGAAGCTGGAGCTGGAGAGCAAAGGTGAGTGAGGTTCACAGCATCCCCTAAAGAAGCTGAACCGGGGCAGCTATGGTCTCCCAGAAGTGCAAAGGAAGAGCCAAATGTCATCTCTCACCTTACTGACCCCAGGTGGTGGCAGCCACCCTCTTCTGGTACCATATGACACCTTGACTGCCAAGGAAAAGTTCAAGGACCGGGAGAAGGCACAGGACCTGTTTAAGTTCCTCCAAGTGAATGGCATCATAGTTTCCAGGTAAGTCACCTTCCATGTGATGCTAGTGGGACAGGGCTGTGCCTCCCTAGATATTTAATTACGTGCCTACAAAACCCATCCAAGTAAGGAGAACAATTGAGTCTTTTAAAATGAGAACATTTTTATTTTAGAACATGAAGCCCTCTTTTTTTGATATAAGCAGAAATGTTAGGTATTAATTTTTAAAGATCAGTGACAACAAAGAATTATTACAAATTATACCTACATACCTTAAACATTTCATTGTAACTTAAAATATATAAACATGCATTCATTCACAAACCTTGTGCTATGGGCTAAGGCCCTTTCTTTGTATATTCTCTTTATTGGAGTTATAAATGACATCCATAATACAACCTCAAAGCTTTGGAATTTGGGCTTCTTTAAAGAGTGGTGATAATTTGCAGCACATGATAACAGGGTAAATGCAGTACCCTAGATATTTTTTTATTATTATTTAAGTTCTGGAGTACATGTGCAGAACGTGCAGGTTTGTTACATAGGTATACACGTGCCATGGTGGTTTGCTGCACCCATTAACCTGTCATCTACATTTGGTATTTCTCCTAATGCTATCCCTCCCCTACCCCCACAACCCCCACAGGCCCTGGGGTGTGATGTTCCCCGCCCTGTGTCCATGTGTTCTCATTGTTCAACTCCCACTTACGAGTGAGAACATGTTTGCTTTTGGTTTTCTGTTTGGTTTTCAGTTCTTGTGTTAATTTGCTGAGAATGATGGTTTCCAGCATTATCTATGTCCCTGCAAAGGACATGAACTCATCCTTTTTTATGGCTGCATAGTATTCCATGGTGTATATGTGCCACATTTTCTTAATCCAGTCTATCATTAATGGGCATTTGGGTTGGTTCCAAGTCTTTGCTATTGTGAACAGTGCTGCAATAAACATACGTGTGCATGTGTCTTTATAGTAGAATAATTTATAATCCTTTGGGTATATACCCAGTAATGGGATTGCTGGGTTAAATGGTATTTCTAGTTCTAGATCCTTGAGAAATTGCCACACTGTCTTCCACAATGGTTGAACTAATTTACGCTCCCACCAACAGTGTAAAAGTATTCCTATATCTCCACATCCTCTCCAGCATCTGTTGTTTCCTGACTTTTTAATGATCGCCATTCTAACTGGCATGAGATGGTATCTCATTGTGGTTTCGATTTGCATTTCTCTAATGACCAGTGATGATGAGCTTTTTTTCGTATGCCAGTTGGCTGCATAAATGTCTTCTTTTGAAAAGTGTCTGTTCAAAGCCTTCACCCAGTTTTTGATGAGGTTTTTTTTTTTTTCTTGTAAATTTAAGTTCCTTGTAGATTCTGGATATTAGCCCTTTGTCAGACAGATAGATTGCAGAAATTTTCTCCAATTCTGTAGGTTGCCTGTTCACTCTGATGGTAGTTTCTTTTGCTATGCAGAAGCTCTTTAGTTTAATTAGACCCCATTTGTCAATTTTGGCTTTTGTTGCCATTGATTTTGGTGTTTTAGTCATGAAGTCTTTGCCCATTCCTATGTCCTGAATGATATTGCCTAGGTTTTCTTCTAGGGCTTTTATGGTTTTGGTCTTATGTTTAAGTCTTTAATCCATCTTGAGTTAGTTTTTGTATAAGGTGTAGAGAAGGGATCCAGTTTCAGCTTTCTGCGTAGGGCTAGCCAGTTTTCCCAGCACCATTTATTAAATAGGGAATCCTTTCCCCATTGCTTGTTTTTGTCAGGTTTGTCAAAGATCAGATAGTTGTAGATATGCGGCGTTATTTCTGAGGTCTCTGTTCTATTCCATCGGTCTATATCTCTGTTTTGGTACCAGTACCATGCTGTTTTTGTTACTGTAGCCTTGTAGTATAGTTTGAAGTCAGGTAGCGTGATGGCTCCAGCTTTGTTCTTTTTGCTTAGGATTGTCTTGGCTATGCGGGCTCTTTTTTTGTTCCATATGAAATTTAAAGTAGTTGTTTCTAATTCTGTGAAGAAAGACAATGGTAGCTTGATGGGAATAGCATTGAATCTATAAATGACTTTGGGCAGTATGGCCATTTTCTCAATATTGATTCTTCCTATTCATGAGCATAGAATGTTTTTCCATTTGTTTGTGTCCTCTCTTATTTCGTTGAGCATTGATTTGTAGTTCTCCTTGAAGACATCCTTCACATCCCTTGTAAGTTGTATTCCTAGTTATTTTATTCTCTTTGTAGCAATTGTGAATGGGAGTTCACTCGTGATTTGGCTCTCTGTTTGTCTTTTATTGGTGTATAGGAATGCTTGTGATTTTTGCACATTGATTTTGTATCCTGAGACTTTGCTGAAGTTGATTATCAACTTAAGGAGATTTGGGGCTGAGTTGATGAGGTTTTCTAAGTATACAATCATGTCATCTGCAAACAGAGACAATTTGACTTCCTCTTTTCCTAATTGAATACCCTTTATTTCTTTCTCTTGCCTGATTGCCCTGGCCAGAACGTCCAATAATATGTTGAATAGGAGTGGTGAGAGAGGGCATCCTTGTCTTGTGCCTGTTTTCAAAGGGAATGCTTCCCGTTTCTGCCCATTGGCTGTGGGTTTATCATAAATAGCTGTCATTTGATACCTTATTTGATATTGGCTGTGGGTTTGTCATAAATAGCTCTTATTATTTTGAGAGATGTTCCATCAATACCTAGTTTATTGAGAGTTTTTAGCATGAAGGATGTTAAATTTTATTGAAGGCCTTTTCTCCCTCTATTGAGATAATCATGTGGTTTTTGTCATTGGTTCTGTTTGTGTGATGGATTATGTAGTACCCTAGATATTTTTCAAATTTCCTCCCTTATCTTTGACAGTTTTCTCACCCATACCTAATTCAAAAATTACGTATTTGGAAGCCTGCAATTGCAGGTCTTTACAAAATATGCATCTTAGTTTTCATAGAGTCAGCAGTTCTCTTCATACTTTTATTTGTTGTTTTATATGATATCTTATTAAATTACATAGTAATAATAGCAAGCATAACTGACATAAGCAGTCTTGGAACAAAGGGAATTGATTATTATGAAGATACAACTCTACTGGAGAGATTGAATGCATCATGATGTCCTAAGATGTTTTATCTCAAACTTACATAAGTCAAAATCATCTAGGTGAATGTTTTATATAGGATGGCATTGGCTGCTTAAATCTTAAAGTCAGGCTGTTTTCTCCCTGGTCAAATGGTGCTGGTGGGCTGTGCTACGTAGGATCATGCTTGCTGAGTTCTTTGTCAAATGAAAAGCCGGTGTTTTTATTCCGATATAGCCATTCTTCCTAAAAGAAACATTTACTGAGCAAGCTGCTGTTTCTTCTAGTTTCCTATAGATTTTTTGCCATCGAATGGCAAAAATAAAAATAAAAATCTGTACAAACATTTCTATTGTATCTCATATGAAAAAAATAGCAAGACTTATTTGCCGTGTTGTCGAACAGGAAAGGTCAGACAGCAGGAGATAGCCTCCGGGGAAGCATTCGAGAAAGACTCCCGTCGTCATTTTAATCCTGTTCTTAACACCAAGATGAATCTGTGGTGTGATTTGCTGATAAATAACTTGCTCACAGCAATGAAAAATTCCCGTTTACTGTAATGATAAAGGAAGTCAAGGAAATAGGAGGAAATCAAGAAGAAAGATACAGGAGTTCAAGACCAGCCTGGTTAAGATGGTGAAACCCATCTCTACTAAAAATACAAAAAATTAGCCAGGAATGATGGTGCGTGCCTGTAATCCCAGCTACTCGGGAGGCTGAGGCAGAGAATTGCTTGAACCCAGAAGGCAGAGGTTGCAGTGAGCCGAGATCATGCCAATGCACTCCAATCTGGGCGACAGAGTGAGACTCCATCTCAAAAATAAAAATACCCAGAATTTGACCACTTCTCACCCACTTCATGCTATCCTCATCCTCCTGCCTGTGCTCCCTGCTTCTACACTTGACTCACCACCATGGTCAATTTTAAACACAGCAACCAGTGATCCTGTTATGATGCAAGTCATGTCATGTCACTTCTCTATTGAAAACTTCTAATAGCTTCCCTTCTCACTCAGAGCAAAAGCAAAATCCTAAGGATGGCCTGTAGGGACGTACATGATTGTCCCCACTTCCTACCCCACACTGCTTTAACCTTCAACGCAACATGCATGCTCCTGCCTCAGGACCTTTGCACTGTCTCTTCGCCCCACCTTAAGAACTATTTCCCCAGATGTCCATATGGCTCACCTCCTCATCTCCTTCAAGCCTTTATTGCAGCATCAGTCTCCCAGTGAGACCAACCCTGACTACCCTATTTAACACTACAGTCTGCAAACCCTGGCAGTTTTACCTTTAAAATATACCCAGAGGCTGGGCGCGGTGGCCGGCCTTTCTGGACCAGTTCTGGACCAGTCTGGACCTTTTCATTCTGCTTTAATTTTTCTTTTATTCACAAAATGTGTTAACTTCTAAGATTCCATCTAATTTATATTTTGTTTTTTCTGTTTACAGCTAGCATGTAAATTCTTTCCGTAAGAGCAGAGATTTTTGCTTTCCCCTCAGACATCTCTAGCTCAGTACTCATTGTATGAATGATAAAGGTCTTTCTGAAAAATCTGTGCTCACATAGGTAGGTTCCAAGTGAGAGGGGAAATCAGTCAAATGATGAGTCATGTCACTACGCCAGAATAACCACTAACATTTGGAAATTAAATTCAACACTGGTAGGACTGGTGGTGCACCTGAGTGACATGGTTGTCTCTGTTACTTCCTGGGGTCTGTCCATGTCCAACGTAGGGGTATGAAGGATATGGAGCTGGATGCCTCCTCCATGGAGAAGAGGTTTGCCTATAAGTTCTTGAAGAAGATCCTGAAATACGTTGATTCTGCTCAAGAATTTATTGCCCATTTAGGTAAGTATCATCATGAAATAACCCAAAAGAATTCAATATTCTTTTATCAAGAAATAATCCTTTCAGACTGTAACTTTTTATGATTCATTTAGGTGCATGATTTTAGGGGGAAAACAGTGGCTGAAATTTTTTTCCCCCAACTTAAAAAAAATCAATCCGGCCGGGCGCTGTGGCTCACACCTGTAATCCCAGCACTTTGGGAGGCCGAGGCGGGCGGATCATGAGGTCAAGAGATGGAGACCATCCTGGCCAACATGGTGAAATCCCATCTCTGCTAAAAATACAAAAAAAATTAGCTGAGTGTGGTGGTGCACGCCTGTAGTCCCAGCTACTTGGGAGGCTGAGGCAGGAGAATCACTTGAACCTGGGAGGCAGAGGTTGCAGTGAGATCGTGCCATTGCACTCCAGCCTGGGGACAGAGTAAGATTCTATCTCAAAACAAACAAACAAACAAACAAAAACTCCTTAGTTTTTATAGTGGACTTGATTGAACCTTTTGTCATTTTTTCGCACAACTTATCCTATTTTAACTTTCCTGTTGTCTTGCTTTATGACTGTGGACATATGACTCAACCTCTCTGAAACTGCTTTCTTTCTTTTTTTTCTGAGATGGAGTTTTGCTCTTGTTGCCCAGGCTGGAGTGCAGTGGCACAGTCTTGGCTCACAGCAGCCTCTGCCTCCCAGGTTCAAGCAATTCTCCTGCCTCAGCCTCCCAAGTAGCTGGAATTACAGGTGCCCACCACCACGCCTGCCTGGCTAATTTTTGTATTTTTAGTAGAGATGGGGTTTCACCATGTTGTCCAGGCTGGTGTCGAACTCCTGACCTCAAGTGATCCACCTGCTTCAGCTTCCCAAAGTGTTGGGATTACAGGTGTTAGCCATCGCGCCCAGCCTTGAAGCTGCTTTCTGATTGTTAAAGTAGAAAAAAGGGTAGTGAAACAGCTTAAAGAATTGACACAAGAAATAGCTAACCAGGACAGTTGTAAAGTACTTTGTAAGATATATTTTGTGAAATCAGATAGCCTTTTTAAATAGCCTTTAGAAAAGCTGCTCTGTTTCTAAAATGTTGTGACTGATTTTTACTTCGTAACTCTGGCCAACTTTGTGTTACCTGTGTCTTCGTAGAAGCCATTGTCAGCAGTGGGAAAACTGAAAAGTCTCCCCGTGACCAGGAGATCAAATTCTTTGCCAAAGTAAGTGGCCCTGCACTTAATCAAATTACTTTCTTCTTAGGATCTCTACTATTTAGGAAACAGGTTAAGTGGATCCAGTGAAGATATCTAAAACTCCAATGGCTTCAGTGAGGTACATGTATATTTCTCTGTCGTGTAACAGTCCCAAGGGAGGCTGGCAGTCCAAGGAGGGATGCAGTCTGCCTAGCCCCACACCATCACCTGGGAACCCAGGTTCTTCCTCTCTTGCTACTCCACCATCTCCGGAGGTGTGGCCTGTGTGCGTGGTTCAGACAGGCTCACCTGCACTGCATCTGTGGGAAAGGGAAAAGGAGAAGGGAAGGCAAGCTGTTGCTTTTTAAAAGTTCTATCCCAATGGCTAGAACTTGTCATCTTTCACCTTACTGACCCCAGGCAGTATGTCTGGGGTCAATAAGGTGAGAGATGACAGGTTTACCCTTATGGTACATATGGTACCCTCTTCTGGTACGATATGATACCTTGAATGCCAAGGAAAAGTTCAGGGACCGGGAGAAGGCACAGGACCTGTTTAAGTTCCATTTGAGCTTCATCCAGCTGCAAGGGAGACTGGGTGATACGTTTTCTGCCTGGGTGGCTCTCTATCCAGCTAAAACACAGTGGGATCCTGTTGCCAAAAGGAAGAAGGGGAGAATGAATTTGGGCTCAAGTTAGCAGTCTCTTCCATACAGCCCTGCTCAGAGGACTAAAGGCACAGAAGGGCTTGAGTCGCCTTGCTCTGAGAAGCAGACAGAATGCTTGAGGCTAGTGGCACTAAGCCATGCCTTGAGTGCCTCTTAGATGCAGCGCCCAAGAAGCCCTATCTGAGTGCAGCTGTCTCGTAGGACTCCTCTGCAAATGCGCACACATTTCTTTGGGCCCTTAGTCCATGGCTGTCTCCTTTCACATGCCCTTAAGGACTCTGGTTTGAGGCATAGAAAAGGAAAATACGATGGAAACTGGGACCAAAGGGGTAGAATTTCCTGGAAATTACAGGACCAGGGTTCAGAGGCTTTTTGCTCACTGAAAATAAACACTTTTAAATGAACCAAATGAAGAGTTTTGGATAGCTTCCTAGAAGTTGATTTCTGGTGCGTTTCCCAGGTTCTCCTCCCGCTGGTTGACCAGTACTTCACCAGTCATTGCCTCTACTTCTTGTCATCCCCTCTGAAGCCCCTTAGCAGCAGCGGATATGCCTCCCATAAGGAGAAAGAAATGGTGGCCGGGTGAGTCTACAAGATAAAGGGAAGGTGATGGTGCTGATGCAATTTACTTAAAATGCCAGGTCCCTGTGGACTAAAAGGCGAGTCTTTTGGAGAAATGAAACTGGATGATGTTTTGGTTTGTCATCTGAGTTTCGAAAGAAACTATATTCATACATATCTGAATTATTTCAGCAACCAATTGAGGTATACTGTGTGGGAGTACCCGTGGGGCTTGGGAAAGATGTATATAATTAAATCAACATCGGGACAGAGATTAAGATGGCCGAATAGGAACAGCTCTGGTCTGTAGCTCCCAGCGAGACCAACGCAGAAGGAGAGTGGTGTCTGCATTTCCAACTGAGGTACCCAGTTCATCTCATTGGGGCTGGTTAGACAGTGGGTGCAGCCCAAGGAGGGCGAGCCAAAGCAGGGTGGGGTGTTGCCTCACCCAGGAAGTGCAGGGGTTGGGGAACTCCCTCCCCTAGCCAAGGGAAGTCATGAGGGACTGTGCTGTGAGAAACGGTGCATTCTGGCCCAGATACTGTGCTCTTCCCATGGTCTTCACAACCTGCAGACCAGGAGATTCCCTCAGGTGCCTACCCCACCAGGGCCCTGGGTTTCAAGCACAAAACTGGGTGGCCGTTCGGGCAGACACTGAGCTAGCTGCAGAAGTTTTTTTTCCTACCCCAGTGGCACCTGGAATACCAGCGAGACAGAACTGTTCACACCCCTGGAAAGGAGGCTGAAGCCAGGAAGCCAAGTAGACTTGCTCAGCGGATCCCACACCCATGGAGCCCAACAAGTGAAGATCCACTGGCTTGAAATTCTTGCTGCCAGCCCAACGGTCTGAAGTCGACCTGGGACACTCGGGCTTGGTTGGGGGAGGGGTGTCTGCCATTACTGAGACTTGAGTAGGCCGTTTTCCCCTCACAGTATAAACAAAGCTGCCAGGAAGTTCGAACTGGGTGTGGAACGCACCACAGCACGGCAAAGCTGCTGTAGCCAGACTGCCTTTCTACATTCCTCCTCTCTGGGCAGGCCATCTCTGAAAGAAAGGAGGCAGCCCCAATCCGGATTGTAGACAAAACTCCCATATCCCTGGGACAGAGCACCTGGGGGAAGGGGCGGCTGTGGGCGCAGCTTTAGCAGACTTAAAAGTTCCTGCCTGCCGGCTCTGAACATAGCAGCGGATCTCCCAGCACAGCACTCAAGCTCTGCTAAGGGACAGACTGCCTCCTCAAGTGGGTCCCTGAGCCCCGTGCCTCCTGATGGGGAGAAACCTCCCAGCAGGGGTCGACAGACACCTCATAGAGGAGAGCTCCAGCTGGCATCTGTCAGGTTCCCCTCTGAGACAAAGCTTCCAGAGGAAGGAGAAAGCAGCAATCTTTGCTGTTCTGCAGCCTCCGCTGGTGATACCCAGGCAAACAGGGTCTGGAGTGGACCTCCAGCAAACTCCAGCAGACCTGCAGCAGAGGGACCTGACTGTTAGAAGGAAAACTAACAAACAGAAAGCAATAGCATCAACATCAACAAAAACGACACCCATGCAAAAGCTCCATCCAAAGGTCACCAACATCAAAGATCGAAGGTAGATAAATCCACGAAGATGGGGAAAACAGCACAAAAAGGCTAAAAAATTCCAAAAACCAGAATGTCTCTTCTCCTCCAAAGGATCACAACCCCTCACCAGCAAGGGAACAAAACTGGACAGAGAATGAGTTTGACAAATTGACAGAAGTAGGCTTCAGAAGATGGGTAATAACAAACTCCTCTGACCTAAAGGAGCATGTTCTCGCCCAATGCAAGGAATCTAAGAAACTTGATAAAAACTTAGAGGAATTGCTAACTAGAATAACCAGTTTAGGGAAGAACATAAATGACCTGATGGAGCTGAAAAACACAGCACAAGAACTTCATGAGGCATACACAAGTATCAATATCCAAATCAATCTAGCGGAAGAAAGGAAATCAGAGATTGAAGATCAACTAAATGAAATAAAGCATAAGGACAAGATTAGAGAAAAAAATGAAAAAGAACAAACAAAGCCTTCAAGAAATATGGGACTATGTGAAAAGACCAAACCTACGTTTGATTGGTGTACCTGAAAGTGACGGGGAGAATAGAACCAAGTTGGAAAACACTCTTCAGGATATTATCCAGCAGAACTCCCCTAACCTAACAAGACAGGCCAACATTCAAATTCAGGAAATACAGAGAACACCACAAAGATACTCCTTGAGAAGAGCAACCCCAAGGAAATCATCAGATTCACCAAGGTTGAAATGAAGGAAAAAATGTTAAGGGCAGCCAGAGAGAAAGGTAGGGTTACCCACAAAGGGAAGCCCATCAGACTAACAGTAGATCTCTCAGCAGAAACCCTATAAGCCAGAAGAGGGTGGGGCCAATATTCAACATTCTTAAGGGAATTTTCAACCCAGAATTTCATATCCAGCCAAACTAAGCTTCATAACTGAAGAAGAAATAAAATCCTTTACAGACAAGCAAATGCTGAGGGATTTTGTCACCACCAGGCCTGCCTTACAAGAGCTCCTGAAGGAAGCAGTAAATATGGAAAGGAAAAACCAGTACCAGCCACTGCAAAAACATACCAAAATGTAAAGACAATCGACACTATGAAGAAACTGCATCAACTAATGGGCAAAATAACCCGCTAGCATCATGACAGGATCAAATTCACAGAGAACAATGGTAACCTTAAATGCAAATGGGCGAAATGCCCCAATTAAAAGACACAGACAGGCAAATTGGATAGTCAAGACCCATCTCAAGTGCAAAGACACACATAGGCTCAAAATAAAGGGATGGAGAAATATTTACCAAGCAAATGGAAAGCAAAAAAAAGCAGGGATTACAATCCTAGTCTCTGATAAAACAGACTTTAAACCAACAAAGATCAAAAAAGACAAAGAAGGGCATTACATAATGGTAAAGGGATCAATTCAACAAGAAGAGCTAACTATCCTAAATATATGTGCACTAAATACAGGAGCACCCAGACTCATAAAGCAAGTCCTTAGAGACCTACAAACAGACTTAGACTCCCACACAATAATAGTGGGAGACTTTAAAACCCCACTGTCAATATTAGATCAACGAGACAGAAAATTAACAAGGATATGCAGGACATGAACTCAGCTCTGGATCAAGCGGACTTAATAGACATCTACAGAACTCTCCACCCCAAATCAACAGAATATACATTCTTCTCAGCACCACATGCACCTATTCTAAAATTGACCACATAATTGGAAGTAAAGCACTCCTCAGCAAATGTAAAAGAACAGAAATCACAACAAACTGTCTCTCAGACCACAGTGCAATCAAACTAGAACTCAGGATTAAGAAACTCACTCAAAACTGCACAAGAACATGGAAACCAAACAACCTACTCCTCAATGACTACTGGGTAAATAATGAAATTAAGGCAGAAATGAATAAGTTTTTTGAAACCAATGAGAACAAAGACACAATGTACCAGAATCTCTGGGACACCAGCCAAAGCAATGTTTAGAGGGAAATTTATAATACCAAATGCCCACAGGAGAAAGCAGGAAAGATCTAAAATTGACACCCTAACATCACAACTAAAAGAAATACTGGAGAAGCAAGAGCACACAAATTCAAAAGCTAGCAGAAGACAAGAAATAACTAAGATCAGAGCAGAAATGAAGGAGATAGAGACACGAAAAACCCTTAAAAAAATCAGTGAATCCAGGAGCTGTTTTTTTGAAAAGATTAACAAAATAGACCACTAGCCAGACTAATAAAGAAGAAAAGAGAGAAGAATCAAATAGACACAATAAAAAATGATAAAGGGGATATCACCACTGATCCCACAGAAATACAAACTACCGTTAGAGAATACTACAAACACATCTATGCAAATAAGCTAGAAAAATCTAGAATAAATGGATAAATTCCTGGACACCACATACACCCTCCCAAGACTAAACCAGGAAGAAGTCGAATCCCTGAATAGACCAATAACAAGTTCTGAAATTGAGGCAGTAACTAATAGCCTACCAACCAAAAAAGGCCCAGAACCAGACAGATTCACAGCCTAATTCTGCCAGAGGTACAAAGAGGAGCTGGTACCATTTCTTCTGAAACTATTCCAAACAACAGAAAAAGAGGGACTCCTCCCTAACTCATTTTATGAGGCCAGCATTATTCTGGTACCAAAACCTGGCAGAGACACATACACACACAAAAGAAAATTTCAGGCCAATATTCCTGATGAACATCGATGCGAAAATCCTCAATAAAATACGGGCAAACCAAATCCAGCAGCACATCAAAAAGCTTATCCAACACAATCAAGTCGACTTTATCCCTGGGATCCAAGGCTGGTTCAACATACAGAAATCAACAAACATAATCCATCACATAAACAGAACCAATGACAAAAACCACATGATTATCTCAATAGACTCAGAAAAGGCCTTCGATAAAATTCAACACCCCTTCATGCTAAAAACACTCAATAAACTAGGTGTTGATGGAAAATATCTCAAAATAATAGCTATTTATGACAAACCCACAGCCAATATCATACTGAATGGGCAAAAGCTGGAAGCATTCCCTTAGAAAACCGGCACTGTACAGGGATGCCCTCTCTCACCACTCCTATTCAACATAGTATTGGAAGTTCTGGCCAGGGCAATCAGGCAAGAGAAAGAAATAAAGCGTATTCAAATTGGAAGAGAGAAAGGCAAATCATCTCTGTTTGCAGATGACATGATCCTATACTTAAGAAATGCCATCGACTCAGCCCAAAAACCCCTTAAGCTGATAAGCAACTTAAGCAAAGTCTCAGGATACAAAATCAATGTGAAAAAATTACAGGCATTCCTATACACCAATAATAAACAAAACAGAGAGCCAAATCATGAGTGAACTCCCATTGGCAATTGCATTTATTCTCACAAAGAGCATAAAATACGTAGGAATACAACTTACAAGGGATATGAAGGACCTCTTCAAGGAGAACTATAAACCACTGCCCAAGAAAATAAGAGAGGACACAAACGAATGGAAAAACATTCCATGCTCATGGATAGGAAGAATCAATATCCTGAAAATAGCCATACTGCCCAAAGTAATTTGTAGATTCAATTTTATTCCCATCAAGCTACCATTGTCTTTCTTCACAGAACTAGAAAAAAACTACTTTAAATTTCATATGGAACCAAAAAAGAACCCACATTGCCAAGACAATCCTAAGGAAAAAGAACTAAGCTGGAGGCATCACGCTACCTGACTTCACACTATGCTACAAGGCTACAGTAACCAAAACAGCATGGTGCTGGTACCAAAACAGAGATATAGACCAATGGAACAGAACACAGGCCTCAGAAATAACACCACACATCTACCGCCATCTGACCTTTGACAAACCTGACAAAAACAAGCAATGGGGAAAGGATTCTCTACTTAATAAATGGTGTTGAGAAAACTGGCTATCCATATGCAGAAAACTAAAAGTGGACCCCTTCCTTACACCTTATACAGAAATTAGCTCAAGATGGATTAAAGACTTAAACATAAGACCTAAAACCGTAAAAAGCCTAGAAGAAAACCTAGGCAATACCATTCAGGACATAGGCATGGGCAAAGACTTCATGACTAAAACATCAAAAGCAATGGCAACAAAAGCCATAATTGACAAATGGGGTCTAATTAAACCAAAGAGCTTCTGCACAGCAAAAGAAACTACCATCAGAGTGAACAGGCAACCTACAGAATGGGAGAAAATTTTTGCAATCTATCTGTCTGACAAAGGGCTAATATCCAGAATCTACAAGGAACTTAAATAAATTTACAAAAAAAAAACAACCCCATCAAAAACGGGGGTGAAGGATATGAACAGACACTTTTCAAAAGAAGACATTTATGCGGCCAACAAACATATGAAAAAAGCTCATCATCACTGGTCATTAGAGACATGCAAATCAAAGCCACAATGAGATACCATCTCACGCCAGTTAGAATGGTGATGATTAAAAAGTCGGGAGGGCAGCCACAGTGGCTCATGCCTGTAAACCCAGCACTTTGGGGAGCCCAAGGCAGGCAGATCACGAGGTCAGGATTTTGAGACCAGCCTGGCCAACATGGTGAAACCCCGTCTCTACTAAAGATACAAAAAATTAGCCAGGCATGGTGGCACACGCCTGTAATCCCAGCTTCTTGGGAGGCTGAAGCAGGACAATCGCTTGAATCCAGGAGGTGGAGGTTGCAGTGAGCCATGATTGCACCATTGCACTCCAGCCTGAGTGACAGAGCGAGACTTCATCTCAAAAAAAAAAAAAAAAAAAAAAAATCAGGAAACAACAGATGCTGGAGAGAGGATGTGGAGAAATAGGAATGCTTTTACACTGTTGGTGGGAGTGTAAATTAGTTCAACCATTGTGGAATACAGTGTGGCGATTCTTCAAGGATCTAGAACCAGAAATGCCATTTGACCCAGCAATCCCATTACTGGGTATATACCCAAAGGATTATAAATTATTCTAATATAAAGACATGCCCGTGTACGTTTATTGCAGCACTGTTCACAATAGCAAAGACTTGGAACCAACCCAGATGCCCATCAGTGATAGACTGGATAAAGAAGATGTGGCACATATATACCATGGAATCCTATGCAGCCATAAAAAAGAATGAGTTCATGTCCTTTGCAGAGACATGGATGAAGCTGAAAACACTCATTCTCAGCAAACTAACACAGGAACAGAAAACCAAGTACCACATGTTCTCACTCATAAGTGGGAGTTGAACAATGAGAACACATAGACACAGAGAGGGGAACATCACACACCGGGGCCTGTCAGGAGGTGGGGGCCAAGGGGAGGGATAGCATTAGGAGAAATACCTAATGTAGATGACAGGTTGATGGGTGCAGCAAACTACCATGGCGCGTGTATACCTATGTAACAGAACTGCACGTTCTGCACATGTGTCCCAGAACTTAAACCATAATTAAAAAAAAAAAAAAATGAGCATCTGTCCTGTGACAACATTGAGAAGAAGGCAAAGATCATTCTGAAGCTTGGGGAAAGTGAACACGTAACACTGTGAATAAACAGGTGGACACTGCTTTCCATCCCATGCTTATCAAACTCTATAAGATTAAAACTTATAAAAAGACTCAGATCGACTGGACACGGTGGCTCATGCCTGTAATCCAGCACTTTGGGAGGCCAGGGCAGGCGGATCACAAGGTCAAGAGTTTGAGACTAGCCTGACTAACATGGTGAAACCCCATCTCTACTAAAAATGCAAAAATTAGCTGGGCGTGAAGCCACGTGCCTGTAATCCCAGCTATTCAGGAGGCTGAGGCAGGAGAATCGCTTGAACTTGGGAGGCAGAGGTTGCAGCGAGCCAAGATCATGCCACTGCACTCCAGCCTGGGCAACAGAGCAAGACTTCGTCTCAAAAAAAAAAAAAAAAAAAAGACATCATACAAGTCCTGATGTGAGTGAGCTGAAATTTGTAGTCTAAAACAACATAATTCAATTTAAATTCCTAATAGGAAAAAAATTTTTCATCAAAAGCACCAGGCTTCCTACTCATTCCACTAGGTTAACATGTAGATACATTAACAGAAATGAGAAAAGAGGGGATAGGTCATGATTGGGCTAAAAGATGGATTCTACTGTGCCTCAGGTTCTCTCTGTATTTTATTAAAGAAATACAGGAATGGACTAGACTTTTAAGTAGCAAAAAGCTAAGACCCTAATGAAAATAGTTAGGAGGCCAGGCGCGGTGGCTCACACCTGTAATCCCAGCACTTTGGGAGGCCAAGGCAGGCGGATCATCTGAGGTCAGGAGTTCGAGACCAGCCTGGCTAACATGATAAAACCCCGTCTCTACTAAAAATACAAAAGTTAGCCGGGCATGGTAGCACACACCTGTAGTCCCAGCTACTCAGGAGGCTGAGGCAGGAGAATCACTTGAACCCAGGAGGCGGAGGTTGCAGTGAGCCGAGATGGCACCACTGCACTCCAGCCTCGCCAATAGAGTGAGACTCCGTCTCAAAAAAAAAAAAAAAAAAAAAAAGAAAATAGTCTAAATAGTCTAAAAACGCTTTCCCTAGCATCCAGTGAACAGTGTACATTATAGGGCCCAGCCATTAAATATCACCATCTTGGGGAGGATATTCAACTTTGAGATTTAGCTAACTTTTATGAAACACTTAGCATTGAGCACAGTTTTTTATATATAAGAGTTATTGCCCATTTGTGTAAAAATCTCTGTGAAACATCATGATGTTTTAAATTCTGAGAACTGCCTGTGTAGTATGATCTCCATTTTCCAGATGAAGAAATTGAATTTCAGTTGGGTTAACTCTACTACCCAAAGTGACTCTTCTGAGTTAGGACAAGAATAAAAATGCAGTCCTGGCTGAGTGCGGTGGCTCACGCTTGTAATCCCAGCATTTGGGGAGGCTGAGGTGGGTGGATCACTTGAGGTCAGGAGTTTGAGACCAGCCTGGCCAACATGGCAAAACCCTGTCTCTACTAAAAAAACAAAAAAAATAGCTGGGCGTGGTGGCACGCACCTGTAGTCCCAGCTACTCTGGAGGCTGAGGCAGGAGAATCGCTTGAACCCAGGAGACGGAGGTTGCAGTGAGCCGAGATGGCACCACTATACTCCAGCCTGGACAAGACAGTGAGTCTCCACCTCAAAAAGAAAAAAAAAAAAAGAAAAAAAGAAAAACCAGTCCTCTGTATCCACGTGAAGTATGATTTATCCTGCACCCTAATTACTTACTCTAAGTTAAGACAGGAGACGCCCCATGCTATCAAAATGAGATACTCTTAAAATCAGGTGCTGACCGAAGACCTCCTAAACATTTGCAGGATGCACCAGTGTGTTTTGTAAGAAGCTAGGGAAACAGTGAGTAAAGTGAGATATTCAGATAATCCAACAGAGGGCAGGTGTGTCTGTTTTCTTTATCTACTTTTCTTAGATTATTAATTCATGGAAATGTAACATTTGTTCAACCAGGCACCATTTGTCACGGCTGGAATACAACCTAGAGCCGATCAGCCTTGCAAATAGCTTTCAAATCCATCAGTGTGCTTGCTGCCCTCCCACAGAAGCAGTCGTGTTTGCACTGAATGTGTCTGCATTGCCAGATTTCTCTTCTTTGCAATCTTCGCCCTTGCGCCACCTTTTCTGCATCTGCAGCCCTTTGCCCGTGGGTCTCAGACTCTCCCTGAGATTCCTTTCATTTATTGTCTTCAAACTCTGAGATGGAGGAGAGGCACTTGGGGACTCGGGGCCCTCATAACTCTGGGCTAAAGACGGTGCTTCCAGTTAAATCCCAGGTTCCATAGGGAACAAGCAGTAGCCTTTGGAAATTTCAGATCCTGGCCTTGGCATGCCTAAGAAAGCACTTCTGACAATGAGATTAGCCATGTTAGTATGAGGATCAAACAACCCAAATATCTGCCTTTGTTAGAAAAACATTGTTTTGTGTTTACACAGAACATGTGTCCAACTTGAAGCATTTTCACCAGAAATACCTGAGTTTACCTGCCCCTAACTCTGAAACCCGAGTCCTATGATGACTCTCTACAGTGAGAAAGTTACCACACAGAGCAGTTAAGGGGCTTCCCCAAGACAGCCCAGCTAATCACAGAGGAACAGAGCCCACATTCCACAGGGTTAGCCCCTCGCTTCAGCTCCATGAGTTTGCATCAACTACCCGTCTCTGAAAAAAAAACCATGGGAAGAAAAAAAGAGCAGCCGATATTTAATTTCACCCTAGATGGCTGCCACGTTTCTGGTAACTTATTGTGTGTTCTCTTAAGCTATAGGCCAGGGGGTCCCAACTCTTTTCCACTGCAAGACCAATTAACTAGCCATGGGAACTTTTGTTGTGATTTTCCAGTAGACAGTCCAAAAAGACTCAGGGCATTTATTGAAAACATTTAAAGGTGAGCAGGTTTTCATCCCCATCAACACTCAGGATATATTCCTTCCCCATTTGAGTTGTCCTATGGAAGACTTCTGCCCTGAATGGGGTAAGGAGCTCCGTGATGAGTTATGAATCAGAAACTGGGAATGTGTCACCAGGGGACCCCGTGGCCTATCCAGGTGGCTTTTTTCTCTCTTCTTTTTTCCCTCTTTCTATTCCACTGCTTTCTGAAGCAACTGCAAAGTTCTTGTCTAGCCATGCCAGTGTCAGTAATGTCAGTTCTGAGCAATCTCTTCCCAAGAGCCTCAGCAACACAGGTCAAATGATGGCCACAGTGCCCCTAGGTGAGGTCCATTAGCAGCATGTTCAGAAACAGCGATGGACTCCTTTCTGACATCACAAGGCCCTCATTAGGCACTGTGGAAAGTCAAACAATGAGGCACAGCTGAACCTTCAGTGGTTCCACAGTGGAAAATATGGGTGAAAGCATAAAGGAGAGTCAAAAAACACAAAAATATACAACATGGGCCTTTCCTAGTTTCCAAGGACCCAGTTAGAACAGTGACCTGGTCAGGCCTGGAGACTAACTGGAGATGACAGAGAATACACAATTCTTAAAACGTTTTTGTTTAACACAATCTCACCTTGTACCTGAACCATTAACACTTTTCCAATCCCAGCTTCTTGCCAACCTCCCAACTAAAACTTCATACCCTCAATGGAAGGCTACAAAATGGTTTGCAATCCATTGCAACAAGGGGAAAATCATGCTTTTTTCCGGAGTCTTCATTTATCCCTGAATGTCACACAAATGAACGTTTCAGTACATGGTACTCTATAGCAAAGTATACTTTGCACTGGGTCACTGCAAAATACTATAACTGTTTCAGAGGGATTGTGTTTAATAAAGATGGAGCTGCCTGCAAGGTACCTTTCATGATTCTCCAAGGCAGTGTGAACCACACATGTTCCTGAGTGTGGACCAGAGGATTCTTTGCTAGGAACATAGTGCATCTCCCTAGAATGCCACTCTGTGCTCTCTGTTTCACAGTGTAAGGGACATTGGGGTGGGGGATACAAAGCGTGAGTCCTTTAATCTCTGTGACTTTCTGAATTGCTTTCTTTTCTGCTTCAGCCTGTTCTGCAAACTTGCCGCTCTCGTTAGACACAGAATTTCCCTCTTTGGTAAGTGAAGTGTTGCTCAAGGTACCGCTCCTCCCTGTAATTATCTTGAACTTGCACTTTGCCTTTATTTGTGTCTTCCTCAGACAACCCGGGCCTTGGGACTAAGGTGTCACCTAAATTTGCCATAGAAAATTGATCTGAAGCATGATAAATGACCTCTTTACCCTTTTAACTGCTCAGATTTTCCACACCAATGAAAATTTTAAGCTCTACCTCTGACATCCATCATAAAGCAAGGCTGTGTCAGGCTAGAAATTAATGCATTGTCGCTGAACACAGGCCCAGGACTTTATGTGTTGGTAGTTAATTACGCTGGGGCTGTGGCTTGTGCATATGGAGAAGACTGCATTTGAAAGACAGGCTGAGTGGTTTGAGGGAATCACAGATGATTTTTTTTATTCCAGGTAGTGATTCTACTACAATGGTGAGCTGTCTTCACATCTTAGCTCAGACACTTGACACAAGGTAAGTCTGCCCAGTTTTTCCCAATAGTTTCTCATGACTTCCTCTCTGACCCTCTCATCTCACTAATTATACTGAAGAGAAGACAGATCGCTGCTGCCAGGCTTTGAGAAGAGAGGAGAGACAGGGCAAAGACCCTAGAAGTTAGCACTCTCTTTTTCTCAGTTCACATAACGAGAGCCACTGCCATGGCATAGACGGAATGCAAAGGCCTGATCAATTCTTATCTTTCCTTCCTAAGAAGTTTGTCTTTCAGAAGATAAAATATATAATGTGGCAAACCCCACTGGTGGGTGGTGAATCTACAAATGTTATGGGAAAGATGAACCACAGCGCTCTGAATTCAAAATGGCCAAGGAAGGAAATGCACAGAGATCTGGCTTCAAAAGAATCAGAGACAAAGACGTTGATGCCATGGCCTAGGGATTTGGGAAGAAGTCTTAAAAAATAATACATAAGTTCTGGTAATAACACAAATGATGAGACTGAAAAGAGAGACGCAGGCCAGGCGCGGTGGCTCATGCCTATAATCCCAGCACTTTGGGAGGCCGAGGCAGGCAGATCGCTTGAGCTCAACAGTTCAAGACCAGCCTGGGCAACATGGTGAAACATCTACAGAAAATACAAAAACTAGCCAGGCATGGTGGTGCATGCCTGTAGTCCCAACTACTCGGGTGGCTGAGGTGGGAGGATGGCTTGAGCCCAGGAGGTGGAGGTTGCAGTGAGCTGAGATCACGCCACTACACTCCAGCCTGGATGACAGAGCCAGACCCTGTCTTAAAAAATATATATAAATAAGAGAGAAGCAGTGGAAAGAACTGACAGGGACCTTTCTTTAACATGCCCATTAAGAAGGGTCCTTGTCAGAGCCGGGCACCATGATTTCTGCCTATAGTCGAAGCTACTCAGGAGTTCAAGACCAGCCTGAATAATGTAGAGAGACCTCATCTTTAAAAAAAAAAAAAGAAAGAAACGTCTTTATCAAAATTGGGAGGAGGACACACCTCCTAAGACCCAATGCAAAAGAGGTTACCAACCTAAAAGAGTGGGACACTAAAAGAGCGTCCCAAAGATGAAAATCCACAATGAACTGAGAATGGCTATAAAAAAGGAGGAGAATAAGGACTATTAAAGGGATGAGAAATCTTTACTCCAAGAAACTTGGGAAAAGTCTTGAGAGAGTCCAGTTTTTTGTTTGTTTGTTTTATTTTGTTTTGTTTTGTTTTAAATGAAGGTCAGTTGCAGGTTGGTGTGTTTAGTAATTATTCCTGACAAAACCTGGGACTAGAAAGTTAGGAAGGGCCAGATGCAGTGGCTCACGCCTGTAATCCCAGCACTTTGGGAGGCAGAGGTGGGTGGATTGCTTGAGGCCAGGAGTTCAAGACCAGTCTGGGCAACATAGACCCCCATCTCTACAAAAAATTTTAAAAATTATCCAGACATGATGGCACATGCCTGTGATCCCAGCTACTCGGGAGGCTGAGGTGAGAGGATTGCTGAGCATGGGAGGCTCTCATGAGAGGTCACTGCACTCCAGCCTATGCAACGGAGTGAGACCCCATCTCAAAAAAAAAAAGTTAGAAAGATAGCCCATGAATACTTATAGGATAAGAACAAGCCTAACTGACTTTATTTCTTTGTTTGTATTGTCTTGATGAGTTGAATGATTATCAGGAAAATGATGTAGATAAAAAGCATCTGTCCTTGAACCAAGTCTTTCATAATCTTCTGAATAAGATATAGAAATACAAAACTTATAGATGACTTGTAAGCTTTGTTCCAATTCTAAGTTTTATGAAATACTGTAGTTTTGAGGGAAGGCTTCAAATCTCCATAGCTGATCTTCATCCCTGTAGATCACATTTCAATGTTTTGTTTTGTGTTTTCCAGAGGTCTGATTAAGCTGTCTACTTTAAAACGGCTAGTTGTCTCTTTTCTCTTTCCTCATCCAACCTAGGACGTTTCCCGCAAACTAACAGAAATCTAAGCTTCTGTTGACTTATTTCCTTGCTCTTTTCCTCTAAGAGGTCTTACATCGGAAGAGTTTATGTTTCTAGCTAACCTTTATAAAAGTTGTTTATCTAGGCTGAGCACGGTGGCTCACGCCTGTAATCCCAGCACTTTGGGAGGCCAAGGCGGGCGGATCACCAGGTCAAGAATTGGAGACCATCCTGGCCAACATGGTGAAACCCCGTCTCTACTAAAAATACAAAAATTAGCTGGGCGTGGTGGCGGGTGCCTGTAATCCCAGCTACTCGGGAGGCTGAGGCAGGAGAATTGCTGTAACCTGGGAGGCAGAGGTTGCAGTGAGCCGAGATCACACCATTGCAGTCCAGCCTGGTGACAGGGTGAGACGCTGTCTCAAAAAAAAAAAAGTTGTTTATCCCACAACTTTTCTTAAAGCTCATTTCCCTGTTCTTTTAACTAGATCTTTACAGAAGACTTTAGCCAGTTGCAACTTACTGTAGATAATAGTGGGTGACCAATATTGGCTTCATTCTAAATTGTTCTCTGCATTTCCTGAAGAGGTGAGCAATGTTTTCCTCAGACTGTCCAGTGGCTAGCCCCTCTGGGATTGTGTGATTCAGGTTTCTTCCTGGATGTTAACTGCTCTCTCCCTTTCTCCTGACACAGTGTCATTGAGTGACAGGAGTGGCAAATGTCTGCCCAGATGACACTGCCAGTTTCAAGAAGGGGATTGGCCAAAAGTTCAGATTATGCTTCTAGATTTGAACATTGTTTGCTTGCAGGACTGTCATGAAGTCAGGCTCAGAGCTGGTGAAGGCTGGGTTACGAGCATTCTTTGAAAATGCTGCAGAAGATTTGGAGAAGACTTCAGAAAACCTGAAACTTGGGAAGTTCACCCATTCCCGAACGCAGATTAAAGGCGTTTCTCAGAATATTAACTACACTACAGTGGCTCTGCTCCCCATCCTGACGTCCATCTTTGAGCACGTCACTCAGCATCAGTTTGGAATGGATCTACTCTGTGAGTTCTACTGGTATTTGTCGTGGATGTATGTGCACATGGCCCCAGATAGGAGGTGCAGGGCCCATTCACTTACATTGACCTTGAGGGCAGAGCAGAGAGAGAATTATTCCATGCCTTTTCTTTCTTAGATTAAAAAAGAAGAAGAAGAAGAAGAAGAAGTAATATACTCTTGGAATGGAAAGAAATTCCCTAATTTGAGTATATAATATTTATCTTTTTCCACTTTTGTTCTGGACCAGAATTTCCCATCTGCCTGTCTAGCTCTCAGCTATTGTACTCTCGCTTAATTTCAAAGGTTATCTGAGTAATACAGTGGGAGATACAGATTTGCTCCTGGGTTTTTGAGACATCATTTTTCTTATTAAGAAGACTTAATTTATTCATTGGATACCAGGAGCAAAGGAAAAATGCTAACATTTCCTTATCTGAGCTTTCGGAAGACCAAAGTTGGTTGGTTTTATTTTAGTTTGCATTAACACCATATTTAGTGCCACCACCTCCTCCAGCCCCCTGTGCAGATAGTCTGCCACCAGACTTCAGTTTTACACTTTAAATATTGGGACATGATTTAATTTGACCAGTTGTTGATAGCTAAGACTATGTCTTTCATATCCTTGAACAACTGAAAATCAGTGATTTCTGTTGTGTGGGGGCTGGAAGAACATCCAAACTCATTATTTTGTGCCATAGAAACAGTGCAGTTCCTTGGTCGGAAAAGAAAACATTAAATTAGTTCTGAAAGTAGTCCCGGCCTTGGTATGAGCTCTAGACATGGCTAGGGATGTGTAGCCGCCAGATTCACAAGCAAAACATGCCCTTCCCCTAGGAAACATGATAAAATCATACTATTGAATTGCCTTTTGCAGAACACCCAGCAGAGAACCTGGGATAGGCAGATGTGAGGGATTTTGCTCTATCTCTAAGGGAAGTCTAGCAGTTGGACGTATCTTCCTGGGAAATGAGCAAAAGGCTCATTCAAGCTTCAGATTTTCTGCATTCATCCTTCCAAAGGAAGGAAATATTGCCCTGGATAAAACTGGGCTAAAATGTCTCTATTGGAAACGAACCAAATCGCATTATGGAAGGACCCATTGGTCAAATGATTCCTTTCCCTGTGAAGCGATGTAATCTTCATGATAAGCCCCACAAAGGAACTGGGATTGCTCAGTGGAGGATTTTTCCTATATTTTTTTTTTCCTAGTCCAGCAATTAGCAAACTGGCATCTGGGTAGAAAAGGGATATGTTTGTTGAGAGAGAAAGGGAGAGATCTTTTACTCTTTACTGATGCTCATGCATTTTTTTTTTCCTCTTCATGGATCCTTTCTGTATTCAGGATTGATGCAAATCAATGATATTTCTTCTTTGTTTCAGTGGGTGATGTGCAGATTTCATGCTACCACATACTGTGCAGCCTCTACTCCCTTGGGACGGGAAAGAACATTTATGTTGAAAGGTAATTAGTGAACGAAGAGGCTAACACTTTCAGGCATAGTAAAATGTTACTTACAGCCTTTTACACACTTAATGATATCATTTCAATCCAGCAAGACCAAAATGCTCACTGATACAGAATGGTGGTTTTGAGCCTTGTTTATGACATGCTTTTGGCAATGTAAAGAAGTGCAATGATGAGGCTATTGAGATTTATGACTCCCGTGGAGATAGCTGGCGAATGTATGTGGCTGGAGAAGCAATATAGCCAAGCTAAATCAGGTGCTCATAACCAAAATGTGTTGGAGATATGTCTGCTTCTTCAGAATCACAGCTTCTAAATAGCTTCCAGAGTTTCTGAGGTTAAAGTGCGCTGAGAAGCTCAAGGGACATGAGGCAGTTGCTTTAGTGTTTAATGAGTTTCTGTGTGCTACAACCCTGGACTTTTACCAGTCTTGGCTGTCGGATTTGCCATAGTTTTCAACAAGTGCACACTTTGGTATTAGCAATGCTAGTCAATACTCTTGAGTCTGAGCAAGCTGACTGCAGAAGCGTGTGGGTTCCAGTTTTGCCTCTCTAATCTGCTTGTCACAGCAGAGACCCTCGGTGACCCCTTGCTTTTCAGCATCAAATGCCTTGTGTTCTGTTGTTGTTCTGTTTAATCCATGGGGAAGATTGGGAGGATAAACAGTATTAACAAAACTAGATCTTACTCTTATCCTTGGAAGATTTTTGTTTTCTTTCTTGCCTTTTCAAACAAGCAAACTGGAAAGAATTCGGTCTGTGCTTACAATTACTTAATCGAAAATCCTTCGGTATCTGCTTTCTATGTGCTGCCTCTATGTATAATGCTTTTATCAAACAAATTGGTAGTGAACCCTCGTCTCATGTCAGAACTTATATTTATTCAAATTGCAGTTTCTCAATATAGCCAAAGATGAAATAAAAGACTTCAGCCCCTTCAAGAACTAAGGAACTACTGACTTGAAGTCATGTACTAGAAACCAAAAAATGTTGTAGAAATGTCTGTTTCTTCATAATCACGGCTTCTAAATAGCTTCCAGAATACAAGAAATTGAGGAACTAATGGCTGCGTTTGTTTTTATTATGATTTTAAGTCTTTAACAGTTGTCAGGCTTTCCTTACTGTTTTACATAAAATATAGATAAATCATTTGTAATTTAGGATAGGAACTGGGCAGACAAAGTTTTATCCATATTTTATACCAAATCACAGAAAAATCAACCAAAAATTTTTCTATTAATGCCAAATTTCACTTGAGGCAGATGTTTTTAGTTTATTTCTCCCACTGAGCATTTGTAAATACATCCTCAGTATCTTTCTCATTCTCTTGTTATATGTATATAAGTATACATTCACTCATATGTCTGTATGTTTCTTGGTACAATTTTTTGTAAAGCTTATGCATTCTTCTCTTGAAAAAAAAAAAAGTCAAAAAGTCAACTCTGAAGTGTCAGACCAGAAAAAGACTGCTCTTCATGTGACTTTCTATCCTTTATTCATGGATTCATTCCAGGTTGATTGTGTATCTGCAGCACCGTGAAAATAGTGCCTGTGCTTCGTGCTCCATGTTGGTAGAAGTCAAGGCTTGGAGAAGCCCCTAGGTTAAGGCTGTCCCTATTGCTTTTTTCTGTATTTTTTTTCCTAAATATTTTTTCCCCTGAACTATGTTTCTCATCTGTGTGTTGGTTATTAGGTACATTGCTAGTTCTCGGGAGTGGAGAAGGATGTGTGTGCTTGTGTGTTTTAAAATGGAGGAGAATGAACAGGAAGAAACAGCAGGCAGCTTCGCATCTGAGAACCTGGCTCAGGACTAACTCTTTCTCCCTAAATCAGCCGTGTGTTTAGCCCTAGCAATGTACCAACGCTCAGCCTCTCATGTTCTCCCCCAGCTAAAGTAAGCAGCTGGCCCAGGTGAGAGGTTGGTGAAACTCAGTGCATCCTAGAGTCATAAGACTTGTGTTTAGTGATTTAATGTAACTGTATTCCCTACTTAGAGAACTCAAGTCAGTGGCCACAAAACGGGCTACTTCTTTCGCTTTGCCTGACCTCCAGGGTTTCTCTAGGCTAGGAGTCCAAGTTATGAGAATGGCAGATGGCATGTATACTTTTCCCTACTCTGTTCCCATCTGCTACTCTGTAATGGAACGTGGCCCCACACGCATGCTGCCCACCAGGTCTCCCGTGGCCTGCTCACACACTTCATCCTCATTGTTTCAGGCAAAACCTTATCTTTTGGCCCCCTTAAAACCCCTATATTCACTTACAGAGGCCAAAGTCCTCTTCCAGGTCTGGAAAGTATGTTTCCATTTCGGTGTCCTTACTTGATTTGGTTTTCATATTTTATGGGTTCAGAGTTACCGTACATTTTCCAATTTTAGCATAGATCAAGATGTCTTCCCAGTTTCTTTTCATTTCTTGTGGGTTTCACAGAGGAAAGTACAATGAACCCACCATTTCTCTACCACCTTTTGCTGGCGTCTCCTTGACTGATGAACGTATGTAAGGGAATCACTACATACTTGCTTTCCAGCTACACCTGGAGTATGCTTTGTAGATAGAAATGATTCAAGACACCTTGGTGATAGGGTTGACTGTGAGGGGCAAAGTCACTGAAACAGAGTACAGACATTTCTTTTGGAATGTTTTCTAATTGAGACAACAACACTGAGAATGTCATTGACAAGTGGAGTTTGCAGACACAAAATTTCAGAGAAGGGTAATGGTTTGTGCATTTAATCATGCAGAATACCGAATTATTTAACTTGGAGATACTTTGATGAACTTAAAGAGCATTTGATGGGGGTTATTCAAGAAAGCAAAGCTTGAAACTTGGTAACGTTAAACACTGGGTCTCAGTTTTGTTTCAAATGAAGACTGAGTTTTCTACTTCATGCTTTAAAGCTATTTTGTTTCTTTCATCCTGTCTGGCTCCCTTTGACCAATTATTTCTGATCAGACATTGCACAATGTTCCCTAAACCTCTAAGGTCACCATCACTGCTGTCTAGACCCGTGTCCTGCCCTGTCCCCACTGTGCTTTCTGCTTCTCTGTTACATGTTATTTCCTCTCTTTAGTACCCTCTGGAATATAAATGAAGGAACTTTCAAAATTGCAAAGCACCATTTACGTGCAAGATATTATTATTATTACTTTGATGACTTTGTCTTTTCCTATATCCCTAACAATCGATTTTGAAAGGCAAGATTCAGATACATGGAAATAAAACTGAGAGATTGAAAAGGAAAGTGCTACTTGTCAAATTAGGATGTAACAAAAACTGAAATACAAACTGAACACTGTCCAGTCTGTCACCATTGACCAAGTATGTATTGTGTGAAAAATACTGTATGAGGCAGTGAGAACCGAGACCAGACGAGCCTGGGCAACCTGGCAAGACCCAGTGGCTACAAAAATTTTTTAAATCAGCCAGTCATGGTGGCACATGCCATAGTCCTAACTATTCAAGAGGCTGAGGTGGGAGGATTGTGTGAGCCCAGGCTTTCAAGGCTGCAGTAAGCTGTGATAGCAGCACTGCACTCCAGCCTAGGCTACGAAACAAGAACTTGTCTCTAAATAAAGAGAGTTTCCATATCCAATGATAAACCCTTCCAATATATCCTCTGGTTATTATGGAGCTGTTTCTGTAGGCTTTTCTCTGTGGGAAGCTTGGCCCATACCAACACTCCCTGCTGGGGAGCACTAATGACCAGTGAGCCTTATATTAATAACAGCAAGTCTTTGCCTAGCTCAATCCCTCCTTGGGCTTTGGGACCAAAGTCATTCACACTGATACTTCATAGCCAGGAGCATTAATTGGCAGACTTCTGGGTTTTACTTTTACAGACTTCTCAGTTTTACTTTTTTTTTTCCCCTGGGTTTAACTTTTTAACAGCTAGGCCAAGAGAGCTGTTGTTTATTTCTTATAAGAAGCTACTTAGCACCAATGTGCACCCCAGAGTAGAAAATGCCCTGTTGTGGAGCTTGTGGAGTGGTCAGGTTTGTTAGTAATTAAAATATGAGAGGGCAGGGCCAGTCCCCTGAGTCAACACAGCACCAGAGAACTGAGACTTAGCAACAGCCTTTTACCCCAAGGACTGCCTTCGTGTCTGACTAACCTTCTAGAAATCCACTTTCAGGAGATCATGGTTTTAATTTTGGTCAAAGAAAGAGGAAAAAAAAAAAAAAGAGAAGAATAATGGATCTATCCAGTCCCAAGCCACCTCGGGACCCCTTGTCTCCTAGGTTCATCTCTGTGTAAAATTTGCTGTCAGGCAGGACGCGGTGGCTCACGCCTGTAATCCCAGCACTTTGGGAGGCAGAGGCGGGCGGATCACCTGAGGTCAGGAGTTCGAGGCCAGCCTGGCCAACATGGTGACGCTTCGTCTCTACCAAAAATACAAAAATTAGTCGGGTGTGGTGGTGCGTGCCTGTAGTCCCAGCTACTCGGGAGGCTAAGGCAGGAGAGTCACTTAAACCTAGGAGGCAGAGCTTGCAGTGAGCTGAGATCGCACCACTGTACTCCAGCCTGGGCGACAGAGCAAGACTCTGTCTCAAAATAAATAAATAAATAAATAAATAAAGCTATCAGATTTGAAATCTTACCCCTTGTTATTCCTGATTTTCATCCAGGTTTTCTTTCCCAATGCTCTCCCTGTGGCCTTTCTTGTCCTTTCACAATTTATCTCCTTATTTCTTCCTCCAATTCACAAAGCAAGACTGAAGAGAGAAAACACCATATTTCTCCTCATTGGCCACTGTGGTAAAGATGGTAAAACTCTTAGCTGAAAAAAATTGCCTCTTGTGAATGCCTGTATTTGATATGTAGAGGCACTCACTATCCTCAGTTGTCACCGAGGGAATTGGCAACTCAGGTCTGAAGTTAAAATGATGCCCCTCTTCCCACACCTGGCCACCACCTGGAACTTAGTAAAGAAGAGAAATAATCGGGGAAGAGCAGGTGCTGAGGAGGAAAGGCAGGGGAATAGGCCTGGCCTGGGGCCTGCCCAGAAGTGAAGCTGCATTGTGAAAGCTTCGCCAATATCACCTGCGTCTCAGCAGTCTCCGTCTCTGGGCAGCATTGATACACAGGGCACAATAGGACTGGTTTGTCCAAGGGCCTCCACTCTGCCTCTGGAGCAGTCCTGGGTGGGGAGGTTTTAGCAGTCAAACATTTATCCAAAGGACAAGACTGAGCCATCAGCTAAGAAGAGATTGCCTGACTGAGGACCTGTCAATCCAGTGTTGCTGACTGGGGGCTGATTTTGAAGTTATCGGCTCAAATGCTTCATAGCCAAGTAGGCTATCAGCCAAGCCTAAGAAGAAGATAAAACATAAAACCACATATATTAACTTCCCCTTATAGTAATTTAAAAGATCACTTTTTAAAATATGTTTGGTAACTTGAATGAAGACTGGGTGGCTTTTCGAAGGAATGCACAGCTTTCTGCCAACTCACCCACCCTTCCCTCCTCCTTCTCTCTAGTTCAGCAGATTTATATCTCAAGGAGAGCACTTCTATATACCCTAGATTTGCTGTCTGCAGATTCTATCATAGTCTTGTGCAGTCATTTTTCTTCAAGACCAGTTAAGATCACAATTTTTCTTTTCTTTTCTTTTTTTTTCTTTTTGAGTTGGAGTCTTGCCCTGTCACCAAGGCTGGAGTGCAATGGTGTGATCTCAAGCCTTTTGTTTTTGTTTGTTTGCTTGCTTCACAGGAAGACTTAAGAACCAGACCTTAAGATATGGTGGACAGTCAACTATTTGTACAAAAGAGGGAAAGGAGTAACCGTTATCTGAGGTCTCTCCTGTAAATCAAGCAGTAGGTTTTAGGACCTATTGTTTCTGTTGTAAGGGCAGGTCTTTTATTTTTGTGTCTCATTGGTGCTTTGGTGTGCTACCTACTGTTCCCACTAGTGGACACAGGCTCCATCCATAGCAGAGAAGAGACACAGAGAAATTACACAGATTTCAAAGCATTTTTGAGAACAGGGAAGGATCCATCTCAATTTGGATACCAGCAGAACTTGCTCTCACACATGCTGGGAGAGAGGGACAAAGCCGCACAGTGTGTTATATCATCTTAACCAGTTAAGAACTAGGATCTGGCCGGGCGTGGTGGCTCACGCCTGTAGTCCCAGCACTTTGGGAGGCCGAGGCGGGCAGATCACAAGGTCAGGAGATCGAGACCATCCTGGCCAACATGGCGAAACCCCGTCTCTACTAAAAAAAAAAATAGAAAAAGAAATTAACCGGGCATGGTGGTGGGCGCATGTAGTGCCAGCTACTCGGGAGGCTGAGGCAGGAGAATGGCGTGAACCTGGGAGGCGGAGCTTGCAGTGAGCTGATATCGCGCCACTGCACTCCAGCCTGGGTGACAGAGCAAGACTCCGTCTCAAAAAAAAAGAACTAGGATCTAAGCAGTGAGAGCATTGGTTAGTGTCTAGAGAAAGAGGAGGGGAAGAAGTGCATGCAAGCTTGCTGAGCCTAGTGCCTAGGGATGTCCATGGATTAATCTATGGGGAAGGCCTGATCTGCCAATGCATGGGGCCAGCATGTGGGGGGCCACACTTCTCAATGGACTTCTTTGTTTCCAGGCAACGCCCTGCCCTTGGAGAATGTCTGGCCTCGCTGGCAGCTGCCATACCAGTGGCATTCCTGGAGCCCACCCTTAATCGCTACAATCCACTCTCGGTCTTCAACACCAAAACCCCCAGGGAGAGGTCTAGTAAGTATCTCCCCTCAAAGGTCATCAACCCATTTCATGTGCTGAGAGGAGAGGAGCCACACAGGCAGGGAGCAGCAGCCCTGCAGCACTGTGGCTTTCTTGGTCTGAGAGGAGCCAGGAGGTGAGGTTAGGGACTAGGTTGCAGGTCTGCATCTTACTGGAGAAATAAGCATGGGCAAGGCTTTGTTATAATTAGGCTTTGGTTTCCTCTTCTCTAAAGTGAGGAGTCAGTGTTGCTGATTTTGAAATCCTTTCCATCCTAAGACCTCAGGGTCTCTTGTCTGCTCTGGGTTTCAGTTCCCCCTCTGCACCTGGGGATGTGACTCCTTTTTTGCAGTGCCTCTCCAGAGTGGTATCAGAAGGTGCACATCCACAGTAATAACCCAGTTATACTCTTCAAGTCCATGGAGAGGCGTGCTTCTAAAGATGCTGATGACACATTTTTGTCCTCATGGAAGATAAGACATAGAAAAGCACCAAAAGGAAGAGAAAGTGTACAAGAAAGAATATTTCTTAGCAAACATATTGACACGCTAGGTTCCACAACAGGGTGGCAAACTATGACCACAGGGCAAATTTGGCCCCCTGCCTATTTTTGTAAATAAAGTTTTATTTGAACACAACCACACCTACTTACGTACATTTGGTCTGTGGCTGCTTTAGCACGACAATGGCAGAGTTGAGTAGAGGCAGGAAAGTTTGGCCCGCGAGGCCTAAAATATTTACTATCTGGCCCTCTACAGGAAACGTTTTCCACCCTCTTTTGTAAAATGATCCTGGAACTAAAATCCAAGGCAGGTTGTAAATCTGCTTCTGGAGGGTGCTTGTATCTGGGTTAATTGTGATCCTGCCTAAGGATAAGGGAATAGAATAGAGGAGCTTCAAGTAGGAGCCTTGAATCAAGCTTGGACTCCAACTAGAAAGAACTGCGATGATTCCATCTATTCTGAAGCAAAAATTACCCAACTGTAGGCTAATCAATATTAAGGGAAAACAAGCTACAGTAAATTATTTTCAACCAGAGCTTTTTCTATTCAGAACCAATGTTTTCTTAAAATATTGCTATACACTACCAGTAGATGTCTGGACGTGGTAGCAATTCCATTTAGTTCAAGCCCCCTTTCTCAAACTGCCATGAGATTTAAGGAAGAAGCATTCTGAGCAAGAAAGGGCTCATGCCACACTTTTCTTTGCCACTGCTGTTTTTTTCATCTAAAAATGCGAAGTGCTAAGCCATGGCAGCTTTATTCCCACTCGCTTCTTGTTACTTCAGGTAAGAGGAGCACATTGCCCCCCAGAAATGATCACCAGGACAATTCAGATAAGGCCACTAATAAAAATCTTTCACTGAGCTAGAATACAGTGGAGACTAGTGTTCTCAGAGGTAGTCAAGAGAAACATTGCCAAGATGCCTCAACTTTCCAAAGTCCCGTATGAAATCTATAAGTTAACCTTTCCTCAACCGCTTCAGCCTCATCTCACCCTTTCTTCCCTTTGAAATTAGCAAAAAAAAAAAAAGGGGGGGGGGATTTCCAACCTTTTTTTTACTTCCCACTCCTGATTCCAAATGAGTCCTGGCTTTCCACCAAAGTGGAAGCTGAGCAGCAGAGCAGACTTTGGTGAAGTTGAGAAGTGGCTGTGACATCTCCAGGCAAATGCCAGCCCAGGTGTTGCTTCCTGACTCCAAAGGGACATGGGGCCCAGTCATGACAGTTCTGGATATGTATACATTTATTCTGCTTCAACTGTGACTTGAGAAATAGTGTATCTCTGTCTCTATACCAGCACTGTGTAGAGCTTCACCTGGGGAAAGAGAGAAACTGCCTCTGCTCTTTAGTTCATAAAGGCACAGTAGCAGGGTGAAATGAGGATGTGACAAAGATAGAGGAAAGCCTAGGTTAGCTTTGGGAGGGAGGGGAATTAGTCTCTTGCATTGTGCTCCTTCCCAAGAGCTATTTGAAAAGTGTTCCTTTTCATTCTATATACCTTTGCATTGATTTGATAAGACATATTCATAAATAAAAAATGACTCCCCACCATTGCATATTCCAAAGGAAGAAAAGAGACAAGGTTGTAATTAGAGATGACACAGTCCTTTATCCATTAGCGACACACTATGGGACTCTATGTCCAGCTCCCCTGAGCCCATGTCTTTCATCACTGGCTTTAGCAAAGAGTGGATGCTGACCGTGTATATGGCTCTTAAAAAGTTTATCTAGAGCCGGAGAATGACTGTTGGCTTAATGAGCTGTAAGAAGGTAGACTTCATTCATTACAAAGTGGGTGGCCTGAGGGATAAAGGGCGGGGAGGAATGTATAAGGTGACAGGTGATGTGAGCCTGTGATTTAGAAATACAGTATGAACTGATTTATCATGTCTTCAGTTAATTGGGCATCTCTATTAATTGACACTTGATGCTTTGCCAGCAGAATTACTCAGATTAGTATCTTTGATGCCCTATAACATCCTGGTGCATTTTCTTCCTTATCCAAAAATTATTAAGATATACCTAGAAAAAGTTTAATACTGTTATGAGTCAGTTATTCAAAACTAGTTAAATCCTTAGTTATGGGTGGCAGTGATCTATTAATCAGAACACTAGATGTCAGACCAAAGCATCCTATTACCAGTCAGTTTGCTTTTCTTCTGTACCCTATTGGAACTCTTTTCTCTTTGGTTGATTATTCCAATTCTAATGTAAGCCATCTGTCTGTGTTGCAAAGAGAAGAGGTGCTAAAGTGAGGCACACAAGACTTTAGAATCTAATCTGGTGATTCTTGAATTCTAACGCGCATCAGAATCACCCGGGAGGCTTGTTCAAGACTGTTGAGCCCCACCCCTAGGGTTTCTAATGCAGTAAGTCAGTTTGGAGTGAGGCCCAGGAATTTGCATTTTCAGCCGGTCTCCAGGTGATGCTGGTGCTGCTGGTAGGAGGATTGCACTTTGAGAATTATTGATCTAGAAGTTAAAAGGACAGTGATTCTAAAGATTCCCCCTAACAGTCTTGCGTCTGATTCTAAGAGGACACAGCTGAGGCTGTTTTTCTAGCAGCTAACTCGGAATTCATTCTGTGGGTTTATGCTGTGGCATTTGAAATACAAAACACCCTGAATCACAAATGTTTGTTCCACTCAAGGGCCAATTACGTATAAATAACTTTTAAAGGTCATTATAATGGCTCCAGTGCAGCAACCTCAAGCAACTCTGTTTTTCTTAGGCAGCGGGCAAAAAGTGTTCATGATGATGTATTGTCTATGTGACATTTAAACAAACGCACCTGAGCCTTATCGTTTATAATCCCACGGCAAATAGTTGTAAATTTCAGTTGCGTCTATGGCAGTGGCATTGTTCTGTGTGTAGAACCTCAAGGTAGAATGTTTGACTTCCCTGTGTTTACCTCTGTACTCTGAGAGTATGTGTATAAAATTATTTTGTTTGCAAGGGTCTCTCCAGACTCCCATGATCTTGTTACCCATGGCCATTGTTGTCCTGCTGCAAGATGCAGGACAGACTCATTATCTGCAAATGACCATATCTGACCCATAATTTCCTTCTGCAAATCACAAGAGTTCAGGGTTCTTTGGCTTTCATGCTATTAATCCTTTTCAGTTGTCTGGGTTTTAAAAGATATTGGTCCACCCCTGACATCCAAGGAGGAGAGATTTTTAGCCTTCTATCCACCAGAAGGCTCTAGTGATAGCAACAAAAGTCATCACTACGGAAAGGCTAATAGTGCTTCACTGGGCCTATTCCATAGCATAGAGACTGCTGGGATCCATTGCTTTGCAACTGCACATCCTGTCCAGGTAGAATCACTTGTCTCAGCTGCAGATTCATTCTCTCCAAGATAGCTGGGATTATTCTGTATCTCTGCTCCATGCACTATAACCATGAGAGAAATTGAGACAGTCCCTTTCAATTGACCAGTGTTCCTTAAGGCCAAGGAATTTGGTATGGCCTCTCCTATTTATTAATCCTTCAATTCCAATGGATATAAAATCTGAAAATCTAGAGAAGAAAGACCTCAAGCCAATGGTAATCCCAATGGCAAAGGGCCTTGCAGGCATAACCCAATTCACTAAACATACATTTGTATTTGCAGTCTTCTGCTTTATCTTTGGAAATGTATGAGAACTTTGCATTTGATTCCAAATATCAAAAATAATTTCCTCAAATCTTCCAGTGAACTGATGTTCTGGGAAAGCACACCACATTTTTCCTGTGGCTTCCCAGACTGCCTAGCTCCTTCAGTGCCGGATGTTTTTGCCCCCGTTTGAGAAGTTTGGCCTGAGGAGGAAGTAGACACATTCTGTAGGAAGCAGTTAGATCAATGGGTGCGTATGCAAACCTTTGGGCTTGTGGCTCTTACTCAGAATTGTCCACGTCCCTCCACTCAGAGCCCTTGTTATCCTCTAACATGTCAGGAACTTCAGGATGCTTCCAGTCTTCCTCCCATCTTGCAGGAAAGAGTGTCCTTTACCTTAAGGGAAGCAGGACAGATAAGCCCTGGATTTTTCTGTTTACAGTTCTTGCATCTGAAAACCCTCCCTGGTTGAATATTGAACTCTGTCTGTTGATACTTTAGCCTGTGTGTCCTTGTCTAGAGCAGCACCCTCAATCATTCAGGGTGAGGAAAAGATAGGGCTCCCACGATTCCTTACAAATCAGTCCTTGGAAACAAAAAGGATTAAGTGATTGACAGGGAGTCAATCAAGCCACCTCAGGTCATCCATCATTTCTATTGTGAAGCCAGAAATCAGTCCACGTGCGATGCTTTTCCCCCCAGAATTCCAGCTGGATGGAAAGTTGTTGTTTCTGGTCCAGCTGAAGGACTATTAGATGAGTGGACTTTTATTTTTCCTTTTCTAAGCCGAGTATAGATGTGATCCAGGCAATGGCACCACAGCTTGGAACTAAACACTGATCAGTTGCTTTTCTCCTCTGATTACTGATTTTCCTGCAGGGGACACACTAAGGCCCAGGCAGGCAAGCCAAGAGGGAGAAGCCAAGAGACTGGCTTCATCGCAGGATAGTCTTAGGAACTAACTATCCCTCATCCTTGTGTCTGCTGTACTCCTTTAACCATGTGTTTGTTTTAACCTCACCTCAACACGACATCTAGGAAGATAATGCAGCCTCTGGAAGCTGCACTCTGTTCACAGACAGCTGGAGGACAAAAGCCACTCCACATCCAAGCTCACTGCTGTGAAGCTCTAGAAATTTATTCCTAAAGACCAAAGGAAAGGAGGGGCAGAGAGAAGGAAGCTTGCACCCACTGTGCTTTTGAATTTCTGTCCCTTTATTCTTCCTCTCAATCAGTTCTGGGGATGCCAGACACGGTAGAAGACATGTGTCCTGACATCCCCCAGCTGGAAGGCCTGATGAAGGAAATCAACGACCTGGCCGAGTCAGGGGCCCGGTACACAGAGATGCCCCATGTCATCGAGGTGATCTTACCCATGCTCTGCAACTACTTGTCCTACTGGTGGGAGCGGGGTCCTGAGAACCTGCCCCCCAGCACAGGGCCATGCTGCACCAAGGTCACCTCTGAACACCTCAGTCTCATCCTGGGCAACATTCTGAAAATCATCAACAACAACCTGGGCATCGATGAGGCCTCCTGGATGAAGCGCATTGCAGGTACCGACCCCTTTCTCCCCAGTCCCCAGCCCAGGGGCCAAGATAACTGGATTCTTTTTTCATCTCTATTATTAATTCCAAGATGGTTTTGCACAAGCTCTATTCTATATTTAAACCTCCCCATGCCCACCCCAGTTGCTTAACAGTAAAAAGAATTGACATATTCCCCTGAAGAGCTTCCTGGAGCCAATGCTCCCGGCCCACTCCCCTACTCATCCAGGCCCCTCAACTCTCCAGGAAGCCCTTCTTAATCAACTCCACTCAAATCCAATGAGCATTGCTTTATTTGATTTTGGTACTCAAGAATCCCATTAGCTCTTACAGTAATAATTGTCCAGAATTTTCCTGGTAAGTAATCCTGTGTGTTTTCCACTTGTATAAAACTCACTGCCATCTGACCTACACTATAAGTTCCTTACTGTCACTCTGCATTTGTATTTCACTCTGTGCTTTCTAAGACACTGTCTCATGCGGGCTCACGGTAGTGGCACTTTGTTGTTTTTTTTTTTTCTTTTGTATCCCTCCAAAGTTACTTGCACACAGCCAGCTCTCAATGAATGCTATTAGCCAATTTTCTCTTCCTGAAGCAACTTCAAAAAAAGGACAGGCTTGGAAAATCAATAACTATACTTTCCACAGTCAGGAAACCACAAATATTTTGTGTCCTCTGTGTCAAACTACAGTCCAAGGAGATAGAAGCTAAGGCAAAATTACTGCTTTTGATGGACCTATGATTTAGGTAGTGGAGTCCACCAGTAACATCTTTACCCATATAATCTCCTGGACATGAAAACAATGGCTAAGCTAAAGGGAACTATTAATCCAACACTGGTATTTACTTTCCTGGACAAAGGAATCAGTGTCCTTCTGCAGGACCAAGGAAGAAAAGTTACTGCTTCTTCCTGTCTCACAGATGAACTAAGATCAAAATTATAAATATCTTGGGTGCTAATTGGTGTTCCTCTATTACCCATTAGCCCTAAAATATTGTTAACCATAAGGTAATTTTTCAATGAGTTTTACTTGGTAAATCTGAATTAAGGGAAGGAAAGGTTTCAAAAAAATCTCCTCCCTTACCTCCCTAGAGGTGCGCAGAGGGAAAGTGTCACAACGTGAAGGCCACTGATGGAAACTGAAGTTCGGCCTGTTATTCCACAGGTGAATCTAGACTTCATTCAGACAGGCTACTTACTTCTTGGTGACTAAACAAAGTCAATTTTAAGTAGTAACCCCAAATCACCCACATAAGATGTAGCCATTCCAATTACATATCTAAAGCAGAGTTGCTCATTGAAGAAGGCTAAGAAGTCACAACTTCTTGGTGAATGCAGAGAGTGCCATTAACCTTCTCTTTCTAAAAGTATCTGTTTTATAAAAGTAAAATATAAAGTGATATTTTGAAGAAAATTGCTGGAATGCAAGCTGTTTCCAGCTGAAATGCCTTAAGCTAAAGACACTTTGAAAAGGTGAATGTAGATTGTCAGTGGTTCACAACTCTCACTCACTCATTTTTTTCTTACAATTACTCTGGTCTTTAAAAAAAAAAAACAAAAACAAACAAACAAAAACAATGGAAAGGCATATTGCTCTTTCTCTGATTGCTTGTTTCTGCTTTTCAACTTCTAGTGATCACCCCAGCCTCTTTTTGTTCATTTGTAATTGATACCAGACTTATATCCCTCCCTCAGAGCCCAGAGGAGTCTCCAGGCAATAGGTTGGCAGGTTTCAAGTGTTGAGGCTGAGGATGGTAGTCGGGTTAATGTGCTTTTAACAACAGATTGTTCTGTAAAATAACCAGAAAGCATATACTGAGTGCCCGCTGTTAGTGCAGTACTTGCTGTTAATAAAAGCCTTCCTTCAGGAAGTTTACAATCTGCTAGTGAGCCGAAAGCAAAAAGAATGGACTATAAAATAATACAAAATAGTCTGTCACGAAGAGCTAAGGGGTGTGGCATAGGCCATGTGTGCATGAGAGGTTCGAGGGAGGCAGGGGCTCCTCATGGCCTGGAAGAGCAGAGCAGGAATATGGACCTTCTCCCATAGTGGCCTCGGTTCCCCATCCCTCAAGGTGACTCTATGAGAGGGAAGTATCAAGGGGAAGATTGAGGAAGGGAACAAGGGGCAGGTGCCATCCTGAGTCGATGGGATTCCACGGCCTCACCTTTCAGTCATGTCTTTCATTTTCATCAATTGCCATAATACGTGAAATGACGGGGAGGCTCTTTGTAAACGCAGTGTATGCACAGCCCATCATCAGCAAAGCCAGGCCCGACCTGCTGAGAAGCCACTTCATCCCAACTCTGGAGAAGCTGAAGAAAAAGGCTGTCAAGACGGTGCAGGAGGAGGAGCAGTTGAAAGCCGATGGCAAAGGGGACACCCAGGAGGCAGAACTCCTCATCCTGGACGAGTTCGCGGTCCTCTGCAGAGATCTCTATGCCTTCTACCCCATGCTGATCCGCTACGTGGACAACAACAGGTACGGAGGAGAGCACTAGGAGCCTGTCTGCCCCTCTGTGGGGCTAGTTTAGGCAACAGAATAAAATGGAAAGATGGTGTTGGGTTGTTAACAGTGAGATAAAGGAGGCGATAGCCGCCCCCACCATTCTCCTTCCCAACACCAATGGTTCCTGCTGTAGGAGCTCTGGGCATTGCTTTCCTGGAGCAATGATTCTGTATGGTCTGTGACATGGCCATCTCCTCCATCCTTACGGGCTACCACAGGTCAGAGGAAGTTGGTCAAATAAAGGTAGCAGTGACCCACTTCTGCCCCTCTGCTGTTCACTAACGTATTCCTTCAACCAATACTGCCTGACTGTGTGTTAAGCGCTCTTCTAGGCTTTAAGCGATAGGAGTGAACAGAAAAGACAAGCTCTCTGGCCTAGGGAGATTTCTTTCTGGGGCTAGGAGAGGTGCATAAACAATAAACAACCCATATAAGTAAATTATATAGAGCGGGGTAAGGGGAATTAGGAGGGTCAGGGTGGGGTGGAGTTGTGTTTTTAGATAGAATGTTACTGAGAAATCAACATTTGAGCAAAGACCTGAAGTCAGTAACGTTTGGAACCAGAAAGATCTGGGGCGGGGGTGTTGCAGGAAGAGGAAACGTCTGGTGCAGGCACCAAGAAAAAAGTGCGTTTGGGATGTTCAAGGGACCAAAAGGAGGCCAGTGTAGCTGAAGCAGAGGGAGGGGTGGGGAAGAGCAGTAGAAGATGTCAGAGAGGCAACACGGGGCCGAGAGTCCAGGCCTAGGACGCCACTGTGAGGACTCTGACTTTTACTCTGAGTCAGATAACAAGCCCCTGGAGATTCTGAGGGAGTCTGTAATGTGATCTGATTCACTCTTTGAGCACTGTAGCAAGAGGTGGAGGCAGCAGGGAAGGAAGAAGACCAGTGGGAGGTTCTCCATGATCCAGGCAAGAGTGGAATGTGATCCATAGAAACTGAAAGTGGATTAGCAGTGTCAGGGGTGGGAGAGAGTGATGGGGAGGGACTGCTTTATGCTTTTTTTTAAGCACTGGGCTTTCCTTTTGGGGTGATGAAAACATCGTGGAACTGGATGATTGTAGTTTCACAACATCGTGAATGTACTAAACATCGCTGATTGCAAATTTTATGTTATATGCATGTTACCAGGTTTTATTTTATATATATATATATATATATATATATATATATATTTTTTTTTTTTTTTTTTTTTTTTTTTTTTTTTTGAGACGGAGTCTCACTTCGTCACCCAGGCTGGAGTGCAGTGGCGCAATCTCGGCTCACTGCAAGCTCCGCCTCCTGGGCTCATGCGATTCTCCCACCTCAGCCTCGTGAGTAGCTGGGATTACAGGCGCAGGCCACCATGCCTGGCTAATTGTTTGGTATTTTAGTAGAGATGGGGTTTTACCATGTTGCCCAGGGTGGTTTCAAAGTCCTGAGCTCAAGCAATCCGCCTGCCTCGGCTTCCCCAAACTGTTGGGATTACAGATTACAGGCGTGAGCCACCACGCCTGGCCTTCTTTTTTTTTTTTTTTTTTTTTTTGAGACAGAGTCTCACTCTGTCACCCAGGCTGGAGTGCAGTGGTGCGATCTCGGCTCACTACAAGCTCCGCCTCCCAGGTTCACGCCATTCTCCTCCTCAACCTTCTGAGTAGCTGGGACTACAGGCGCACACCACCACGCCCAGCTAATTTTTATTGTATTTTTTAGTAGAGACAGGGTTTCACCATGTTAGCCAGGATGGTCTCAATCTCCTGACCTCGTGATCCACCCACCTCGACCTCCCAAAGTGCTGGGATTACAGGCGTGAGCCACCTTGCCCAGCCCTTTTGTTTGTTTGTTTGTTTGTTTGTTTGTTTTTCTGTAAGTTGATGGTGGCTGAGGCCAAGATGGTAGCAGTGAAGGTTGCCAGAAGTTATCAGATTCTGGGTCTGTTTTGAAGGTAGAGCCCTTGGAATTTCCAAATTGGGAATGAGAGAAAAGAGAGGAGTCAAAAATGATTCCAGGAATTTTGCCTGAGTACATGGAAGAATGGCCTTTTTAGCAATTGAGGAAGACTGTGGATACATCAGATTTGGCCAAGGTTGGAGTGAGGTTGTTGAGGGGAAGATCAGGAGATCACTTTCAGACGTGTTGAAATTTAGTTGCCTATTCAATAGAAAAGTGAAAATGTTGAATGGACAATTGCATATAAGATTCAGAGTTCAAGGGAGAGGTCTGGTGTAGACATATGAATTTGGGAGTAATCGACACATTTAAGGACTGTGAGACTAGATGAGATAAGTAAAGGATTGAGGAAGAGACAGAAGAGTTCCTCAGTACTAAGAGGTCAGGTAGAAGAAGAGGAACAGCAAATGAGACTGAGAGGGAGAAACCAACGAGACAGTAGGAAAGCCAACAGAATGTTGTATCCTGAGTGCCAACTTCACAAAGAGTTTCCAGAAGGAAAGAATGACCAACTGTTTCAAATGCTGCTGGTAAATAAGATGAGAACTGAGACTGGGCATTATATTAAGCAGCTCATTAGTTATTGGTGACCTTGACAAGAGCAGTGTCTATGAAGTATTGAAGATAAAAAGCCTCTTTGGAATGGGTTAAAAGAATGAGAGAAAAGGACTTGGATCTGGCAATACAGGCAACTTGTTCAAGTTTTACTCTAAAGGAGAACAGAGAAATGGGACGCTAGCTAGAAGCAGAAATGTGGCCAAGAGAGGAGTTGTTAACATAGGAAACTTGTCAGGTTGTTTCTTCACCAATGGGAAGGATCCAATAGAGATGGGGGCTATGAACATGTAAGAGAGAGACAATTTCTAAGGCAATGCCCTTGAGCAGGCGAAAGGTCAGCCTCAGGAAATTCATCCCCAGCAACAGACAGGAGGGCAGAGACTGTGTGTGACACACACACACACACACACACCCCTACATTCGGAGAGAGAGAGGGAGAGAGAGGTCTTTTGGGGTCCTTTTCTGATTGCTTTTATTTTCTCAGTGAAGTAGGAAGCAAGATCATCAGTTGGGAATGAAGATGGGGAAAGGTGCCTAGAGGTTTGAAGAGTAAAGAGAAGGTATGAGGGGTGGTTCCCAGGGAGAGTGGAAGAATAGATGCACCAGGGAGATGCGGGGTGATTACCCGGTAGCATTAAGAGATCTCTGGTCATGAATTTACAGTAAGACCCATCAGCACATTGTCTTTTTCTCCAGCCAAATTCAGCTGTCAGATATCAACCAAGAATAGGAAGGAAGTTGCATTTAATGAGAGGTGAGGTTTTGCAAAGTGAGTATAACAAAAACAGGCTAGGGAGTTAAGGGTATATGTAAGGAGGTAATTATAAAGATTTACCATGGAATTTAAGCTGGATGAAGAGGAGGACAGAAAATAGAAAGCCTAATGTGCTTGAACAGACAAAGGATCAAAGGATTGTTGGAGAGTGGGTACTAGATAGGAGGAAGGTAGTGGACAGAGAAGTGAAATGCATGGATTTAAGATTAGGGGATTAGGGGAGGTTGCAGTTACTAGTAATGACCATGGGATTGCATACTGAGGCAAGTGGAAAGCAAGAACCCTTAGAGAAGAAATCAACAGACTGAAAGGCCATGGAGCTGGAAAATCATAAACACATATATTGAAGTCACTGAGAATGAAGACTGGTGACATGTTGAGAATATCAGTGAGATATGTGCTAAAAGCATGGATAAAGGAAGGGGAATGGCTCAGATTAGTGGACACCTTGGTATGAGATGAAATTCAAAACTGGAGACTTTCGGAGACACTTCATGGTGTGTGTCTCTGTTCTGATATCTGAGCACCATTTAGAGAGGAGAGGTGGAAAAGAGCACAATATAATGAACTTACCCAAACCTGCTGCTCCCTTCTCTCAAGGCCTCTCCCCCAACCCGAGTCCTTCAGGAGGGGCACCCAGAATCCTCATTCTTTCTCTATCCCTTGCCTTCAGCCCTTCACACTGACTCTGTGCACCTTCCCTTCTCTCCCATCAGTCAGTCCCCTGGGGTGGTGGCCATATGCTGTGCTGGACAGGCTGTGTGTCCCAGTTCACCATCATCGCTTCTATTCTACAGAACTTCAAAGGTTGAAAGTCTCTAATGTCATAATTAGGCAAATTAATTCATGTCATAGGAGAAATTTTTAATGTAATTCACTCTTTCCCCAATGTTCGTTTGGTGCACAAAATTTAGCTGAGTGAAAATAAATAAACAACAATTATATGAGAAATGTGAAGGCTTGTGGGAATGTAAGTCTATAAAATCATAAAGCTATTGATAGGGTGAACACAGACATTTTCATTGTATCTTAGGGTATGACCCTTACCCTATTTGTGGGTTTTGTTGCATTTTTCCCTGTAACCAAATATGTGTCAGTTGTCCAAGTCCATTCTCCAGTTCTCCAACACCAATTGGGTATCCAACAATCCAATTTAATTCTGACAGTAACTACGCAGAGTTAGTGCAGATCCCACAGGTCAATGGCTCAGTTTTGCAAGACTGTTCCTGCCTCAGACACCAGCCACAAATGAGTTGCCTAGGCTGCTCACACTTCTGCCCAGCGAACTGCAAATTCCATGGTTCTCATGACCTGGCTTGATAATTCACTCAGATTTGATAATTCACTGGAATAGCTTATAGAACTCAGGAAAGCGCATTAATAATTACAGGCTTATTAGAAAAGAATCAACTCAGGAACATTCAAATGGAAAAGACGCATAGGGAAATGTATGGGTGTAGGGGAGTGCAGAACCTCTGTGTCCACCCTGGCACACACCACCCTCCCTGCCCATCAATGTGTTTACCAACCTGTAGGCTCCCTGCATCTCATACGAGCTTTTGTGTAAGTTTCATTGATAAATCACTGGCCATTGGTGATTTAGACTGAACTCAATCTTCAGCACCTCCTGTCTCCCCAGAGGTAGGGAGTGAGGCTGAAAGTTCCAACCCTCTTACCATGTGCTTGGTCTTTCTGGTAACCAGGGCCATCCTGAAGCTACCTAGCCCTTCCCCATTCAAGGGTCACTTCATTAGCATAAACCCAGGTATGGTCAAAGGGGCTCGTTATATATAATAAAAAAAACTCCTATTACTCAGGAAATTCCACAAGTTCTAGTAGCTCTGTGCCTGGAAACAGGGGCAAAGACTAATACATATTTTTATTATACCATACCCTTCTAAAGTTTAAGGCCCTAAAATACAAATTTGAAAATGTTTAATTTTAAGGTACCCATTATAGATATTGAAGGGATGCAGGACTATTTGGGGGAACATTGGTAACTTTTTGAGTGGTAACCCATTCTGCCATGGGCAAGAAATGGGCCTAGATATACTCATTTTAGCATTATTTTATAAGGTAAATTGTAGTTACTATTTAAAATAACCTAATTAAGATTACTTATATTTAGCATTCCAATAGAAACACTTTACACACAACACCTTACACACACACACACTCTATATATATACATATATAAATATATATTTATTTATTTATGTAAATGTATATATAAATAAATATATAAATACATATAATACACATAAATATATATTATATATAAATATATACATAAATACATATATATAAATATATACATAAATAAATATATATAAATATATACATAATATATATTATATAAATATAATATACATAAATATATATTTATATATAATATACATAAATATATAATATATAATATATACAAATATACATTATATATAAATATATATTATACACAAATATACATTATATATAAATATATATAAATATATATTTATGTGAAAATGAGTACAATTTCCCATAGATAGGTAAGGAAAGAAAAGATTTTTTATATATATATTTTTATATATATATATTTTTATATATGTTTATATATATAAAAATATATATATATATAAAATCTTTTCTTTCCTTACCTATCTATGGGAAATTGTACTCATTTTCACACACAAAAATCCCTGCTTTTTTGAGGGTCATCATTTTAGTCATTTCCCATATCATAATAACGTTAGCAGTGTAGAGAAGGAAATCGCCAGAGTTTGAAGTGAAAAATAAAAGTAGAGTAAGGTTGCTCCTGGAATAGCTCTTTAATTGCATTTGTCACTATTGACGATCAAGACTCAAGACAGAGTATGTTGTACTTATGCGGTGTTTGACAGTTGCTAAAAATGGCAATGTCAGAGAGTCTTTGAGATCATCATTAATTCATTCATCCCCACTTTTCAATCTGTTCTTCCCAGAGCATTACGGTCATATGAGCTGTGCTGAGAAATACAGGCTTCCAACATGAGTGCCTTTAGTTTCTTCAGGTCCTCTCTTCATCCAAAAAATTAGCTGGCTTTGAATTATGGAATTGTGGCCTTGGCAGGGTTGTTAGAGGTCACCTCATCTTACCTCCCAGTGGATGGAGAAATACCCGTTCCTTTTTCCTATCGTGACTTTCTGCCTCTGGTTATTGGGAAAAGTGGGGAGCAAAAGACAACAGGGACAGCATTGCCATGCATGCAATCCCATTCTGGTTTCAGACCGTTCAAACCATTTGAGCTCAAAGGATAACTCCTACCTATCAGCTCTAATTTTACTCTCCAGAACCACACAAAATTACTCTAATCCCTCTTGTGGCAGCTCTTTAAATATGTAACAGAGCCATCTTGGGCTTTCCTCTTCCCTGGTTTTTCTCATCATATTAAACCTTTGTACTGTTTTCTGCCCTGCCACAGCAGTGTGTAAAGTTTCTTCTGTGTCTGGAATACTCTTCTGAAGAGCGGCTTCTGTTGGTCAGTGTCCAACCTGAAGTTGACCCAGAATAAGCAAGAACCAGCTGTGGTGTGCTCAGTGGGGGACACATAAGTGCTTCGTTTCCGCATGCCAGGAGATAAAAATCAAGAAGTATTAAACAAGTCTTTTTCTTTTCTTTTTTTTTTTTTTTTTTTTTTGTGAGACAGAGTCTCACTCTGTTGCCCAGCCAGCCAGGCTAGAGTGCAGTGGCATGATCTTGGCTCACTGTAACCTCTGCCTCCTGGGTTCAAGCGATTCTCCTGCCTCAGCCTCCCAAGTAGCTGGGATTACACACATGCGCCACTACGCCTGGCTAATTTTGTATTTTTAGTAGAGACAGGGTTTCGCCGTGTTGGTCAGGCTGGTCTTGAAGTCCTGACCTCAGCTGATCCACCCACCTTGGCCTCCCAAAGTGCTGAGATTACAGGTATGCACCACGACGCCTGGCTAATTTTTTTGTATTTTTGGTAGAGACAGGGTTTCACCATGTTGGCCAGGCTGGTCTCGAACTCGTGACCTCAGGTGATCTGCCTGCCTCTGCCTCCCAAAGTGCTGGGATTACAGGCATGAGCCACCGCACCCGACCTAAACAAGTCTCTCTTTCTAAAAGGCAATCGGCTTCTTAGCCTCCTTCCTAGGAGTCAGAAATATTTGGAACTTAGCATTGAACTTTAAATAGTGAGATTTTTGGTGAAAACCTATCTCTCAAACTGTTGAAGGGAGTTAGGGTAAATCCCATGCAGCAACTGCCTCAGGCTTGGTCCTCTAGGGGAGGCTTTGGAACAAAGCTGAAAAAAGCTCTTACCTCCAAAGTTGACACAGGAGCGTGGCTTCCTTTTCTTTCAAAACCTGATCATTTGTCGTTTTTTGTTTTGTTTTGTTTTGTTTTTGTTTTTGTTTTTGTTTTTAGGACAAAGTCTCGCTCTGTCGCCCAGGCTGGAGTGCAGTGGCGCGATCTCTGCTCACTGCAACCTACACCTCCTGGGTTCAAGTGATTCTCCTGCCTCAGCCTCCCGAGTAGCTGGGATTACAGGCATGCGCCACTACGCCCGGCTAATTTTGTATTTTTAGTAGAGACGGGGTTTCACCATGTTGGTCAAGCTGGTCTTGAAGTCCTGACATGAGGCGATTCACCCACCTTGGCCTCCCAAAGTGCTGGGATTACAGGCGTGAGCCACCGCGACCAGCCCCATTTGTCTTTTTGAAAATGGAAGTCTGAATCTCCTTCCTTCTGCCACCCCCCAGGATTCTGTTCTTATGCTTCTTGTTTTTCCTGTGACTGTGCTCAGTTATTTCATCCACTTGGGTTGCTGCTGCTCTTTTGGTTGTTGTTATAAATTTAAGGGTTACAAGTACAGTTTTGTTACATAGGTACATTGTTTAGTGGCAAAGTCTGGACTTTTAGCATGACCATCACCCAATACAACCTCCCTGGAAAACAGTATGGAAATTTCTCAAAGAACTAAAAATAGACCTACTATTCAATCCAGCAATCTCACTGCTAAGCATCTACCCAAAGGAAATGGAATTATTATATCAAGAAGATACTTGCACTCATATGTTTATTGCAGCACTATTCACAACAGCAAAGATATGCCATCAACCCAAGCATCTATCAATGGATGCCTGCATTTTTAAAAAGTGGGATACATATATACACACACAGTGGAATACTCTTTAGTGATTAAAAGGACAAAATCGTGTCTTTTATAGCAACGTGCATGGATTGGAGGCCATTATCTTAAATGAGACAACTCAGAAACAGAAACTCGAATACCACATGTTCTCACTTAGTGGGAGCTAAATAATGTGTCCACATGGACCTAGACTGTAGAATAATAGACATTGGAGATTCGGAAGGGTTGGATGGAGCTGAGGGATGAGAAATTACTTAATGAGGACAATGTGCCTTATTTGAGTGACGTGCCATCTCCTCCATATGGCAGAATCTCTCATGGTTACCTCTAAACCCAACCTTCTTCTCTGCCTACAGCCTTGAGTTTTCCAACTGCCTTTTGGCAGCAAGCACTGCAGATGATAAAAGAGACCCACAGATCAGCTAGGTATCTACAAGAAAATCAAGCGACTAAATATTGACAGAGATGGTGAATCCCATAGGAGACTGGGAGCAAGCAGGAGAAGCACCTTGTTGCATTAATTGGGGGCAGAGAGGGTATGAGCGAATGTGAAAAGCTAGGTGAGGATCTTCCATTCTCCCACAAATACCTTCCTTGACTTGTGTGCCTAGGGGAAAACCTTTAATGAGATGTTTTTCATTGCACTTACCACTCTGAGCTTGAAGAATGAACCTCACTAGAGATAAAGAGCAAATGTCTGCCTCTTAGAAGAGGGGTGGCCAAAGAAAAATATGTTCAGCTGAAACCGCATTCTCACACGAAGGCAACAAGATGAAAATCCTCTTCCTTCTCCCACCAAGAAACGTTACCCAAGATTTTGTTCCTGATGCTCTTGCTACTCACAGTCCCTGTGGCTGTTTTGTTCCTTGGCTAGATAGGATATGATCCTCATCTTTTCCCACTGAAGGCATCTGGAAAACCTATCAAGCTCATTTAAACCAAAACACTAAGGAATGAACAGCTGGTAGTTGTGATAAAATTTGACATTTGACCCTGAAAAATCAATAGGAAAGAAATCAGAAAGCATTGCCAACCTCAAGCCTCAAGTTTGAATTGCATTTGGCTGCTAGTAGTGGAGAATTGGCTATAGTGGCTTAAACAAATGAGAAATTTAGTCTCACACGGAAAAGAAGTCCAAAGATAGTTGAGCTAGGGCCAGTATTGTTCCTCGTTAGAAAGCCTCATGCCTTTGTCTGTCTGTCTTTTATTTATTTATTTTTTTTGAGATGGAGTCTTGCTCTGTGGCCCAGGCTGGAATGCAATGGCACAATCTCGGTGCTCACTGCAACCTCCGCCTCCCAGGCTCAAGCGGTTCTCCTGCCTCAGCCTCCCAAGTAGCTGGGATTATAGGTGCCCACCACCATGCAAAGCTAATTTTTGTATTTTTTTAGTAGACACAGGGTTTCACCACATTGGCCAGGCTGGTCTCAAACTCCTGACCTCAAGTGATCCACCTGTCTCGGCCTCCCAAAGTGCTGGGATTACAGGTGTGAGCCACCATGCCCAGCCTCATTCCTTTGTCTTTATATTCTCAACATTGCCTTCCATCTTTGAAGTTACTTTATGATATAATAAGCCAATTAGAGTTCCAGCCATCATATTTTCATTCCAGACAGGAAGTAGGAAATCAGCAGGAGAAAGGCAAAAAGACACCTTCAGCTATCTGATCCCTTCTTAGAGGTTTATTTCCAGGAGGCCCATCCAACAACTTCTACATTCATCTTATTGATCAGAACTTAGTTACATAGCTATAGTTAAAGGGAAGCTGGGTAATGTGATCTTTAGCAGGGCATAGTTCCACCCTGAACAAAATGGGGTTTGTTACTATGGAAGAAGAGGAGAATGAATATTGAGTAGACAACCAGTAATGTCAGCTATATGAAGGAGAGGCTGCTTGAATCTGAAAACGAGAGATTAGATAAGAATGTCCCTGAGACTGGAACCAAGGGCAGTAAGGAATTCAGGAGATAAGAGAAGGATCCCAAAGTGATCTTGGCCTCATGAGTCTCTACATTTCTTAGCCTGGTGCTCCTCATGAATGGGTAGGAGGTACAGGCTACCCACAACAATTCATTCTGATGTCCTAGGGCTTAGGGAACTGGCTTTTGGTAGCTGTTACCCTACATGAGGCAAGAGGCATCAGGTTTTTTAGACCATTTTGAGACGCATTTTTTTTTAACTAAAGGAAGACAATAGTTTAACTTGTGTCACTGTGATATTTCGATATAATAAATATGTATTTGCTCTTCATCTCTGCTTCCTGGCACAGAGCTCCCAAAACTCATAGAATTTCCTGAGGGAAAGGGATGAAAGGAACATCTTCTGTTATTCATAATAAGCCCCTTTCAACCATACCTGAGTTTATTCTAATGAGGTGACTCTTGGAGAATGGAGACTGGTTGCCAGATGTACCAACTCTGCAATTAGAGGGTTGGGACTTTCAGCCCCACCACCATTTACCCTCCCCTAACCTCTGGGGAGAGGAGAGGGGCTGGATATTGAGTTTAATAACCAATGGCCAGGGGTTTCACCAATCATGCCTATATAATGGAGCCACCACAAAAAAACCCTAAGCTATGGGGTTTGGAGACGTCCATGTTGCTGAACACACAAAGGTACTGGGAAGGTGGTGTGCCTGGAGAAGGCATGGAAACTCCCTGCCTCTTCCCCCATACCTTGCCCTATGCATCTCTTTCATTTGGCTATTCCTTGGTTGTGTCCTTTATAATAAACTGGTAATAGTAAATCAAGTATTTTCCTGAGTTCTGTGAGCTGCTCTAGCAAATTATTGAACCCAATGAAGGGGTTGGTTATAGCCAGTTGGTCAGAAGTACAGGTCACAACCTGGGACTTGAGACCGGCATCTGAAGTGAGGGGCAGGCTTGTGGGTCTGAGCCCTTAACCTGTGGGGACTGCACTAAATCCAGGTAGTTAGTGTCATATTTGAATTGTAGGACATTCAGTCAGTGTCTGAAGAGTTGAAGAATTGTTTTATGTGAGAAAAACCCCACATTTGATATCAGAAGCGTTGAGCAGAGAAACAGTGGGGGTTTTTTGTTTGTTTGTTTAGTTACTCTATGTAGACATTTGAAAATGGCAACTCACCCAGCCCTTGGAAATATAATTTAATTTGAATATGTAAGCTACTTCACGGCAAGACAGCTTAGAGAAACGACTGAATTCCTGAAACTGCAGTTCAACCTTCTTGGTGCTACTGCAAAATTTCTTAACCAGTCTATTTTTTTGTTTTATGAGTAATGCTTATTTGTAGGGAATCTTCAAACCATTTTAGAGGGCATAGATGAAGATAATTGATCTCTGCTTATACACTTCAAATCACAGCGAAAAACATATTATCTTACAAATTTCATTGATAAAACTGGCTTTAAAGGAAAAGGGGTGGGACATGAACTGTTGAGAGTGCTCAGAATTTCAGAGGTTTGACAATGACAAGTGTCCAGGACCAGGTTAGATGTCTTAGTGACCAAGACTTGCCTACCTTTGCTAGCCTTATATATTAAAGGAAGCATGTCCCAAAACTTAGAGCTTAACCTTAATCAACTAATCAGTTTAAAGAAAAAACATAACCTACTTTTGACCATTTTGAAATGTCGATTTCTGACATCAGTTTGCTAAGGCAATTCTTGAATCCTTTGGCAAATGGAAATAATTACTGTAGATCTTTCAAGAAATCTACTCTAATTATGTACCTATATCTGAATGTTTAAGGAATATATTGCTATTTAGTCTCCCTGATTATTGCTTTCATATGAGAATGCAGTTTGATCTGGATAAATGTATGTCTCCAGTGCTGGTATAATTTTTAGAGTGTGAATATTTTAATCTCTACTGAATTTCAAATGCCTGTTTATTTACTTTTGGACCCAGATCTAACTGGCTGAAAAGTCCTGATGCTGATTCTGACCAGCTCTTCCGCATGGTGGCAGAAGTCTTCATTCTGTGGTGTAAATCTCATGTAAGAACACATTTGGGCCCTGGGTTTAGAATGGTTGTGAAAGCTGCAGACCGTGGAAAACTGTTGATGAAAAAAAGCCAACAGTAAAATATTCGAAGAAATGTATTCTGAGCCACATGTGAGGACCACGACCCATGACACTGCCTCAGGAGGTCCTGAGAACATGTGCCCAAGGTGGTTGGGTTACAGCTTGACTTTATACACTTCAGTGGGACAGAAGTTACTGACAGAGGCATAAATCAATACATGTAAAGTATACCTTGGTTTAGCCCAGAAAGGCAGGACATCTTACAGGGGTAGGTAGTGGGCGTCCAGGTCATAGGTGGATTCAAAGATTTTCTGACTGACAGTTGTCAATCAGAAAGAGTTATTATCTAAAAACCTGGAATCAATAGAAACGGTGTCTGAGTTAAGACAAAGGATTGTCAGACCAACATTCTTATTATGCAGATGAAGTCTCATATGTGGCCACCCATAGAGACAACAGGTGACAAATGTTTCATATTTAGACATTTAAAAGGTGCTAGACTCTCATTTAATCTCTTCAAGATCAGGAAAAGACCAGGAAAGGGAAGGGGATTCTCTACAGAATGTGAATTTTCCCCACAGCAGAGACAGCTTTGCAGGGCCCTTTCAAAATAATGTCAAATAAATACATTTTGGGGTCAAATATTTTTATTTCCTTCCAGGCCTGCTGTCTGTCATGTGATGCTATACTAGAGTCAGGTTGGAATTTGGTGTCTTATTACTACCAAGAGTCTATTTTGTCTTAAGATCTCTATTTTAATGTTGATGCTGGTCATATGTGCCTAAACTCTAAAAGGGAGAGGGTATAATGAGACATGCCTGACCCCCTCTTCCCATAATGGAATGAATTAGTTTTTCACGTGTCTTTGGAATCACCTCGGCTGAGAGGAGGGGTCTATTCCGTTACTTGGGGAGCTTAGAATCTTATTTTTGGTTTACAGAACTTTCTTGTAATGTTTGCTGTTTCAATTCTTTCCCACTTAGAACTTCAAGAGAGAAGAGCAAAATTTTGTGATTCAGAATGAAATTAATAATTTGGCATTTTTAACTGGAGACAGCAAAAGCAAGATGTCAAAAGTAAGTCCTTAGAAATCAATTCCAAAAACTCTTCAACCCTAACCTCAGCCATGACTTGGATCTGTTTCATACTTTCTGGGGATTAACACCGTACTGCATTTAGGTCAAACTACATGACCAACAGTCTCTGCTGCTGTTTCTTTGAGAACGAGCCAGAAGAAACTGCTCTCAAATAAGCATGGTCATCACATTTTATGAATAAATAGCTGCTTGTATGTCAAAAAGCTTAAGTTTCAAGACTTGCCTAAGGCATTTGAGAGGTCTCCAAAACAAAAGCTGCTGTTAGTGATTTTAAAATAGAACTTCTTCCTGTGTAGTGAGGATACAGCAATACACATGCCTAGAACCACCTTTTGATAGCTAGGAAAAAATTACCTTGCTTTGTAGATTTTGACAGCACGTACTCTTACATCATGCTTGTTTTCCTCCTATCTGTAATATCCAATACCTGTTTTATTTCAGCTGTGTTGATCTCTTAATGCCCTCTGTTTCTTTTTCATGATAGTTGCACTCAGAAAGCCAAACATTTGTCCATTTCCTTTAGGAAATGTTTGAAAAGGCATATCGGACATCTGTCTGAAGAAAGACTAACCTATAGAGAGGAGCATAGCAGGAATACAAGGGGCACAAGTTAGCCTCCCACCTCCTCTTGCGTCGGCTCTGCACGCTGAGGCTTCATTATTTTGATTTAAGAGACTTCTCAGACGTACTCCTTCAAGTGTACATACAAAAGCAAAGCCTACTTAAATGTGATGTTTTGTTACCAGCTGTTATGACTTACCTTGACTCTGTACCCCTGAGAAATGTGCCTCAGTGAGGGTTGATTTTATATGTCAAGTATAAGTGACATTAATACCTGAGATGTGCATCTCTCTCATTGCTGGTACAGTGCTGCCTTTGAGGAGCATCAGGGTGGAGTGTGCATGGGGACCCTCAGAAGTAAAAGTCAGCTCTGGAAAGATGAGAATCATGGGTTTGTAACAAAGCCCTTGGGCATCTTTCCAAATAACCATTTGGGATGGAGGTCTCATATATAAGCTGCAGACAAGGGGCTGGTATGACACCAAAAGCGAAAACTTTAGCATCTGGAGCTCCACCAAGCATAGCTAGCTCTAGTCAGCTGCGATCATTCTGAGCTTTCTGTTGCTTTTATTTATGTTGACACATTTCTTCCAACATATAGAAATTGACTGTTAGAGTTTATAGTATACTCTAAGTATACACTTTTAGTATGCATTGCTTGATAAAGTTTGACAAACAAAATTACGTACATACAAAGTAGAGCAATCACATTCATGAGGAATCTTTGCTGCAAAGGTATCCTTTGTGCTTTAGTTTTATTTGATTTTTCAGAATTCATTTTGCATTTGTCTTTTGGTAAACACATCTACTGTCATATGATGTAGACGAGGTTGAGTTTTTTCAAATCCACCTTTCGGGGACAGCTAGCTTATCTTAAGTTGCCTCTGCAGGTCTTCTTACAGGTATCACAGCCTCTTCTTTGACTCATCTACCTGCAGAAAGTCAATAAATCCCAGACAGATTCCATACTATCTTTTTTTTTTAATTTTTTGAGATGGAGTCTCACTCTGTTGCCCAGCTGGAGTGCAGTGGCATGATCTCGGCTCTCTGTGAGCTCTGCCTCCCAGATTCAAGCAATTCTTCTGCCTCAGCCTCCCAAAAGCTGGAGCTACAGGCGCACGCCACCACACCTGGCTAATTTTTGTATTTTTAGTAGAGATGGAGTTTCGCCATGTTGGCCAGGCTGGTCTCGAACTCCTGACCTCAAGTGATCCACCCACCTCATCCTCCCAGAGTGCAGGGATTACAGGCGTGAGCCACAGCTCCCGGCCTTATCTTCAAATTGGGGTAGATTCAATGGCTTAGGACTGAACCAGCTAGCATCCATTGGGATTGTCAGGGAACAATCACAAAGCAATGGAAATGAATCTGATACCAGGACTTGGATCCTGGATGAGCAGAAATGGCAAAGACATCTCAAGCCTCTGGTAATGAATGAATGCTCAAGGTCCTTGGGTTTACATTTGGACAAAGATGAGGTAGCAGAAAATGGCATTTCAAAACCCACCTACTAACAAACTAACCTGACATTTTGTTCATTCACATCACTGAATGAGGAAAAGCGGGTGTTTGTTTCTTGACAAAGGATGGTCATTTTCAGAAAGTGGTCTTCTTCCTTGCTGGTCCGGTTAGTCTGTAGAAGCAAAGTCTTTTGTTTCATTTCTGTTGTTGTCATATGCCAAGTATTTCTGAGCCACATGGGATAGGGTCAAAATTACAACTTAACGAATGGATGAGAGGACACTCCCTAGATGTTGAATAATAGTTGCCATGGTCCTCAGGGTAACAAGAGTTCATATTGTTCTGTTGCCTGAGTTAAGACACTGTGTAGTGGTAAATAGACCAGAAGGCGAAAGGAAGCTAAGTCTTGCCCCTGGCCCAGCTGTTGGCTAAAGCTACACCTTGCATCATTCACTTAACTCCTCTGGGTCCCATTTACCAATCTGCAGAATGGGATTGAGCTTACTTCCTGACTTCTCCCAGCTCTACTAAGATGTTCTGGTTTAAGGTCAGTTTCAACAGTATCTCTAGGATAGAGTAATATTTGAGAAATACAGTGCATTATTTCAGACAAAAAGATACCATGCCTCCGATAAGAAATATCTCCTAGCCATTTCTGGTATTTTTTGGATGTGGAACTACATACTGAGGGGTTAGGGCAGGAGTATTCTTCCTTATCAGTTGACTCCCTATTGCCTTTGCCTCCCTGCAATTAGATGTTCTCTCTACTACCTGATCTGAACAGTGACCTGTACTTGCTTTTATCTCCACTCTTAACTGAATTCTGGTGTTGTAAAAATGAAGTTAGCCTCAGTGCATATGGCAGGCTTTGTGGAGGTATGTGTATATGAATGCCCTATGCCACACACACCACATATGCCGTTGCGAATGGAAAGGAAGTGGAGAAAATATACAGTGAGCCACGCTGTTACTACTTGATTAGTTGAAGGTCAGTTCAAAGATAACGCTATTTTTCTGGGGCAGTCAAAGCAGATTTTGCTTGTGAGAGCTCATTGTATATTTTGTGTATATAACACCAGTTTGCAAATGTATGTTAAGCTAAATGTAACTAAGCTGAGCAAGTGTTTTTTGTTTTGAAACTTTTTTTGTTTCTGGAAAAATGACAGCAGCTTCCTCAGAAGGGAATGGTAAGTTAGAATGTGTTCAGCCCAAGAAATGCCAGTTCCTTGACCAAGGTTATAAACAATAAAATCAAAAAAGTGTCGTGATGCAGGAAATATTAGAGTGCCTCATTGTTCAAAGCCACTCCACCCCATGAAGTGTGATTTCAGTGGATCGAAAAAGGACAGGAAATATTTTTGAAGCTATCTTTGAGTTTTTCAAGGGCATTCACACTTACACGTGTGAGTGAATTTTCTTGCTCATTCTCCCTCTTTCATTCCCTCCCCTACCACTTTTCTCTCTCTTTTTTTTTTTTTTTTCTTCTTCTTTGAGACGGAGTCCTGCTCTGTCGCCCAGGCTGGAGTACAGTGGTGCGATCTCGGCTCACTGCAAGCTCCGCCTCCCTGGTTCACACCATTCTCCTGCCTCAGCCTCCCAAGTAGCTGGGACTACAGGTGCCCGCCACCACGCCCGGCTAATTTTTTGTATTTTTAGTAGAGACAGGGTTTCACTGTGTTAGCCAGGATGGTCTCGATCTCCTGACGTCATGATCCGCCCGCCTCGGCCTCCCAAAGTGCTGGGATTACAGGCTTGAGCCACCACACCCGGCCTTCTCTTTTGTTTTTATTCCCTTTGTTCTTGCACTTCTGCTGTTTACTCACAGGCATGTGTGCATACTCTGTCTCTCTCTCTCATAAATGTGCACACGGGAACGCACACTCATCCTCTTCTTCTCCTCTCCCCCTCCCCTTTCACCCTCCCCTTTTCTCCTCCCTTCCCCTCCCTTCTCTCCACCTCTGCCTCTGTCCACCATTTCTTCCTTCCCTCCTGCCCTCCTTCTCTCACTCTATCTCTTGCTTCGCATTCTCAGACCGACTTACAGAAAGTCTTCTGTTTTTTCTCTGTCTAATGTTGGGTTGACTTGTCATTGCTTCGGTTACCTTCTCAGTGGGACAAGAGCTTCCCATGGCCCGGGCTTGCCTTTGTCCAGAAGTCTGACACCAGCTCTCCCTGTGCTGTCCCCTTGTGATGTGTCCTCAAAGTCACTCACCCCACAAAAGCCTGTGTCTGTCTTTTAAGTTCTACACACAAAATCAACTGTCTAATCATTATAAGATAACCACTGGTGATAGTTTATGATGTAAGCGTGGGGAGATGCAATGATTTTGAAGGTATAAGAATCTGTACATTTCTATTAAGAAAATAAAACATGGGCCAGTGTCGTGCCTGTAATCCCAGTACTTTAGGAAGCTAAGGAGGGAGGATCACTTGAGGCCGAGAGTTCAATACGAGCCTGGGCAACATAGCGAAACCCTGTCTCTTAAGAAAAAAAAAAAGGAAGAAAACGCAAGAAAATAAAACGTTTCCACCACCAAATTTTTAAAAGCATTTCATTAGAAAATTGCAGTGAGTTAACTAATCTTAGCAATATGTGACAGAACAAATAAAACTAGAATCTGTAGCCCCAACCTAAGGCATGTTTAAAGGTTGTAGCACAAGAAGGGAAACGCTCCATCTTTTAGGTTTTTTGGTGATTCTGAATCACTTTGGATATTCCTAGAGTACTTTTTGTTAATAAATCTTCTTTTTTCCTTTTTTTTTTTTTAAGACAGGGTGTCCCTCTGTTGCCCAGTCTGGAGTGCACTGGTGTGATCATAGCTCACTGCAGCCTTGAACTCTTGAGCTCAAGCGATCCTCCTGCCTCAGCATCCCTAGTAGCTGGGACTATAACACACAACCCCACACCCAGCTGAATTTTTTTTTTTTTTTGTAAAGACAGTGGCTATGTTGCTCAGGCTGGTCTCAAATTCCTAGCTTCAAGTGATCTTGCCACCTCGGCCTCCCAAAGTGCTGGGATGACAGGCATGAGCCACTGTGGCCTACGCTACCTTCTTTTAACATAAGCACAAGCATTGCCCCTTAGGTCAGTTCTCCCCTCTCTGTAGCCACAGATGTTGCTAATGTGGTGGGTAGAAGGAAGAAAGAAAACTCTGCTCTTTGGTTATACAACAGATTGTCTATAGCCCACCCAGGTGAAAGGAGGGAGGTAGAAGGGGCAAAGACTTCAGTTCTGGCCACCCACAAGAACTCTCTAGATCTAAAGACCAGCCTGGGTCGGGTCTGAGTGCCACACACTCTAGAAGGCTGCTTCTGGGTTGATTGTTTGGTCTGGGTATAAGTCCTTTGACCAAATTAACTTCCATCCTAACCTCCCACTCACTCTTCATGCTATGCTCAACTGGCTTCCAGAACCATTGAGTTTCTGTTGTGTTGGCTGAGAAATGGGGGCTAAGAAGCTATAACTAACATATGGTGCCTTTTGCCTTAGAGCCCTGCTTTTACTGACTGACTCTTCTCCTTGTTTCTTTTCTTTTGTCTTTCCACACAGGCCATGCAAGTAAAGGTACAGGTCAAATGCATGACGTGTCTTTTCTGTCCTAGTATTAGAGGTGCCGGGCTCTGGCCCCCTCTGCACTGTGATCACCATGGGGGTGGTAGAGAATGGATTTTCCCGCCTGGAGGTCCCCCAGGCCTGCTCCAGGGAAGACAACTGCCTGTCAAAGAGTGAATGTAGGCCTACCCACCCTTGGAATGGGGAAGCCGGGGAAGCCAGCCAAGCCTCACCCTAACCGAGGTCTCCTTGCTATCTCTGCTCCCTTCTCCAGCTGCCCTCTCGGCAGCCACCACACTAACAGAGATAGGGATGACTGACAGGGCTTGAGAACCCAGGGGACTACTCCTCGTGGTGCTACCCAGGGTCAGAGTCCTATTTTTTATTAGTGGTCTCAGCCCTTTCACACTGTAGGTGTCCTGCATCCTGTATAAGGCTCCCATGATTCAAAGAGAGTCTTCCAAAGCCTACCCTGGGAGAATTTCCCAGTTACAGTTTCAGGTTATAACTGAACATTTTCTCTTCCTCTTAATTAATGTGTGTCGGCTGCCATTCTCCCAAACCTCTGCTCTACACTATGCAGTGAAGAAGGGGAGATGTGGAGGAACTAGGGCACACGCAGCTCTTAGTTAGGAAAGGAAGATGGAGCCCAGGCGAGATAGACTTGCATCTGGTTAGCTCAGAGGCTTACTTGCTATGTGATCTTGGAAAAATTGCTTAACTTCCCTGAGCAATCCCATTCTCATTTACAAAACTGACTGGTTTCAGGGGTTTTGGGAGGATCATAAATGTTTTATATAAGTAGCAGGCACATTGGAGTCATATTGCATATGCAGCATTTATGATTAGAAGGACATGAGATTGGCCCAATCAAATAGAGAGTGAGCAGGAAATAATTTAGATTGTGTAATCAAATCCACGTAATTACACTTTTGAGCATATTTATTCGATTGCATACTGTGTATTACCATTTATATTTTACATGTATACATACGTGATATCACATAGTTTATATACATATAACCAGGTTCTATGTTTTATGGATGATTTGAAACATTTTCAAGGGTAATTTCGACTATAAATGAGTTTTGCCCTGAGTCGCAACCTTTAGAATTTTAAACCTGGTGGTAGAATGGTGAGGAGCCCAGCAAGCACTCAGCCAGTGATAGTTGGCACACGCTCAGTCTGTGTGTGAAGCAGCTTTCCCTTCCTGCTGTTTTCTGGAACACCAGGAGGCTCCTTCTCTTAGCCCCATTTCTTTCCCTCTGTTTATATTTCTTACTGCCCCTCCCACTGCTGTCCAAGGGCTGACTGGTGTTTTGGAGCACTGGACGCAAGATACCCCTGCAACAATAGAATTTTCTGGCAATGTTTGGCCAGACTAGGGTTCTGCTGGCCAGGGATTTTGCTGTGGTTTCTGTGATACTGTGATGCAACCACCTGAAATTGCAGCCGCCACAAGTGCTGAAAGAAATTACACTGTTCTTAAGAGTGTCCATTAATAATTATGAAACTCTTTCGCCTTTTGGAAAGCAATTTAAAGAGATTAGTCCCAAGACACTGTTAATTCTGACCCTACTCTTCTCTTCCAAAAGCCTTTTCCCATAAAATGAATTCTGCCCAAGCCCAGGAGGACCAGATCTTGCGTGCCACTTCCAGGGGAGGCATCTGGCGTGCTTCCAGAGCCCTGTATCTGTATGTCATGATAAACCACAGTGCTGTCCCCTCATTGCTGCAAACACTCCATGGTACCTCATAGCGTAAAGCTTTGGTGAGCACCGCTTCTTTCCCAGAGTCCCTGACTTGATTCTGGCTACCCAGCCCTCCCCACTTCCAGCAAGTGCCCACTGAGGCCCAGTCCTGCAAGCACGTACCACGTGAGCAGCTCTGTGTCTCTGGAACCTGGAATCATGAAATCTGAGTCACCGCCTTGTTTCCTTGAGCCCACCTGGACCCACCAAGTGATTTCCCTGTGCCGTGGATGCTGAGGGTTCTCAGTGGGTTCCCTGGGGCTGCTATTGTGTCATAGCCCAGTGCATTGGATTCCTCTCTCTCTTTTTTTTTTTTTTTTTTAATGTTTTGTTGTTGTTGTTGTTGAGGCCGAGTCTTGCTCTGTCACCCACGCTGTAGTGCCATGGCGTGATCTCGGCTCGCTGCAACCTCTGTCTCATGGGTTCAAGCGATTGTCCTGCCTCAGCCTCCCAAGTAGCTGGGATTACAGGCATGCGCCACCGCACCTGGCCTGGATTCCTCTCTTAAACCTGCAACTTCACTGAGTGAACTCTCTCTGAAAAGGATGAGAAGGTATAAGTCAAAGATGGGTATGAGCTTCCATGGACTGAGGAGTTCCTTTCTTTCATGTCTTCAGTTTTTCTCCTAACTTTCCTTCAGCTGGATTCCAAAGCAGCCCTGCTTTAGATTTTCCTTTTCCTGTAAGAATTTGCATTGGCTCATGGTCGGGAGGCCATGGTGAGGTGTTCCAAAACACCAGCTTCAGCTTTGAAAACACAGAGCAATTATTCTGTGCTGGATACTCTTTCATATTTTTAGTGATCCCCCAGCATCAGAATTCTCAGAACTTTTCTGGGGCCATTTTTGTCAGTTAACAAATCATTCTTTTTGTAGAACACCAGTTTACTTGTTCAGTCCGGAACTGAGTGAGCAATAGGCGTCGGTGATGTGTGTTTAGTTATGTGGCTCTGTGTGCATGCGCAGAAGGAGAAGGCTCAGGGTTATGGCTGGTCTTTGATGGCTACCTAATTCGTCTTTGTTCAACACACTCTTTTCACTGTCCTTTGAAGTGTAGTAAGGCCCACCCTATACTGACAGGGCCACAAGGAGGCAGGCTGCCTCTGACAGGAGGCCGTTCCTTTGGGAGAATCACTGAACCCCTCTCTGTTTATTTCAACATCATCTCCTAGTCTGGAGGACAAGACCAGGAGCGGAAGAAGACAAAGCGGCGGGGAGACTTGTATTCCATCCAGACCTCCCTCATCGTGGCTGCACTCAAGAAAATGCTGCCCATTGGTTTGAATATGTGTACTCCAGGCGACCAGGAGCTGATCTCCCTCGCAAAATCGCGATACAGCCATGTAAGCTGCCCGTCTGCCTGGGCTGAGTGTGTGATCCACATGGTGCAGTGATAAGCATTCAGCCCCTGAAGGGTTAGTCCTCCTCCCCTGGGGGGCGGGGAGCAGATGCGCAGAAACCAGTGTGTATGGAGGCAACACGCCCTCATCTTTAAAACTGGTTTGGAAGTCCGTGTGTGCCCTTTGGGACAAATCTCCGGAATATTTTTTCTTTTGTTCTTCTGATAAAGATCCCAGTGAAACTGTGCGTTGACTCTCCATACATCCCCATATGCTACTTGACAGTTCCATGGTGATCTCCGGGAATAAAATCTGACATCTCTTTCCACAGAGGGACACAGATGAAGAGGTCAGAGAACATCTGCGGAACAACTTGCACTTGCAGGAAAAGGTGATGACTCAGGACAGCAGTGAGAACTCACACCGGCTTTCCTTCTGGCTGCAGGGTTCCAGCTTTTCACTTCATTTACTCATGCTTCTTATATGTGTTCCAAAAACAGTTTGGGGGTATTTGTGTTTAATTGGTAGGACTAGCTCTCTCTTTTTTAAATTTTTTTTTAAAAATTTACTGGTACATGGCTGGGCGCGGTGGCTCACACCTGTAATCCCAGCACTTTGGGAGGCCGAGGTGGGCGGATCACGAGGTCAGGAGATTGAGACCATCCTGGCTAACACGGTGAAACCCCGTCTGTACTAAAAATACAAAAAGTTAGCCGGGCGTGGTGGCGGGCGCCTGTAGTCTCAGCTACTTGGGAGGCTGAGGCAGAGGCAGGAGAATGGTGTGAACCTGGGAGACGGAGGTTGTGGTGAGCCGAGATCAGGCCACTGCACTCCAGCCTGGGTAACAGAGCAAGACTCCGTCTCAAAAAAAAAAAAAAGTACTGGTACATAAACTGCCCTTAATGTATGTTTGTTTGTTTGTTTGTTTGTTTGTTTTTGCCCTTAATTTTTGTTCTTAGTTATTACAAAGAGGATTACAAAGAGGATACCCAATAAAGCATCTATTCCCATTTCCCATTATGTGAACGTCAGGCCATAGCAGTGGCGTGTAGCTTAGGTGTCAGAATTTACTGACTGTAAGTCTTGTTAAACAGTGCAGTGGACACCTGGGGGAAGTTTTAGCACTTCCTGCTCTAAAGAGATTTTGAAACAAAATAATTTTGTTTCTAGTTGGTACAATAAAAAAATATAATTTTCATGATAAAGGCTATTTGAGATGTTTTAAAGCCTGTGAATCTGAACAACTCTTACCTCAGATACATTATGCCCTGAGATGGAGAACTAAGCCAACACACAAAGTCTTTCCTTTCCGCCCCAAACATATAGGAATGGTGGATAAAATATACTAGGAAAAAAAAGGCAATAAAAAGAAATCTCTAGGGCCAGAAAAAAAATCTTAGGGGCTTGGTTTTTTAATCATTGTAAAGGAAGAGGAGTGTGGGACCTAATTACCCACACTATGCATAAATACAGAGCAAGAAACTTCCATAAAGTTAGCCTTGAACCAGTAAAACCCACAAATATTCCACAGAGAAACCCAAGTGGAATAACCACTTGGAGAGCCTCCACCTTCTAAAATACAAGCTGAGATACCAATAGGTAAAATTCCTCCTGAAGACAAGCTCATATTTTTTTTTGATTACAAAGCACATCAGGAAATCTACTAGTAGAGAGTCAGCATAGGAAACAAAGAGAATAATTCAACCATAAGGAGCAATTGAAAGAGATGTAAATGTAAATAAAATTAAAACATTTAAAGAGATATAAAGGAATTAATCGAACCCATAAAGCAATAATTGGATGTTATATTTTTAAAAAGAAGGGGAGATGGGTTTGAAAAAAGACTTCATAGTCATTATAAAAATAAAAAATAATCATTGAAATTAAAAACCTAATAAATGGGTTAAAAATAGGCTACACATAGCTGAAACAATAATTTATAAATTAGAAGAGTGCTTTAAGGAAATCATCCAAAATGCAACACAGAGAGATGACGAGATAGAAAATATGACAGAAGCATTAAGAGACATAGGAGTTAGAATGAGAAGTTCCTATACAGTATCTACAGTGTTCCAGAAGATAATTGAGAAAATGAAAGTGAAGTGATAATAGAAGGAGAGTCTTGACTCCTACAGAACCATGGTAGGACCAAAAGGCTTCTTCAGTATAAGAAGTACAGGAAATTCCTCATCTTATGAGTATGCTTCAATTTTCAGTCTGATGACCCAGCTGTAAAATGGCAACTGAACCTCTACAAGGATGTTCTGAAGAGTGAAGAACCTTTCAATCCGGAAAAGACAGTGGAGCGTGTGCAGAGAATTTCAGCAGCTGTCTTCCACCTGGAACAGGTAAGGAGCATCTGCCCTGAGGAATGGGGAAGCAGAAACACCCTGGACCATACAAAGCTCCCCTCCACACTCAGCATTCAGGTACAAGTGCCCTCATAAGACTGAGAAAACAAGGACCAAGGATCATCCCAGATCACCCCCACGTGCCATCTCGATGCCCTGTGATAGGAGACCTCTCCATTATTTCCCCTGCCAGTGTTTTGTGCATTCTTGCCATTAGCTCAAATGCCCTATTTAAGTCCACTACTGTTAGTTAAGCTGCTATTAGGGAATAAATGACTAAAAGCAACTGGGAGAAAGAGGAAAACCTAAGACTTTCACAACTGAAATCATCTGCTCCTGGGTGCATTTTGCTAACTACAGTTGAGAAGCCAAAATTCTTCCAGAATGAAGAAGTCTGGGCTACAGGTGACTAGCTTCTGCCACCAGAAGATCAGCCTAATGTGCACCAACCGATGTGATCTCTTCTCAGGTGGAACAGCCTTTGAGGTCCAAGAAGGCCGTCTGGCACAAACTGTTATCAAAGCAACGGAAACGGGCAGTGGTGGCCTGTTTCAGGATGGCCCCTCTCTACAACCTGCCCAGGCAAGTATTTTGTCTTTTTTCCTGGCATGTAAGCCAGCGATGGGAATGGAGGTATCCTCCCACAGCTGTGCTCTCTCACTCTTAATCCAAGGAATAGAAATTGGAATCCTTGGCCTATGGAGCTATTGCAGTCTGCATAGTATAAGGGCCTGGCTAAGACAATCAAGGTAAGCATAAAAACTGAAACCAGATGAGATTCTCTAGAGCCCATTCCTGTCAGGCTCACCATTTGTACCCTAAAGTCAGCCAAGTAAGCATATGGAAGTACACTACTTTTGCTGAGGTGGGATTCTTGGTTAGCATGTAAAGACTTCTGGAAAAAGAGAAACTGTTTTCTGAAACATTTTACCCCAAATTCCATCAACAGTTCCAATAGTATTTCTCTGCTCAGGAACTTGACACTGAAATTACCATTTCCTCAGCAGGTACAGAAATGTAACTTGAAAATCTTTTAGCACAGTGTACTAGCTGTCAAAATATAGAAAGGCTGCAGATGCCTCAAGAGGCTTGCCAGAGGCACGATGCCTTCGGGTGTTTCAGCTTATACTTTGAAGTAAAATGTATTTGAAGCTTTTGCTGAAAAGTCTGGGACATATCCTTGTCAACATAGGGAATAGTATCAGTGACAGACTGGCCCAGAGTTGACCACCCAGACCGATTCAGTGTCTTTGGTGATGTGGTGACATTCCTGTCCTCAGACTTATTGCAGAGTAGGTATGGTCAGGTCTTGGGTCAATAAACAAAGCTGGTAATTGAATATCAGCCTCTGCTTCACTGACTTATCAAATCAGTAGGAATATTCTCACTTGCTCAGGGAAATTAAACTGACTTAGACAAGTATACTCTGAAGCTTATGTAAATAAATGTGTTTCTTTGGAATATCACATAAAGGACTATTCCTATGCTTGACATTTTGTTTTCATCAAATTGTGGATCTTGGCCATCATTTGTCCAGAGTAGCCTATAACCTCGTCCTGAGCCAACTGGCCACCTGGGCTTTCTTAGGGTCTTTGAAGATAGTTAAGAATGATGGTCTCCGCCGGGCGCAGTGGCTCACTCCTGTAATCCTAGCACTTTGGGAGGCCGAGGCAGGCAGATCACTTAAGGTCAGGAGATTGAGACCAGCCTGGCCAACATGGTGAAACCATCTCTATTAAAAATACAGAAAAAACTTAGCCAAGCATGGTGACATGCACCTGTAATCCCAGCTACTTGGGAGGCTGAGGCAGGAGAATTGCTTGAACCCAGGAGGCGGAGGTTACAGTGAGCTGAGATCACGCTACTGCACTCTAGCCTGGGCAACAGAACAAGACTCTGTCTCAAAAAAAAAAAAAAAAAAAATCAGCCAGGTGTGGTGGCAGGAGCCTATAATCCCAGCTATTTGGGAGGCTGAAGCAGGAGAATCGCTTGAACCTGGGAGGCGGAGGTTGCAGTGAACAGAGGTAACACCACTGCACTCCAGCCTGGGTGACAGAACGAGACTCTGTCTCAAAAAAAAAAAAAAAAGGAATCACAGTCTCTGACACATACCTGCTCCAACAGATCTCTTTCAAGAAACAGATTACTATCTTTGGAAGAGAATGAGGCACCACCAAATCAAGTAGAATTCATGAATGAAAAGATGAAAAGCTCAAGCAGTCATGGGCGTTAAGGCTGCTGAAGTCGTAACAGAAAAGTGAAATTCATAGCCCGTTAGAAAAAGCAAAAGTGCATAGAATTTGTCTTTGTTTTCTGGAAGTGTCGAAACATCAGAAAGTGTTTCCTTCCCTATCTGATTGAGATTTCTACCTGACATTGTGCTGAGTTGGCCTTCGAAAGAGCCTAGCTCGAAAGCACATGTCTCTGGGACCAGGACAGCTAGGCAGAAATTACATCTCTCAAAAACAAGCATTTTTTTCTAAATCCACTGAAGATATTAGTACCATCCTTACATATCTGGGCTGCACCTTCAGTAGTTTTACTCTGTATGGGTAAGAGTAAGTCTAGGAATTCACTATGTCCTTCATGAAGCATGACCGTCCCTAACTCAGTTGTTTTAGAGGGGCTGCTATGGGTGATCTCTCTAGCATGGAGGACTGTAAGTAGATTTCATAACAACAGAGAAGCTGATGATGGAGACAACTTCTCTTCTCCACCTTGTGATCATCTAACCGCACAGAATCTCCCAAACTAAAGGGCTAAAGGGATTTGTTTTATTATGGGAAACTGTCTCTGATGCTAGTTTTTAAAAGAAAACTTGTATGCTTCTCTCCAGACACAAAATTAATAATTTCTTCCTGAGCACCTTTCAACAAGTTTGGCTGGAAAAGGTTAATGAAAAAACTCAGTATGACAGGCTTATACCCATTTTAATGGTAATGTAACCTGTGGAGAGACCTGCTCATTCTCTGCACACTCCTCCTTTATTGACCATGATTTAACGTTACCATAAGAACACGAATTTGTACAATTTTTAGGAAGAATTCTGATTGGTCAGACTTGAAGAAAGATGGCAAGGGCTGTGTCCTACCGAAAACCATGACCGGAGTTTAATGGCTCTGGTGTTGACTTTTATCTTCCTCCCCTCTCCTTCCCTCCTCACCACTGTCCTCACATTTTGTAAACACTTGGCTGCTTTTGCTTTGCAGTGGCTAATATTCCCAGAAGTCAATCCTGGCTTATCGGGAGTGGCTCATGCCAGTTATTCAGTGCACCCACATACCAGGGACATAGCTAGAATCCATGCGGCACACAGAAAATATGCCAACGACGTAACGTGCTTAAACCTTGTCGTGCTAAGTAAAAGCTGGAGCACTTTACCACTGTGGTTACTTGGAGAATGAAAAGAAGCCACATTTTGGTATTTTGGTATCTCTAAGATGAAACCACTGATCATCGGTATGACTTAGATTGGATTACCTAGAAGGGTGATCAGCCTAAAGGAATACCTAAATTGCCATATGAAGCAAATACTTCAGGACTGTTACTTGGCCTAATGATTGATTTCTCATTGGAGAGGAAATGTGATAAAGAGCCTATGAGAACAGAGTAGGATTACAGATAACTGCCATGTCTTGCTAACCATTGTCATTTTCAGAAGGTGCTCTAATATTCAAGACTCGTCATGGTAGAGGGTTCTGGTTTCTTTGAAGTGAGTTCTGTGGTATGCTACTGGCTACCCTGACCAATCAGAAGACAAGAATTGTACAAAAGTCTGTCCTGCTTACTAACCATTAACTGCCCAAACTAAAAGAACAAGTTCCATGGATCCCTCTTGACCTCCCTCTCACCCCTTCCGCTCAGGCACCGCTCTATTAACCTCTTCCTCCATGGCTATCAGAGATTTTGGATAGAAACAGAGGAGTATTCCTTTGAAGAGAAACTAGTACAGGATTTGGCTGTAAGTACTGACTCCCCTGGGAGCAGATATGAGTGTGGATGAATTTGATTTTCGAATTCATGTGTGTGGTTGTAACAGTTAAACATTCACAAGGAATCGTGTGTATACAGTTGAAAAGCACTAACTGTGTAAGTGCTCAGGGGAGGCCCTGCTAATGGTCATAGGAGCCAGAGGATGAATTTTCACTTGGAGTTGCTAATACTGTCATCGTCCTCCTCATTGTCGCTGTTAACAACTAATATTTCTTAAAATGCACCGCCATGTCATGGGGGGTTCATGCTAAGTGAAGTTTTGAGCACCACTGGTTGCAGGAGGCCACCCCAGCCAAAGCCCCACGTTCCTACTCTGTAGTTCTGCTTTGGGGAAGATGCATCTAGATACCCTTCCTGCATCTTACATTTCTATATTTGGCCTTTCAGAAAATTTGGCATGCCTTGTCTCTAACAGACTTCATGCTCTAAAGCCACTTAAAATGACACAAGAGGGGAAAACTTACTGCAGAGGTGCCACAGAGCCTCATTCTGGTTCAGAGAGAAAATAAACCCTCCTTCTCTTTGGCCAGCCCTGTGGTTCTTTTTCTCCTTCTCCCACGAACCTTTTTCTCTTACCACTCACTCTCTCCGTTCATCTTGTCCTGTGTTTCTGATAGTCACTTTTTTCTAAATGTCTTTCACTTTCTATCTTTCCCTGTCACCCTCTGTTTCTTTCCTTCTTTTTTAAAGCCTTTTCCTATTGTTTTCTTTCCCTTTGTCTTTATGTCTTTCATTCTTCCCATATATTCCTGTTGGTGAGAAAGACACTCCGTTGGTTTTCTCAGTTTCTTGATGAGTGTGAAGTTGACAATGAGCGTCACTTCAGCCCTCTACTTCTTCTGAACCATTCATACAACCCATGTAGTTCTCACCAATTTACCAAATACGGTCCACCCTGCTGGCTCTGCCACTGCTAGAAAATTCACTTTTACCTCTGACATTAGCTGTTATTTCTCTTTCCATGAAAAGCGATAAAGAAAAGACCTGATAAAAGGAGAAGGGCAAGGCCTGCAGCTCCAGGATGGCAGCTCTCAGGAGCAACAAGAATTTTAGAATCAAGAGTTAGGTCAGGAAAGAGAGATGTTTTGCTGGGTTGAATCTAGAATAGTATTAGACCCAAAATGGCCCCACTGCTTTGTAACTCTTGCCCCACCTCCATGTCCAGCCCAGCCCTTCAAAAGAAATGTCAGCTGTTGGCCTGAGAGAGCAGTCTCTCAGGTGTCTCTGTGGGGTTTTCCTCCTGAACTCGGGTGCCCAGAGCTTGCATGAGAGGTCAGCTGATTGGAGTCTGTAGCTATTCCCTTTATGGGCAGCCTTTTGCTTTTTATTTTGTTTTAACCTGAAATTGGAATGTTTCTTTGGTTGGCTGTAAAAATAAAAAATATACAAACATATATACACATGTATCTCAAACCTCGCACCTTTAGGGCTTCTATCCTGAAATAAATACATGACGTAGTGGTTTTGTTTTGTGCTTTAGTCTGATGCACTCTGTGCCTTGCGCTTTACCTTCTCTTTGTTCGCATGCCAGTCACGTGGCACGAGATTAAATTCATGCCTAAAACCTATCTGTGTTGGTTTGTGTAGAAATCTCCAAAGGTGGAAGAGGAGGAGGAGGAAGAGACAGAAAAACAACCTGACCCACTACATCAGATCATTCTCTATTTTAGCCGCAACGCTCTCACGGAGAGGAGGTCAGAACCACCAGCTCACCTGCTTCTCCCAGGCACCAGGGATACTTGTGTCCACTCCTGACCTTCTTCTCTCAGACGGCAGTGGGTGGAAAAGGGAAGCTAGATTTGAGCAGCCCTCCTTGCTGCCTTATATTTGGCCATCAAGATATGTCTAGGGAGCCAGGCGTGGTGGCTCACGCCTGTAATCCCAGCACTTTGGGAAGCCAAGGCGGGCGGACCATCTGAGGGCAGGAGTTCGAGGCCAGCCTGACCGACATGGTGAAACACCATCTCTACTAAAACTACAAAATTAGCCGGGCATGGTGGTGCACGCATGTAATCCCAGCTACTCAGGAGGCTGAGGCAGGACAATCGCTTGAACCCGGGAGGCGGAGGTTGCAGTGAGCCGAGATCACACCACTGCACTCCAGCCTGGGCGACAAGAGCAAAACTCCGTCTCCAGAAAAAAAGACATGTCTAGGGAAACTACATCAAGCCACAGCCTGCTCTTCATAATGTCAGACACTGAGCTAAAGATTAAACAGCCTAAAACTATAAACTTCATCTCTGAATTCCATGTTAAGCCCCTGCTGGTTCACATTTTCAGAGTGGTTTCTAAGAATCAGAGTGGGGGAAGGGATTTTCTAATTAATTCACTAGTACTTATAATTTGAGATTTATATGACTCTTAGTCTTTATTGTGGGGTCCAAAGAGTAGCCTGCTAAGGCTGGGCATGGTGGCTCATGCCTGTAATTCCAGCATTTTGGGAGGCCAAGGCAGGCAGATCACTTGAGGTCAGGAGTTTGAGACCAGCCTGGCCAATATGGTGAAACCCCATCTCTACTAAAAATATAAAAAAGTTAGCTGGGCATGGTGGCAGGCACCTGTAATCCCAGCTACTGGGGAGGTTGAGGTAGGAGAATCACTTGAATCCAGGAGGCGGAGGTTGCAGTGAGCCGAGATCGCGTCATTGCACTCCAGCCTAGGGGACAAGAGAAAACTCTGTCTCAAAAATAAATAAATAAATAAATAAATAAATAAATAAATAAATAAATAAAAAGCCTGCTAAATATTTCCTCCATTCTTTCCAGCAAATTGGAAGACGACCCTTTGTACACCTCCTATTCCAGCATGATGGCCAAGGTACACCCAGGTTTTCTGCCCATTGTCTCTGTCTTTCTGTCTTCCCTTAGATTTCTTTAGGCGCATGAAAATTGTCATGTTGAATAGCAGGCCTGGGACTTTGTCATGACATAGGTTTCAGGCATTGCACAATTCATGTGCCATAGAGATGATATTAGTAAACCAATTCACCGTCTTCCTAAGGAAACCTTGAAGCTTTGCAGAAACAATGGGTGCTGGTGGATAGGTTCACACTGACATTTCTAAAGCCAGCTAAATGGGGCTTAGGCATACAGAATACCCTTGTGTTTTCACTCAATGTTCAGGATACATCAGACAGTTCAAACACATCCACAGGTGAAGGTTAGAAACTAGAGAGAGCTCCCGGTGCTCTGGAAGAGGCAGTGTGACCAGAAATGTTCTTTGTCACCTAGAAAGATGGTGACCTCTGGAATGCTGAGCAAATAAGGGAAACTTTGATGTCAGGCAGAAAGGATGTGTTGGGGTATAGGAGCACCTATTCCTTGATCTAGCTGTACCACAGGGCCCCAGTGGGAAGAGGCGCTTTAGGATTCACATCCTAGGTGATGTGTCTCCAATCTTAATGCCATGCCCTTGGGGCTGTATCTAGGAAGTGGCAGCTCCCTGCATTCCTGTCTCCCATTTACACCAGAACCTTACTAAGGTAGAAGAGTTCAAGTCTGTGGTTAAACCAGCTAGGTCACCATTGATGATGTGAGCTCTGTGTTCTCATTTCTCATTTCTGAACTCTATGGTAACTGCGAAGATGGCATTTACAGGAGAAATGTTGCCCAGCAGTGGCCAAAATGTTCCTGGCTTTACACAACGCTGAGGTCCTGAGGTGCCTGTGAATTACGTCCTGTCCCCTGCCCTTGTAGAGTTGTGTTTATTAGATTTCCCTTTAATTTGATTGTCTGTCTTCTCCCTTCCCTGCTCCATGAAATCCAGAGTTGTCAAAGTGGTGAGGATGAAGAAGAAGATGAAGACAAGGAAAAAACATTCGAAGTAAGTTCTCATGAAGAATAAAAATAGAGCCACCCTCCAAGGCCAATAGGCCAGGCCTTCAGAGGTGGGTGCTGACATTAGCCTATTGAGCATTTCCTGCATTCAGCCAGAAATACTCAAGTTGACCCCTCAGCAGGTTTCCCTGTGTAACAGAACATGGAAAACAAACACATTTTAATGTTGCGTTGCTTCCCACAATTATGGTATCCAAAAGGAATGGACTGTGTGTTCTATCAGTACAAAAAATGGAAAATGTACCATCAAAATAAGAGTGATGGGTAGACAGTTTTAGAAAGCTGGCTAGTGTCTGGAAATAAACTTCAGAAGTCTGCTTTATCCAAGTTGATGTGTGTTACCTTCCTTAGGTAACTGGAAAATTCTCTCTCACCTCACTATGGGTGAACTCCCTGGTGCTGGGTAGGAACCAATCTTTCCCTGTGATTTTTTTTCCCCCCAGGAGAAAGAGATGGAGAAGCAAAAAACCCTCTATCAGCAAGCTCGGCTGCATGAGCGTGGTGCTGCAGAGATGGTCCTTCAGATGATAAGCGCTAGCAAAGGTGATTTCCCTAGTTTCTGGATGGGCTTATGTAACTTCCACAAAGATATCATGCTGTGACATACAGCCATTATTAAAGAGCCCTGCTAAGGCCCAGGAGGCATGATTTACCATCTGTTTCCTTGGTGATTCAATCGAATCTTCACCATGGCAGGTGAGATGAGCCCCATGGTGGTTGAGACGCTGAAGCTGGGGATCGCCATTCTGAACGGAGGCAATGCTGGTGTGCAACAGGTAACGGGAACTTGCAGCGGCTGGGCAGGCTCCCGGGGTATTCCCATTTGACACCTGTCATGCTTCAGGGAAGAGGAGTTGACTGCTACAGAGGGGAGCCACCCAGAATCACTTAGCTCACGTTTGTCCTTAGTGGCCAGTTATATCAGAGTAGCTGGGAACGCAACATGGCTGGGAATCTGCAGGCAAATGTGTCTTTAATAAAGAGGTTTTATCCAGGATTAAAGATAAAAACATTTAGTTTTTCATCAGTAGATAACTTTCTGTATAAATATTCTCCAGAAAAATTTCCTAAGAGTTAGGTTTTTACTTTAGCCCTTTATTTTCACTAATTAGCTGCCTTTAGTATGAGCAAGGAGCCTCATCAGTTAAGTGGAACTGATAAACTCACAAACCTGTTATTCGTTCGTTCATCCATTCATTCATTCATTGAGCAACTGTTTACTGACTGATGACCATGCCAGGCTCTGCTGCAAGGGCTGAGGGTGTAGCAGTGAATAATACAAATAAAAACTCCTGCCATCGTGCAGCCTACACTCTAGTGAGCATTAAATGCGACAACACATAGAAGCATACAACCAAGTACCTGACACATGGTATTTCTTCAACAATCTGAATTGGAACAGGCTGCAGAAGACAGGAACATACCGGTGTTTCTCAGGCACTCCGGGTTCTGGTTAAAAGCATCTGTGTGTACAGGGAAGTGAAATTTCAAACAGACCCTTGGCATTCATAAGGGTTATATCCCAGGGCCTGTGAGAGTCTCCAGATTCACAACCACCATTACTGCATATAGCTTTTCCCAGCCTTTAACTCATCCCCCTAAAGTTTCTCCAATTTTTTATTAAAAACTGTCATTTTCTAAGTTATCCTTCACTTTCTGTTCCCTTCTACCACCTACCACGAGATGTCAGTTGACTTTCTTATGGGGCCTTTTGTTTATTTTTTAAAAAACAAAATTTTTATTATGTCAAACAAAGTTCCTACCTTCCAGTAAAAGAGAACACAGGAAACAAAGCCTCATTGTGAAAGAAATACTGAGCTTTCAGCTAGGCTCCTTACTGGCTAAGCTCCTTGCTCCTCTGTGCCAAATTCATAGCATGAGCTATTCAGATTATAACTCAGCTTCGTGATACATTACTATATCACGGCCTTGGTGCTTGTTCCCAAATAGAAGGGACTTCAATCAGTAGGTCTATGAATGTCAATTCTGCCCTAGAAGAAATGCCAGTGGGCGTTTATAAAATAAACATGATCTACCCCATGGGACTCTGATTCCATAAGCAGAGCGTCCAACTCAGTGTGGCTGGGGATTTCTCCATCAGGATTAGGAGGGTCAGCTCTGTGGTATAGTTTTCATCGCTTTTCCCCTTACAACGTGTCTCCCTTGCAGAAAATGCTAGATTACCTAAAGGAGAAAAAGGATGCTGGATTCTTTCAAAGCCTTTCTGGTCTTATGCAGTCTTGCAGGTAAATGCGGGAAAACTACCATAGCATTTAAAAAACTCTTCCCTCTAAGCATAGGAGGCAGGGGAAGGGGAGCACAAAATATACTGGCCTACCATAGAATTCTTGAGAGAGGAAGCACCTACTTAGAAAGCTAAGAGAGTAGGTGTTGTTCCTCCAGCCTTCAGGATGACAATTCAGCTAACATTCAGAGGGGAAAATGTGATTGCCATTAGCCACATACACACGCTCCCCCACTGCTGTTGTGTTTAATCTCCCTTCCTTACCTCCACGTTTATGTTGCTTTCCCAGCAGGCTCAGTGTGCGCATTGAGTTTCTCATCAAACATGTATGTCCATAAAAGTCAAACCAGGAAAGAATGGAAAAGGGGGGATTCCTGACTATGATTCAGGGCTATGTTTTATTAAACCCACTAGGTACTTTGTTAATCTTTGTCCTTAACAATTCTTTGAGCTTGAATATGTGTTAGGGTAGTGTGTATTTTGACACATCCATTTTGACAGCGGTACATCCTGGCATGGGAACATTTTGACATAGCCTAAAAAACAAGGCTTTGAACTTTCCATTCATATTATTAAGCTGTTTAAGCCACCCCTCATGGCTGAATGGCTCTGACACATAAATAATATATAATCCAGAGTCATAGGTCATGATACTTGCTGAATTCAGAGATGAGCCAGAATCTAAGAAAAGTGTCAGCTTATTGTCTAAGATTCATATGTATTTGGATAGTCTGCAGATAATTCTAAAAGAAATTAAACTTTTAATTACCTAGTTCATTTGCCTCCAATTATGCTTTCCATTTAAAAATGTGGAGGATGGTCATCCTTTCTCTTGGTGGACTACATACTTTTGCTAACCATATTTCACTGGGTAAAATATCGTACCCTGGGCAGTAGGGAGCATACGTGAGCTGCAGTATAATTCTTTAGTCTCAGCTCTGTGGGGCTTTTCCCCACCAACAGTCTATTCATTTATTATCTCTCTCAGGAAAACAAAAAGGAATATTTCCAGGCCTGCCTCTCTGAAGCTAAAATAGTACATATGAACTCAGAGATGGCAAAAATCAAGGCAACTCAATTCCATATTGCTCATAAAGTTATCCATTTACTTTCTAACAGTTCTCTCAGTATCCTGTAATACTTAATATTGCTAAACTCATTTATAATGACAGCTTGGAGAGACAGGTGATATACGCTTAGATGCCAGCTGAGTTCTAACAGAAGTTTTAAGATGTCTTACTGCTGGGTTTTTTATGATTATAAGAACAATATATGTTTTTTAAAAATTTAAGCAGTAGGGAAGTTAAAACATTCAAAATGGGTATTTAGGAATGGAGTGAGTAAGGATCAGAAATGTGTGTTGCATAGATTCAGATTCAAAACTGCTGCTTCAGAGCAACTATGTCCAAATGTTCTTTCCCATGTTTTCCTCCCCTGACGGCTAAACCAAAGTAGAAGGATAGTTTTGTGTTGATGAGCAAGCCCTTTTGCCAGCAGAATCTGGGAAAAACAAACAAATGGCAATAGAGATTTCACTGTCTACCTAAATCATTTTTACCTAAATGATGAAATTAGGTAAATGAAACTTACCTAAATCACAAAACATGTGACTCCTTAAAAAGAAAACAGGAAGGCCAGATTTTTCTCCATGCCTTTGCCCCGTGGTAGAAGGAAAGCTAAGTTTTGCAGAGTCTTAATGGACTTAGCCATAAACTTTCCTAAGAGCTATGTTCTATGTTCTATGAAACCTTTCAGATTGGGGAATAAGTTAGACTCCGTTAGTAAAATGGAATGAGCCCCACTTAGAAATAACATGATCATATAGTGGTCTCATCAGCAAGCTTTGTGGTTGCACTATGGCTTCCTGGCTGAGTAAAATTTGGCAGTGGCTGTGACTAGGAAGGTTGTGGGGAGTAGGGACAAAAATGAAGGCCAACTTGTCATAAATTCAGGAATACCTGGAGGCACCATTCCCTGTGGAAAGCGGAACCTCAGCTTCCATAGGCTTTTGCATGATGTAGAATCATAAAAGGGCGTGGCCCTTTGAAATCTGGAAGTTTGTAGCTCATCCTAAGCTCTGGAAACCACAATTCCATGTGATTCTCAGAGAAAGTAGGTAAAGGTGGGAGGCAAACATTAATCAGTGCTGTTTAAAGTAAACTTTCCCTCGAGAAATCTTAAAAACAGATTATTCCTTCTTTATTTGGAAAACTTTTCTAAACCTTCACATCAAAGTGAAGACCTTGAGTCTTCACCAAAAGACTCAAACTGGACAGACAATGAGAGTCACCGTAAGTGTTCATGACCCCTCTACCTGTATGTAACAAAGTCTGTGAGCTATAGGCACCTAAGACAACACTGCTCGGCACAAAACCAAGGAATCATTAGACTTGCAACCACCCTGGAATGTGTTAGTTTATTTACGATAACACAGGGGCAGGATATGCTTAGTCGATAGGTACATTAACATTAGAAATCTGCTTTCCCAGCGTGCGTAGCCCTGAACCTTGTTTCTTTCTGTCTATTAAAAGTGTCCTTGATTTGAATGCATTTGAGAGGCAGAATAAAGCTGAAGGCCTGGGGATGGTGACTGAAGAAGGAACACGTAAGTAACTAATGAATGTGAAGGCCATTCTCTTCCTGATTAAAATCTTTTTTTTTTTTTTTTTTTTTTTCCCCATACAGAGTTTCGCTCTTGTTGCTCAGGCTGGACTGCAGTGGCGCGATCTCACCTCACTGCAACCTCTGTCTCCTGGGTTCAAGCACTTCTCCTGCCTCATCCTCCCGAGTAGATGGGATTACAGGCTCCCACCACCACAGCCAGCTAATTTTTTGTATTTTTAGTAGAGGCAGCATTTCATCATGTTGGCCAGGCTGGTCTTGAACTCCTGACCTCAGGTGATCCACCCCACCTTAGCCTCCCATAGTGCTGGAATTACAGGCGTGAGCCACCGCACCTGGCCATTTAAAATCTTAATTACCTATTTCTGGTCAGAGCTCATGTCTTTGCTTAGTATGCAAGGACTTGCTCTGTTTCAGTAAAATGCTTCCATCGGTAGCTTTAATAAAGCTATCATCTAGGATGGATGTGTTCACATAGCCAGTTTTAACTAAAGACAGTTTATCATGATGTTTACAGTTTTCTTACTTTCTATTCTTCTGTTTTTCTCTCATTACCAGTCATTGTTCGGGAACGTGGTAAGTTTCAGTTTCTGGCCTGAGTTCCTACCGTGTGTGAATCCTAGGAGATCTCATTTAATTGCCTCAGCACAGAAACATTTTAGGCTTGGTAGTTGCATGTTGAGTTGAACTCAGCAGTTTGGTACTTAATTAAAGAAGTGTCTTCCATCTGTAAAGCATGGGTTATGGACCGTGAGCCATTTACTCTCCTTATCCAGTTGTCTTCATTACAAATGCATTTATTGGGCATTGTGCCTTGCAGCCCAGCTCAGTTTAATTGGGCTTTTCACCATTCATCCAAAGTTCCTTTTCCAAACCATTCTGACACAACTCCTTTATCATCTGTGTAGTCATTTACATTAGAAAGTATTCTCTGGTGAGAAGCCAAACCAATGCTCATCAACGTTCTGTGTTTTCAAGGTGAAAAAGTACTCCAGAATGACGAGTTCACGCGTGATCTCTTTAGATTCCTACAGTTACTTTGTGAGGGACATAACAGTGGTGAGTGGAACAGATTGATCTGCCAAGGAAACACAGCACTCGGGCAAAACTAGAATTCCGTTCAGTATGCCCCATTTGATGCAACTAGTTGTTAACTCAAGGACATCAGTTAATGCGTTCCTCAATAAGAAACTATGTAAATATCATGGCTAGTGATATTTAGTGCCACCAAGGCTAAGCTGCTTCCAGAATCTTCAGATGAGAAATCTAAATACCCAGCCCTTTCCATCTAGCCCCTTGGGGCTCGTTAAGTCCAGTTTCTGGTGTCCGCAGGTTGGGGGGGTGCTCAGAGCAGAGCTCTGCCCTGCAGGATCTGCCATGACCCAAACATGGTATTCTTGTAAGCCTTTTCACATAGAATGTCTTATCTGAGCTCAGCTGAGAGGGCATGCTTGGCCCCCTCGGCATGGCAGGGACAAGCTCTGACCCAGCACTGGTGCTCTCAGACTTTCAGAACTTCCTGCGGACTCAGATGGGCAACACCACCACCGTGAATGTCATCATCAGCACTGTGGACTACCTTCTGCGTCTGCAGGTGAGTGGGAGGGCCTTGGACAATGGGACCTCTCACCTTTGCTTCCAGAAGATAAACACAGTTACACAGGGTCAGGGACAGCCCAGGATACAGTCAAGCCCCTATAAGGAAGGCGTTGTAACGTGTATCCACAGATGCATGGGAAGTCCAGTGCCCAAAGAGTATATTTGAAGACAGAAGTGGGAGACGTGGTTAAACACCAAATCGTCTGTTATGAAATGCTGGTTTACTTTAGTTTTGCCAGTGAAAACCAATCTGTGTTGCTATAAAACAACCAAGAGCTATAACACAACCAAGAGCTCTAAAATAACCTGTGAATGAGAACAGATTTCACTAGAAAAAAAGACTTACACGAGATGATAGGAATAGGATGAGTTTACAAGTTCGTGTTGAGAAGTCAGATGGTTTGTTTCAAGGAAGCCCAAATTATATTGAAAAAATCTACACAAACCTATTAACAAAAAGGGATTTTTTTCCTCTTTGCTGATTCCTCATCCTGGTTCTGCCACTTACTGGTTTGTAACCTAGAGCAATATGTTTAATGTGCCTGTGTTCCAGTTTTTTCATCAGTAAAAGGGGTAGGACCTATGCCATAGGGTGGTAGTAAAGATTGAGAGGTTGGATACAGGCATACCTCATTTTATTGCAGTTGGTATTATTGTGCTTCACAGATGCTGTGTGTTTTACAAATCGAAGGTTTGTGGTAACCCTGCATCAAGCAAGTCTATCTGTGCCGTTTTACCAACAGCATTTACTCACTTGGTGTCTCTGTCACATTTTGATGATTCTCACAATATTTCCAACTTTTCACTATTATATCTATTATGGTGATCTGTGATCAGTGATCTTCGATGTTACTATTGTAATTGTTTTGGGGTGCCATGAACTATGCCCTTGTAAGACAGCAAACTTAATGTTGCATGTGTTCTCACCATTCCACCAACTGTTCCTCCATCTCCCTCCTTCTCCTCAGGCCTTCCTATTCCCTGAGACATAACAGTATTGAAGTTAGGTCAGTTAATTTCCCTACAGTGGCCTCCAAGTGTTCAAGTGAAAGGAAGAGTCACACATCTCCCACTTTAAATCAAAAGCTGGAAATGATTAAGCTTAGTAAGGAAGGCATGTTGAAAGCTAAGACAGGCCAAAGGCTAGGCCCCTTGCACTAAACAGCCAAGCTATGCAAAGAAAAAGTTATTAAAGGACATTAAAAGGGCTGCCTCAGTGAGCATATGAATGATAAGAAAGCAAAACACCCTCATTACTGAAATGGGGACAGTGCGAGTGGTCTGGATAAAAGGTCAAACCAGCCACAACATTCTCATAAGCCACAATCTAATCTAGAGCAGGGCTCTAACTCTCTTCAATTCTATGAAGGCTGAGAGAGGTAAGGAAGCTGCCAAAGAACAGTTTGAAGCTAGCAGAGTTTGGTTCATGAGGTTTAGGGAAAGAAGTCATCTCCAAAACAAAAGTGTAAGGTAAAGCAGCAAGTGCAGATATAGAAGCTGCAGCAAGTTACCCAGAAGATCTATCTAGGATAATTGATGAAGGTGGTCACACTAAACAACAGATTTCCCACGTACATGAAACAGCCTTCTCCTAGAAGAGAGATACCATCTAGGACTTTCATAGTTAGAGAGGACAAGCCAATACCTCACTTCAGAGCTTCAAAGGACAGGCTGACTTTCTTATTAGGGGCAGCCCAGCTGGTAGCTTTAAGTTGAAGCCACTGCTCGTTTACCATTCCAAAAATCCTAGGGCCCTTAAGAATTATGGTAAATCTACTCTGCCCATGCTCTATGTATGGAAAAACAAAGCTTGGATTGTCATCTGTTTACAGCATGATTTACTATTTTAAGCCCACTGTTGACACCAACTGCTCAGAAAAAAAAAAAGATTCCTTTCAAAATATTACTGTTGTTGACTATGCACCTGGTTCCAAGAGCTCTGATGGAGATATACAAGGAAATGAATCTTTTTTTCATGCCTGCTAATACAAGATTTATTCTGCAGCCCATGGATCAAGGAGTAATTTTGACTTGCAAGTCTTATTTTTTAAGAAATGCATTTCGTAAGGCTACAGCTGCTACAGATAGTGATTCCTCTGATGGATCTGGGCACGGTAAGTTGAAAACCTTCTGGAAAGGATTCAACATTGTAGATGTCATTAAAAAACATTGTGGGCCAGGCCCAGTGGCTCGCATCTGTAATCCTAGGACTTTGGGAGGCCAAGGCAGGAGGATCACAAGGTCAGGAGATCGAGACCATCCTGGCTAACACGGTGAAACCCCATCTCTACTAAAAATACAAAAAAAAAAATTAGCCGGGCATGGTGGCGGGTGCCTGTAGTCCCAGCTACTCGGGAGGCTGAGGCAGGAGAATGGCGTGAACCCGGGAGGCGGAGCTTGCAGTGAGCCAGATTGCGCCGCTGCACTCCAGCCTGGGCAACAGAGCGAGACTCTGTCTCAAAAAAAAAAAAAAAAAATTTTGATTCATGGGAGAAGGTCAAATATCAACATTAACAGGACTTGAGGAAGTTGATTGCAACCCTTGTGGGTGATTTGGAGGGGTTTGAGACTTCAGTGGAGGAAATAAATGCAGACGTGTTGGAAATAGCAAGAGAACTAGAATTAGTAGTGGAGCCTGAAGAACATGAACCTGAATTGCTGCAATCTCATGATCAAACTTTGACAAACGAAGAGTTTCCTCTCATGGATGAGCAAAGAAAGTGGTTTCTTGAGATGGAGTCTTCCTGGTGAAGATGCTCTAAACATTGTTGAAATGCCAAAAAGGGATTTAAAATTGTAAACTTAGTTGATAAGGAGTGGCAAGGTTTGAGAAGACTGACTCCAATTTTGAAAGAAGTTCTGTGGGTAAAATGCTATCAAGCAGTACATGCGTCTTTCATGAAAGGAAGTCAGTTGATGCAGTTAACACTGTCTTATTTCAAGAAATTGCCACAGCCACCTCAACCTTCAGCAGCCACCACCCTGTTTAGTCAGTAGCCATCAACATCAAGGCAAGACCTTTCACCAGCAAAAAGATGGTGGAACTTACAACTTGCTGAGAGCTCAGGTGATTGTTAGCACTTTTTAGCAATAAAGTATTTTTTAATGATGGCACGTACATTGTTTTTTAAAGACATAATGCTATTGCACACTTAATAGACTACAGCATATTGTAAACATAACTTTGATGTACGCTGAGAAATCAACATTTTGTATGACTCACTTTATTGTAATGTTCACTTTACTGTAGTTTATCTGTAATCAAACTCGGATTATCTCTGAATCTCTACATGCCTGTATATGTAATGTACTCAGAACAACGTCTGGCACTTACAATATTAGCTATTATGTTGTTGCTGTTACTATGATTATTTGGATAATTACCATTATCTTCACATATTTCACATTGAGTAAATTATCCTATTTCATAGTCTCCAAGTTCCAGCTGAAGGCAGTCCTCACTCCTATCTATTCTTTCCTCTGCAGGGATATTTGTGCATGAAAGATCCTAGAGACCTGGTATCTCTGCACTTCTTCACAGGGTCCCTGGCTCCTGTCAGAGCAAAGAGGTCATAGAGATGCAGGATTATCATGTACCCTTCCCAAACACCGAGTTTAGCTTCACTGACTGAAGTCTGAGAAATACTAAGCTCTACTCATTTGTTTTTAGGAATCAATCAGTGATTTCTACTGGTATTATTCAGGGAAGGACATCATTGATGAATCTGGACAGCACAATTTTTCCAAAGCTCTGGCAGTCACCAAGCAGATTTTCAATTCTCTTACAGAATACATCCAGGTATGTGCTACAGAGTGCATGGTTGAAAACAAAGAGAACATTGTTGATATGCCTGTATTCTATATTCCCTACAGAATACTTGATTGTACACAGTGCACTATCCATCCAGCCCTAATGCTGACAATTTTTATTTTCTCTAAATAGGAAGCAATAGTACCTGCATTCCACAAGCAGCTATAGTTTGGGGTCCCCCCACTGGACCTGTTTATAATGTTCACACTTTATTTGCATTTATCTAGCTACATTTTGCTTTCCCTCTTAAACTAAAAATTTTTCATGGAAAGAAAATGTCTTACTCAAAACTCTTTATATCTAGAAAAATGTCTGGCATATATCTGTTCAGTAAGCATGGAGAGTGGAGTGGAGAAATGATTCATAGAATGAAGGAATTAAGGGATAAATGATGTTCTCTTGATGGAGATTAAAAACAGGATCCATGAGATCCTACTGATTTGTCAGAAATTAACTCTGGAAGAAGTAACTTCAGAAGCGCACAAACTACATGCAGTGGCAGTCAAACCCGCAAGTGTATTTCATGTTAACTGTCTAGATCTTGCTGCAGTCTTTCTCTATTCATAGTATTTTCTATTCATTGTCTATGGTGGTCTAGCTACTTTAGAAAAGGAACAGAGGATATATTCAGGCATAATTTGCTATAAAATTAGTAGGCGTATCATTACCGTCGGTGATACAAGATTTTTTTTTAAAGCAAAAGTAATACTTCATCTTCAGATTACCATAATCAGGAGACTCATGAATAGGGCTTTTATTCATTCATTCATCAAAACGCTCAGTTTGTACTCTGCGCTGTGGTTCATGAAAAGAAGCACAGTATATTGCCTCTACCCGTAAAGAGCTTACAGTGCAATTGAGAAAATACATATGCACAAGGAAAATTATTCAATATAAGATGATCATACAGCCAGATGCGGTGGCTCATGCCTGTAATCCTGGCACTTTGGGAGGCTGAGGCGGGTGGATTGTCTGAGCTCAGGAGTTCGAGACCAACCTGGGCAATATGGTGCAATCTCGTCTCTACTAAAATACAAAAAATTAGCCAGGCATGGTGTCGTGCGCGTGTAGTACCCGCTACTCGGGAGCCTGAGGCAGGAGAATCACTTGAACCCGGGAGGCAGAGCTTGCTGTGAGCTGAGATCGCGCCGCCGCACTCCAACCTGGGCGACAGAGCAAGACTCAGTCTCAAAAAAAAAAAGAAAAGAAAAAATCATACCTGATTTAAAATAATCATATATACTGTGCTTAATTAAGAACCACATATGTGGCCGGGCACGGTGGCTCACGCAAGTAATCCCAACTCTTTGGGAGGCCAAGGTGGGCAGATCACCTGAGGTCAGGAGTTCAAGACTAGCCTGGCCAACATGGCGAAACCCCGTCTCTACTAAAAAATACAAAAATTAGCTGGGCGTGTTGGTGGGTGCCTGTAATCCCAGCTACTCAGGAGGCTGAGGCAGGGAGAATTGCTTGAACCTGGGAGGCAGAGGTTTCAGTGAGCCGAGATCGCGCCATTGCACTACAGCATGGGTGACAGAGCGAGACTCTGTCTCAAAAAAAAAAAAAAAACCCTACATACGTATGAGTTCAGAGGAAAGCAAGCCCCTTAAGAGCCAAAGGGGCCAGGTGCAGTGGCTCACTGGGGCCTGTAATCCCAGCACTTTGGGAGGTCAAGGTTGGTGGATCACCTGAGGTCAGAAGTTCGAGAGCAGCCTGGCTAACATGGTGAAACCCCATCTCTACTAAAAATACAAATTAGCTGGGTATGGTAGCAGGTGCCTGTAATCCCAGCTACTCAAGAGGCTAAGGCAGGAGAATCGCTTGAACCCAGGAGGCAGAGGTTGGAGTGAGCTGAGATTGCACCTTTGCACTCCAGCCTGGGCAACAAAACTCTGTCTCAAAAAAAAAAAAAAAAAAAGAGCCAAAGGGCTCCGAGTCTCCATAGGACCACGTAGGCTATGGATAGATGAAGAGGAGGAAGTACATTCTGTGTCAGTGATTTGGAGAAGTTAGAGATAGGATTATGCGTGGCTTTATAAGAAATAATGTCGGCAATTATATCCATCTTGCTGAGACAGAAGACATAGGTGAGGAAAGAAGTGGACAATGTTTTTTACCTTTTCCTGTACACCTTCATTTCTTTCCCAAAGAACTTTTTATATTCCAAGAGTCCAAGAGTTTTTAGTGACTTTTTTTTGTTTTTACTGGTAATATGACTGAGCCAAAACTTGTTCTATGAAAAATATTAAATTCTCATCAAATAAAGATCCATGTGATGAGCCAACTGGCACAGTCAGATCATATTTGCTCATTAAAAGAAACACAAAACTAAGACTGTCAACTTGAAAAGGAGGATTTTGAGGGGAGATATATCCTTGTCACTCAAGCGTTATAAGGACATGAAGTGATAAACCTAAAAATAAGTTACTGATCTGAAGTTTCACAAAATGCAGTGTACCTAAGGAGATCATTGAATATATTTGATAAGCATCTGATTTGATCTCTGCAAAATCCATCCTTATCTTCAGAACTTCCCATGGAGCACGAACCCAAAAGTAAAGGAGAAGCTCATTTTTGGTGAATGTGTTTCTTTCAGAAACCAGCTTTGTTACAGAAAGAATCTAATGGTTTCTAGGGATCAGACACTGAATGTACATAAACAGTGATTTTTAACAAACTTACGTGATTTGGGAATGCAGGCAGTATTTCTCCTCACCTTTTAAACCTTGGGAATCCTGCCAAGACTTTTCTAGAAATTAGGGTAATATATGTGTTCCTTTTAGAACTTTCTTATTGAGTAATTTGGAGATTGGTTAAAGGGTAGAAAAAAATAGACTGTAAAGAAAAGATAAGAAATGTTGGCTCAATAATGATCTTTAAAAAGAGTGAGATTATTGACCGCGCACTGTGGCTCATGCCTGTACTCCCAGCACTTTGAGAGGCTAAGGCGGGTGGATCACTTGAGGCCAGGAGTTTGAGACCAACCTGGCCAATGTGACAAAACCCTGTCTCTACTAAAAATATAAAAAAATCAGCCAGGCGTGGTGGCACATGCCTGTAATCTCAGCTACTTGGGAGGCTGAGTCACAAGAATCATTTGAACCCAGTGAGCAGAGGTTGCAGTAAGCCGAGATCATGCCACTGCACTCCAGCATGGGTGACAGAGCAAAAATCTGTCTTAAACACACACACACACACACACACACACACACACACACACAGTGAGATTAACATGGAAAATGCAAACTAAGTTATTCCTCTACATTTGGCTTTCAGAAAAGTTCGTCAGAGATGCTATTATATATGAAGTTTAGGTTAATAAGAAAATCCTAGACGTGGTTGAATGCTAAGATTATTACACAGATTTCTTTTCTTTTTTTTTTTTTTAACTTAATTAGATAGCTGTGTGGTTATCAGCATGTGTAACTTTGCCTGGAAACAATAGGTAGATGAGGGCCTGGTTTTCACACTGTGCTTCGCAGCACCCTTGATCTCCTCCAAAGGCCTCTGAGGCCAAGGTGAGGGTGGGGAGTGTGCCCTTCAGCCCTGTGTCAACCACAACATTTCACTGTTTTAAATATTGTTCTCCAGTGTAAGCTTTTGTTTTAAGAACTCATTCTGAGGCTAAAAGAAAGTATCTGAAAATCACTGGACTGTGAAATCCCTAGTGGTTTTTCCTAGATATGGTATCCTATAATCAGGAAAAGAAAAAAGTAATAATCCTGGGAAAATACTGAGCTATGAAATATTTGACTTTTGGAAAGTCTATCTGCTCATATAAGTAGGTATCAGATGCCCTTACTAGACAGGTTTCAGAGCAACTTGTGATGTTTAAGTGACATAAGAATGTCCTCTTCTCTGCAGGGCCCTTGCATTGGTAATCAACAGAGCCTGGCTCACAGCAGGCTGTGGGACGCAGTGGTTGGCTTCCTCCATGTCTTTGCTAATATGCAGATGAAACTCTCTCAGGTACTGTGGCCCATTCCCTGCACGTGTCATTGTTGTGAAATGCTAAGTCAGTCCTCACTCCTTGGTGTTCCCATTGTGATGTGGCTGCTTGATCAAAGGCTGGACAAGCCATGCATATTAGGTCTCAGTTTTTTAAACTGAAGGCCAAAATGGGAGATGGAAATGAATGCCTCGGAGGGGCGCGGGGTCCCAGACAGGCTTTTGCATGAACGCAGCTTCCTTCTTTGTGTCTCACCAACCTACCCTTATTATTGCCTCAACATTTGCTTTCTGTGGTGCTAATCCTTTCTGCTTCCTTGCCACCATTTCGTCAACTTACAAACACTCTACCAGCCCCGTCTGACTTGTCCCATGTTGCATGTCTCTGTAATCCACATCCCTCTTCTCTCTCACTCCTGCTTCCTCCTCCCTCCCTCCCTGTCTCTGCCTCTCCTTCTCACTCCCCATCTCTCTGGCAAGATGAATCAGAACCGCTCAGAGCATTTATTATGAACAAATAAATGTAGCATATGTAGCAGTTTATTGCCTCTCTCCATGGCAACACATGAGGGAGACCTTCAGGAGGTATTTGAGGCTGATTAGAGTAACATTTGCAGCTTTAACTTAAATCATGTGTATCTAAAATTTTCAAGGCTGTCACATCTGCCTCCTCTCTTCTGGAATGTGCTATTTAACCTTTCATTTTTCCCCTTTTGACTCTGGCCTTACGGGAGGAGAGAGTTCCTGGGAGGGCTGCAATTTGACAGTAAGATGTCCATTCCTGTGTCAGCTGGGCAGTGTAGTGTAGTCTCGAGACAAGAGCCCTGGCCCTGCCACCTCCTCACCAGTGACTTTTGGAAAGCCACTTTCCCTTTCTGGTTTTGGTTTCATCATCTCTGAAATATCCCAAGTTAGAATAGGTGATCTCTGAGGTCTCTTCACAGCTCTGATATCCTACACTTCTGTGATATTTTGTATATAGCTGTGATACACACCATAGGTGATGAAGATTCCTCTGAAAGTTGAAGGGCTAGGCAAAGAGCTATGGTTGGGTTTTTGGTTTTTGGTTTCTTTTTTTTTTTTCCTTTTTTCTTTTCTTTTCTTTTGCTTTTTTTTTATTATTATTTCTTTTCTTTCCTTTTTTTTGTGAGGGGGGGGTCTGTAAAAGGTATGTGACTCGGAATACCTTTTTAATCAAATCCCCAGATTGCCCACCTCAGATCTTCCAAGAATTGTTTCCTACTGTGACATAGGGTATAAGGCACGGAGGTAGCTTAGCGATGCTCTTCCTGCATTGCTGAAATTAAAACCAAACAGACTGGTATCAAAACCATCCAGAGGAATAGCCTCCATTTTATTCCATTTAAAGGGACAAGTGGCACCCAGATCACCACCAACTAGAATTAGGAGACTCTAAATTAATCCAGAAAGAAAGGAGAACCCACTTGGTGATTATAACCTTGATACCTTTACCAGATGTCCAGTGTTCCCATAAAGCTCACTGGTAATTCTCCAGTGTAGATAATGACAACGTAAACTACTAGAGATACCTGAAGGCTCTTTGGTGCATTGGGTTGTTCAGCCGTTTTGGACAACACTTGGTATATCTGCCACATTGTACTAATAAAAGGAAAAATGTAAAGGAGCTTTGTTGGATGAGTCCTGCTACAGTGAGTCTCCCGGTGCTGCAAACAGTGGACGATAAGGCATCCTCATTCAGAATGAGAAGGAAGCTCTTTCCCGACACTGATGCAGCCTGCACCTAACCTTTCCAGAGCAGGCTCTTCTCGCTCACTGCCCTGTACTTTACTGAGGGATCAGATAGCTCAGGGGTATCTCCTGTTTCTGTTCTAGGATTCCAGTCAGATCGAGCTGCTGAAGGAACTCTTGGATCTCCTTCAGGACATGGTGGTGATGCTTCTGTCCCTCCTGGAAGGTTGGGCTGTTTGGTATAACTAGGCCTTCACACAACTGTAATTGGTCTGAGCACTAACCTTACTGATCATGCAGATTATCCTTCTGGCAGGTCACTGATGCCATATGACATTGGTCAGAAAGCCAAATTTTCAGAAACGAAAAATAAAATGAGGGGCACCTGGTCTGACGGACGAAGCCTGAAATCAATTGATTTTCTATCAATAGGAAAGCCAGAATGAACTGGGGAAAACCTCCAAGCTTTGCTCTTCCCTATCCTCTCCCTCTCCCCATTGCTTTTCAACACATCTGGCTGCCAGTGTGTATGCCAGCCATCTAGTTGGGCACCCTCCTAGGTCTAAGGGGATCAAAGGGACACCATGTATCCCTATGTGTCCCTGATAATCTAATAATGAAACCACTTCCCAGGCCCCAGGCCATGTTAAAGGCAGTGGTGTGGCCACCTCCTTCTTCCCTTTGTTTCTTTCCCCCTTGGCTCCTAGTGGTGTAGTCTTTATGGCTTGCTGCTCCCTCCTACATCATCACGGTCAGAGAAGAGCTGACTAATTTGGCACAAAAGTCTTCTAAAAATAGCTACCTGACAAGTGACATGATAGCTTGGGTTTATTTGTATATTTGTATGTCTTTTTGAACCTGCCTCACAGGGAATGTGGTAAATGGCACCATTGGCAAGCAGATGGTTGACACACTGGTAGAATCATCTACCAATGTAGAAATGATCTTGAAATTCTTTGACATGTTCTTGAAACTTAAAGACTTAACCAGCTCAGACACCTTCAAAGAATATGACCCAGATGGTAAAGGAATTATCTCCAAAAAAGAATTCCAGAAGGCCATGGAAGGGCAAAAACAGTACACGCAGTCAGAGATTGACTTTCTCCTGTCGTGTGCAGAAGCTGATGAGAATGACATGTTTAATTACGTTGATTTTGTAGACCGGTTCCATGAGCCAGCCAAGGACATAGGGTTTAATGTGGCTGTGTTATTGACAAATCTTTCTGAACACATGCCAAACGATTCCCGCCTGAAGTGTCTGTTGGACCCAGCAGAAAGTGTGCTAAATTACTTCGAACCCTACCTAGGACGCATCGAGATCATGGGTGGGGCCAAGAAGATTGAGCGTGTTTATTTTGAGATCAGTGAATCCAGTCGCACTCAGTGGGAGAAGCCCCAGGTGAAGGAATCTAAGCGACAGTTCATTTTTGATGTTGTCAATGAAGGTGGGGAGCAGGAAAAGATGGAGCTGTTTGTGAACTTCTGTGAGGACACCATCTTTGAAATGCAGTTAGCATCTCAGATCTCTGAATCCGATTCAGCTGACAGGCCAGAAGAGGAGGAAGAAGATGAAGATTCTTCTTACGTGTTAGAAATTGCGGGTGAAGAGGAAGAAGACGGGTCTCTTGAGCCGGCCTCTGCATTTGCTATGGCCTGTGCCTCTGTGAAGAGGAATGTCACCGACTTCCTGAAGAGAGCAACCCTGAAGAACCTCAGGAAGCAGTACAGGAACGTGAAAAAGATGACTGCGAAGGAGCTGGTGAAGGTGCTCTTCTCCTTTTTCTGGATGCTGTTCGTGGGGCTATTCCAGTTGCTCTTCACCATCCTGGGAGGAATCTTTCAGATCCTCTGGAGCACAGTGTTTGGAGGGGGCCTGGTAGAAGGGGCAAAGAACATCAGAGTGACCAAGATCCTGGGTGACATGCCTGACCCAACCCAATTTGGTATCCATGATGACACTATGGAGGCTGAGAGGGCAGAGGTGATGGAGCCAGGTATCACCACTGAACTAGTACACTTCATAAAGGGGGAGAAGGGAGATACAGATATCATGTCAGACCTCTTTGGACTCCACCCAAAGAAAGAGGGCAGCTTAAAGCATGGGCCTGAAGTGGGTTTGGGTGACCTCTCAGAAATTATTGGCAAGGATGAACCCCCTACATTAGAGAGTACTGTACAGAAGAAGAGGAAAGCTCAGGTAAGTGTCATTTGTTTCTTTCATCTTCCTTTATCCCCAGAATAAGACTTGCCACCATATCTTGTAATCAGTACTGACACCATTTCCCTAGGAGCCAACACTCTATGTTAGACAGTGGCTGTGGTGTGATTACGCTGATCTTATAATTCCACCTCTGACATGTCTGCAGAAATCAAGACTTAGATGGTTATCTCAGTGCCTAGTCATTGGTTGGTCGTCTAGTTTATATTGTAGAATTCAAACATGATGGCCTGTGACACTTTGCCTCAGACTTTTATTAGAAGGTTAGTTCTCATGCTGTGCAGATGCATTCAGTGAACTGAAAGCACAGGAAACGAAGAATAACATAAAAGGAGACCTTCCTTCTGAGTCCGTGCTTTCTCAGTGTCATAAAAGGTCAAAATGATCCTTATGATTTGGCCTCTCTATGAGTTTGATCATGCTTGGGACATTTTTATCCTTGTGATACACTCACTGTTCAGTTAGTACTTCATGTCAGTCAACAAGATTAAGTGAACAAGATAGCAGGAATTCAGAGCCCCTTGACCATGGAAGGTTCTGGGTGTTCCCCTCTCTTGTAGTATCCAATTCACAGTGTCATTCTAGCATCAAAGAGAGTAGAGAAGTGTGAAAAGATCCAAGCCCAAAAACATTCATTCATTCATTCCATTATTATTTATTGAAAAGTTATTGTGCTTTGTCACTGTTTTAGGCTCTGGGAATATGGTGCTGAATAAGAAACACACTGTCCCTACAGCTTAGTGGAGAATAAAGGCATTGGACAAGTCAAGACAAGTATAAAGAATGCTAGGAAGGAGAAATGTCAGGTACTATAGTTCTCTGTAGGAGAGAACGCTGGTTCGAAGATTCAGGGAAGAAAACATCAGAATCAGCATTCCCACAATATTCTGTTTTGCTCCCTGATGTAGCCCCAAAACCTAGAATACAGTTTGATACATAATAGGGTCCCATTCCAGGACTGCTATGTGCCAGCCTGTGTTCTAGGATACAGGAATACATAGGTTCAAAGCAGAAAACAACATTTTTGCTCTCATGGATCTTAACTTCTAGTGGGAGAAGACAACAAATAAGATAATTATCATTTGTGCTGCGTGTTAGAACACATGAACATGCAGTGAGTTACAGAGTGAATGTAGGCCCAACAGAAATAGGTAGAGGAGGCTTCTGAAAAGGTGTCATCTGAGTCAAGTCCTGACGAGCAGCAGGCACGTGAAAAGCTGGGGCAGGCATACTCCAGGCAGAGGATATGGCTAAGTATCCTTTGGAATTACTCCTGGAATGATCGGGAATGTTCCAGGAAGTCTGCGTGTTTGGGTGTGGGACACGAGTCAAATGGTACAAGATGGGGATGAAGAGAAACACCGGGATCATGCAAGACTCATAGGCTGTGTTGAGGAGCTTGAATTTTACTCTAACTGCAGTGGTCCTCAGCCAGAGGGATTGGGATACTGGCAAGAGGATTAAAGACAAGGCAAGAAGAAGCCTGTCAGATGGAGGCAGGCTGATCAAACTTGGTTTGATCTGTGTCCCATGTCTTTCTGACCCTGTGGAGCAGTAGAACCACCGCCTTGAGGCTCTTACAATGTCCTAACACAAGTTTCCTCTTTGAATTGAGTAAGTTATAGAAGGGAGGTTGAGTTTTCAAGTTTCAAATCTTTGTCTTGGCATCTCTTCAGAGTCACTTGACATATATAGCAGGACACTTATGTTCAGTGATCCTGAGAGAAGCAGAAACATGAAAAGCCATTGAAATTTGTGACCAAGAAGCAAATGGCCAAGAAAATGTCTCATCATCATGACCTCGCTTCTTTGAGGAAAGCTTGACTAATTGTTATTTTTGTCTAGGCAGCAGAAATGAAAGCAGCAAATGAAGCAGAAGGAAAAGTAGAATCCGAGAAGGCAGAGTAAGTTCTTGGTAGCATCAACTACTCTCATTGCTATGGTAGATAATTCTTAGGCCAGGCAGAGTGGCTCGCACCTGTAATCCCAGCACTTTGAGAGGCTGAGGCTGGAGGATCACTTGAACCCAGGACTTCGAGACCATCCTGGGCAACATAATGAGACCCCATCTCTACAAAAAATACAAAAATTGCTGGGCATGGTGGTGTGCACCTGTAGTCACAGCTACTTGGGAGGCTGAGGTGGGAGGATTGCTTGAGCCCAGGAGGTCGAGGCTGCAGTGAGCCAAGATCACATCACTGCACTCCAAGCTGGGCAGCAGAGCAAGACCCTGTCTCAAAAACAAAAAAGAAAAAAAGAAAATAAAGATAGTTATTGATAGCATCTGATATTCTGTCGCTATAGTAAATAGAAAACTTGATATCTGTCAATGCAAGCAATTATTCTGCAAGCCCTGGGTATATTTCCTTTTACCCTAGCTATATAATAAATACCTTATATTTATCATGCTAAGTTTATAATCCCACTAGCAGATCAGAGTTTCACTATCTGGCCAGATGACTTTGCAACTTCATATATTGATGACAGTGATATCTAATGTTAAATACCTATTATGTGTCAGGCCTGTGCTCAGGTCTTTTATACAATATCTTATTAAATCTTGCCAGAAGTGTGGAAGAGTAGGTACTATTGCTTAGAAAATAAAGGGTAACTTCAGAAGGGGAAAAAAATTGTTAAGTCTAATTTCAGAAGAAGAGTACAAACTTGTATATAGCTGATGTTCACCAAGATCATGGCTCATCCTCATTGAATATAAATTTAATGTCCAGCCACTGTGGATTGATAAAGACCTGAAGTTTCCACCTTCAAGGAATGATTCTACCTCCCGGCCCTCTCAATCCAGATTTCTCTTTAATCTAGTCTCCCTTTTTGGGCCAGACCGCCCTCCCGTCTGCCCTGCTGAGTGGGTTTCCCATTTCTGCAGCATGGAAGATGGAGAGAAGGAAGACAAAGACAAAGAAGAGGAGCAAGCTGAGTACCTGTGGACAGAAGTGACAAAAAAGAAGAAGCGGCGGTGTGGTCAGAAGGTTGAGAAGCCGGAAGCTTTCACAGCCAATTTCTTTAAAGGGCTGGAAATCTATCAGACCAAGTTACTGGTAAGCATTCCAACCTTGGCCCTGTTCATGGTGCAGGGATTGGCCCAGGCAGATGGCAGAGAGGTGCCGCTGATTTGTTTCACTGTTTGGTCAGTTACACTTCCTCCCCTTTCTCATTCCTAAACTTTCTTCTTCCCATGTGTCTACCTATTCCTTTTCTGTTGGAGGAAAAGAAAAGGGGGAGAGCCTGGAAAGAACCACAGTCCTCCAGCAGCTCTGCTATCAGCAGGGTGTCCTCTCTCACCTGTTTCCTTACCAGGAGAGCAGGAACACCTCTTTCTACCCAGTCCTTTATGTGTATTATGTGGGGACTTAGCCAATCCTGGTCCAAAAGTTCAGAAGTGTTTTGATCACGTGGGAATCAGAAAGAATGTTCCTCTTATGTTAGCTTCCCACACTAGTCCTCCAAACCTTGATTGTTCTATATGCAATCAAAGCTTAGAACAGCTTGTAATATTCTTTCTCTGATACATTGCCCTCTGAGGTACAGTGGCTGAAGGCCAGGACCACACCTTCCCTAGCACCATTAGTGAGGGCTCCCCACAGAGAGATTGGGAACGTTACCCAGGCAGCTTCCACTCCAGTCTGTGGATGCTGATTTTTCTGGGGAAGATGGCAGCAAGAATGGGAATGCTGTTCCCAACAAGGGAGAAGAAGAGGCTCCTGGAACTGTAACTTGGAAAGGAATGAGGACTGAGGCCACAGAATGGCTACATCCAGGTTGGGAGTTGCCAGGGTCTTCTGCGAGCCTAGACCACTTACAGTTTCCTAATAGACTGCTTGCTGCGTGGAGTGATCACGAAAATGCAGTCACACAGCACTTCAAGGCAAGGCTCGAGTCCTCTGCTGGTGGCGTGTTTAGGCCTTTGGCTCCCTGAGCAATAAAGCCAGAGCAGGATTCTTTATACCAATTCTAAGCAATTTTTTTTTAAATCAACATTTTGGTTCCATGTTCATGACACGACACAGTCATGCCATGGCTGTGTTAAGAATGCCAGGGTTGGCCGGGCACGGTGGCTCACGCCTGTAATCCCAGCATTTTGGGAGGCCGAGATGGGTGGATCACGAGGTCAGGAGATCGAGACCATCCTGGCTAACACAGTGAAACCCCGTCTCTAGTAAAAAAACAAAAAAATTAGCCGGGTGTGTTGGCGGGCGCCTGTAGTCCCAGCTACTCGGGAGGCTGAGACAGGAGAATGGCATGAACCCGGGAGGTGGAGCTTGCAGTGAGCCGAGATTGCACCACTGCACTCCAGCCTGGGGGACAGAGCGAGACTCCATCTCAAAAAAAAAGAAAGAAAAGAATGCCAGGGTTACCCTAGAAGAGTGGTCATCAAAGAGTAGGACGAGTCAAGTGTGAACTTCTAACCAGAACTGACCTTCTGTGTGAAAGTAGGAAGTTCTCTTTTCCTTCCAAAGCTCTTCTACTTCTGCCTGTCCTTTTCTTTGCAGCATTACCTGGCCAGGAATTTCTACAACCTGAGGTTCCTTGCTCTGTTTGTAGCCTTCGCTATCAACTTCATCCTGCTTTTTTATAAGGTGATACTTCATTCAGGGGTTATTTGCTAAATATGCTGTATACTAAGTATGCTATGTGTAGAAAAAGAATCATGACAGAATTTGTGCTCTTAATTGTAGCAAACATTCTAATAGGTAGCAAATTTCTAAGACATTGGCTTCTAAAAGGAATACAATTTCTAGCAGTGGAGAGACTACTGACAAGAGAGCCAGTGAGGGGACTATTTCAATAGTTCATGCTTATTTTAGTCGTTGCTTAGTCTTCAAATACTTGCTGAGCATCTACCATGAGCTAGACCCTGTATTAGGAACAACAAGGTATTTCAAAATGAGTAATAAATAAAATTCTTTCTTCAAGGAATAAGGTAACCAAGAGCCATTATAGTTGGCCTATTTGTTAGAAGCGTTATAAAGGAAAAATTAACAGGATTTGGAAAGAGAGGGGACTGCTCAAGTTAAATGAAGGTTTTGAACATTGGCAAGTGGGTCTTGCATGCTGTAGGCATGTAATAATTGTTAGTGCAGTGAATTAATGAAGGGTCCTGAATTCTCGACATAGTCTTTAACTGGTTTTTCTATCTCTTGCCTATCTCCCTTTCTACTTAAAACCACCAATCTAATTTGTATGAAACATTGTTTTATCCACCTCAACTTTCCACTCGACAAACTAATGACCTTCTGTTGCCCATAAAAGAAAAATGGAAGTCCATAGCCAAGAGAGGCAAAGCTTGGTTTTAAACACATTGAGGTTGAAGTGACTTCAGACAGCCATCCAAGAAGAGAAAGCCAGCAAGCAGTTGGAGCTACAGGACAAAGCCTCAAAGTTGTAGATTTGAGAGTCATCTGTATAAGAATAGCGGCTGAAGCCATGAATGTAAATGGCATCTCAGAAAGAATGGAAAATACTGAGTCTCTGGCTGGGTGGCAGTGGTGGGTGGGGGAGCGGGCACACACATCCTTCACGCTTGTGTGTGTGTCTTTGCCTCCTCTCAGGCCACAGCATGATCAGAGATTCCCTTCTGTGGCATAAGGATTATAAGCATATGTAGTAAAAGTTGCCTAATTTTAATTTTTTTGCTTTCTTCTCAAGAGATAGGTTTTGTCTCCTTTTTAAAAGTTTGTTTGCAATTATTAGAGATACTGGGTGATTCCTAGTAATAAGTCACCTAAAAACCTCATTCATTCAGCAAGTAATGTTGAGTCACTACTATTTGTATAGCACATGCTAACAATATAAAATATGTGGGGAGAGCCCAATGGCTGAGGTTCTTTTTGATGTTTAATAAGCGAGTGTGTATTTTGAGCCAGGTCACTGAAGAACCTTTAGAAGAAGAGACAGAGGATGTTGCAAACCTATGGAATTCCTTTAATGACGAGGAAGAGGAAGAAGCGATGGTATTCTTTGTCCTTCAGGAGAGCACCGGGTATATGGCACCAACCCTGCGTGCCCTGGCCATCATCCATACCATCATCTCTCTAGTCTGTGTGGTGGGCTACTACTGCCTGAAGGTGAGCTGTTTGCCACTCTGGATCTAATCTCACTCCTTGAGGAAGAAATGTCCTTTTTGAGCCCAGCCAGCCCTTTGCTCTAAGACTTTGCTAGCCGTAAAGGCCTTCGTAAGGTCCGTAGAGCAGCAGCAGCACATCACTTGGGAGCTGCCTAGACCTGCAGAGTCTCAGGCCTCACCATAGGTTTTCTTCTGTTGTTGTTGTTTTTGAGATGGGTTTCGCTCTTGTCTCGCAGGCTGGAGTGCAGTGGTGCAAGCTCGGCTCACTGCAACCTCCGCCTCCCAGGTTCAAGCAATTGTCCTGTCTCAGCCTCCCGAGTAGCTGGGATTACAGATGCCTGCCACCATGCCCAGCTAATTTTTGTATTTTTTAGTAGAGACAGGGTTTCACTATGTTGGCCAGGCTGGTCCTGAACTCCTGACCTCAGGTAATCCATCTGCCTCGGCCTCCCACAGTGCTGGGATTACAAGCATGAGCCACTGCGCCCAGCCCCTAAGTCCTTTAACTCAGAATCTACCACTTAGCATGATCACTGGGCAATCTGTACGCACTTTCAAGTTTGAGAAGCCTTGAGCTAGGAGTCCCATTTCAGGTACCTCTTGTTGAATTTCATAGAACTAGAGTCATCAGGCTAAAGTCACATGGAGAGCTAGTCATGACAGAATCTTCTGATCTTTGAATTGATGTCAAAATTTTTATAAAAATACCTTTTCATTAGGTGGTAACCACTCAAGATCTCAGAAGAAAGCTTACTGATGTGTTAGTTTTCAGTTATCCATTGCTGCATAACAAACCACTCTAAAACTCAGTGGTCTAAAATGACAACTATTTATCTCTGTGATTCTGTGAGATGACTGGCACATTTGGGCAGTTCCTCTGTTCTATGTAAAGGCGCTACATTTGCAGCCATCTGCGAGCTCAGCTGGGCTGGAATGGCCAAGATGGCACATTCCCATGCCTGGCAGCTCCACAGGGGGACAACTGGAAGGATGGGCTCAGCTGGGGTAGCTGGGCCTCTCTCTGTCTCCCTCTTTCTCTCCAGGGAGATTCAGAGCATCTCCTTCTCCACGTGGCCTTTCCACATGATCTGTCCGGTAGGGTAGCTAGACTTCTTGCATGATGGCTTGGGTTTCCAAAAAGAGCATGGAGGTGGAAGCTGCTAAGCCTTCCTAGGTCTTAGGCCCAGAACTGGTACAGTGTCATTTCCATTGCATTCTGTGGTTTAAGGCAAGTCACATGGCCATCCCAGATGCACTGCTGCATGGTAGAGGGGAGAGGCACTACACAAAGGCATGAATTCCAGGAGGCGTGGTTCCTTGGGGCCATATTCACAACCACTACAGTTATGTCAATCTTCTGTCATTCAATTTTTGGTGTCCCAAGTCCAGATCTAGTTCTGCTACATCATAATTGTGTTTTTCTCACTGCTTTTCTCATTACATTTTTTTCTTCCTTCTCTTGAGTAGGAAGTCTCCTTAAGTACAGCAAGCCATCTTCTTCCCAGGAAGAGTCCAGGAAATACTTTCCTATATTGTGGTCCTTTCTTCCCTCAGTGAACTATTGTGTCATGTAGGAAGTCCAGCTACTGTGCTGCAGAGACCTTATGCCCTGGGCTACACTAAGGACTCTATTGCAACTATGAAAGTGCAAATTCTGGAGCCAAGCTGCCTGGGTTGAACTCACAGCTCTGCCACTTAAACTCCCAGTCCTCTATCTTCTCATACATAAAAATGAGTACTGTTGCTAAAGTTGCTGGGGGGATTAAATGTAGAGGTATGTGTAAATGTACTCAGAACACATAGTAAACCCTCAAGCATGTTCGCTGCTGCTCCTTAGTTTGAGATCCTAGAGTTCAGCTTATTAGATGGAGTACAGATTATACTGTGACCAGGAGAAACAAAAAAGAAACACTATTTAGCAAGTAAAGAATGTGGAAGTTCTGTTTACGAGAGTATACAAACTTCTAGGAGACTGAAGGGGAATGCTTGGAATCCCAGAGATGAGCACCGCTCTACAACTTGATATTACTACTGTTCTCTAGAGTCATCCAAAACACGGCAGGCATTAGTCGCTGAGCTTTGCCTCACCTCCCACATCATCTGTGTACTAACAGTCATCATCAGTTCCTCACAGTGTGCAGTGGCTACTAGCCTTTGCCACCTTCCTATCGTGAGTTTTTCATTTTATCAGTGTTATTTCATTGTTTTAAAGAAAAACAGGGCAAGAGGTAACTCTTTACAAATCACTGTCTGAATTTTGTTCTTTTGTTTTGGACAAAAGCGATGTGGGGTACATGCATATCATGGGTTTGGAGACAAAGGTCTCAAGGATGTTGCCAAGTAGCCAGTGGCATCTCAGCTGGAGATGAGATGAGACGCCCTAGCTCTGTCTGAATTAAGCTTTTCTGGCTAGAGGAGCTGCGTCAATTGTGACTTCTCATTTCCTGGGATTTCAGCAGTATCCTCTGGCCTCATTAACTGTCCCATGTTTGGAGTGTGTGTGCACTTAGTGATGGTTGGGGCAAGTGGATTATTTTCCAATCCCTTTCTGTGTTCCCCTTTGGCAGTAGGTCCTTAGAGCCATACCACTATATCTAGTCTAAAATAAAAGTTCCAATTATAAAAGAATAGAGAGTGATAGTAGGAAACAAGTATGCCACTACCTGGAAGGAGCTCTTTACGGACAGAATCTCAGGAAGAAAACTTCATACAGAAAGACTGAATCTTCTCATTCTAACTATGAGACCATGTTTCATTAACTGACCTTCAACGCCATGAGATAAATATGGCCCTGTACATTGAAGGGAGTTGGAACATTTCATCATATTCCTGTGGCTGGCCGATCTATTCTAGAATGGTTTATTGTCCTTTCTAAATCTTGGTTCAACTCCAGCCGAGGAGCCTTAGGAGTCCTAACTCATTCAACCCTGGGGCTCATCTAGGCGTGGCCTGCACACTAGCATGGGTCAAGGAGTCTAGTTTGTATTAATATTAGCCATCTAACTGAAAACTTAAAGGGTGACCCAAATCAGATCAGCTTTAAAGAGGTAGGTAGGTATTTAGCCAAAGAGATTCATTTGGCTTTGATCCCACAACTAGGCACTCTAAGAATTCCACTATAAGGAGATTGCTGCTCTGAAGTTGGAAGGTTAATTTGTGACAAATACCTGGGAGCAGGAGCTTTAATCACAAAGCCTGCTCTGAGTAACCATCCTCCTCCCACTCCTAGGTGCCTTTGGTGGTTTTCAAAAGGGAAAAAGAAATCGCCAGGAAGCTGGAGTTTGATGGCCTATATATCACCGAACAGCCATCTGAAGATGACATCAAGGGGCAGTGGGACCGCTTGGTGATCAACACACCGTGAGTGTCCCTCTACCCCAACCTAAAAAGGAGATGGAGTCTCTACTGTAAATAGAGTAACTCTTTCCTCCTGGCCTTAAAACTGGTTAATATAAACTGTCTTTTGATTTCTAGGACTTTTCTCCCTTGCCTCTTCAATAAAGCCACTTACTGCCCATCAAATACTTGTATAGACTTCTATTAGTTTAATGGGGACAGAAGATATTATCAGAAAGTACTGAATATATTTGATTTAGACCAGACAGTCCAGTACAATATTGCTTAAACTAGTTTTCCATGTTCGAGTCACACAGTGTTTCCAGGGCTTAAGTGGCCAAGGCGTCTAGAGATCAAGTTGATCAGCTTCAGCTTTTCCATAGCCTTCCATGGCACAGCACTGCTATAACTGCCATCTCTGAAGTCCTCTTTTTTTTTTTTTTTTTTTTTTTTTTTGAGACAGAGTCTCCCTTTGTTGCCCAGGCTGGAGTGCAGTGGCGCGATCTCAGCTCACTGCAAGCTCTGCCTCCCGGGTTCACGCCATTCTCCTGCCTTAGCCTCCCGAGTAGCTGGGACTACAGGCGCCTGCCACCACGCCTGGATAATTTTTTTGTATTTTCAGTAGAGACGGGGTTTCACCGTGTTAGCCAGGATGGTCTCGATCTCCTGATCTGGTGATCCACCCACCTCAGCCTCCCAAAGTGCTGGGATTACAGGCATGAGCCACCACGCCCGGCCTGAAGTCCTCCTCTTAACCAAATAGCCTGCTTGGTAAGAGACCTCGTCTTAACGTAAGATTGAGAGGCAATTACATGGGCAGGTAAATAGAGCCGTCTGGTAGGGATATGAAGACCTGTGGAGGCAAGCCTGCCTTCCTGTAGGCATGTGGCACTGTGGTGGGAAGAAGGAAGAGCACTGATTGACAGGCAGGTGACACCAAGGCTCTGACGCTTACTGGTCTGTGAACTTGCACAAGGTAATCAAGCCTTCTCAGCCTTAGTTTCCTCATCAGTAATAGAAGGATGAGAATATCATCCTGCAGAGGATTAATGAATGTATGTGTCAAATGCTTGGCAAATGCCTGGCACGTGGTAGGCATTAAGCTGTTACTCATTCTCTTTTCTTTCCTGTAACTATCCAAAAAGTGGCCATCACCATTAGCAAATGTCACACTCTAATGACAGTTGATTCACAAGTAAGTGACAGTTTCAAGATAAATTAATGTGGCAAAAGAAAAGAAATAGGGCCAAATAGTAAACAAAGGTGACTGTGTTGAAACTCTTAGGTGTGCCAATTAAGATAGGCATGTTAAGAAACAGCAACCCTGACTCCAGGGGAAGAAAGCTGTGTCCTATCCAAAGATGATCAGGCAAACTGAGAAGCAGCTCTGCAAAGGTACAACTAAGGATATTTATTTCTTTATATTCTCCAGAAAAGGAAGCCTCTTCCCTTAGAAGGGGGAAAATGTGAACAGGCACATCCTCACATCCTAAGTCTGTCCCTGCCTGCGGGTCCCCTGCCAATCTTCTCACACAAGGAAAAGCACTGTTTCTGATGCTTTGTCATTACATTACAGAAGTCTTAGACACTATTGAATAGTTTAATCCTTTGGTAAGCTTTGTGCAATCATCAGTAATGCCTGCGTCTTGTTATACAGGGGCATGTGGCCTAAAAGTCCCAGTAAGAAGGCAGTTCAATTTCGGCCAGGCACAATGGTTCATGCCTGTAATCCCAGCGCTTTGGGAGGCCGAGGCGGGTGGTTCATGAGGTCAGGAGTTCGAGACCAGCCTGGCCAACATAGTGAAACCCCGTCTCTACTAAAAATACAAAAAAATTAGCTGAGCGTGGTGGTGGGCGCCTGTAATCCCAGCTACTTGGGAGTCTGAGGCAAGGAGAATCACTTGAACCTGGGAGGCGGAGGTTGCAGTGAGCTGAGATCACACCACTGCGCTCCAGCCTGGGCGACAGAGCAAGACTTCATCTCAAAAAAAAAAAAGAAGGCAGTTCAATTTCTAGCAATGTATCCTAAGGAGATAATGAGACAAGTACACTAAAATGTCCTAACAAAGGTATTTCCCAATATTTTTTACTTAGAGTGGCTTAAACGTCCATGAGTAGGAAATGCATAAATAAATAGCTATTTTTTAAAATGTTAGATAGACCAATGTTTAATTTTTTTTCACAATGGCATCATAGTACATGTTCATGTTTTGTAACGTGCTTTTTTTCAGTTAACTGTATGTCATGGGAGCTTTCTTTTTAAACATTTTACTTTTATATTGTTAAGCACACATAAGAACATATAAAATGTATATGTACATTTTACAGTATAATTATAAACCAAAAAGGTTAAAAAAATAGAACATTACTGAGAGCTTAAAAATCCCCTGTATTATCCTCCCTGATTATATCTTCCCAACCCACAGCTATCTACATTTTTGATGTTCATTAGTGGTTAGTAATATTAATTCTTAAATAATTAGCAATCAGTGATATTAGTGATATTCATTCTCCTGCCTTATAGTTTTCCCACTTAGGTATTTGTCCCTAAATATATTTTGACTATTTTGACTATTTGGAACTTAATATAAGTGGAATTATACTATATACATTATACTGTCACTTGAATTTTTTTTAGCATTGTTTGGGAACTCACCTATGTTGATGTATATAGCTATAGTTTGTTCATTTTCAAAGCTGTAGCATTTTCCATTATGTATATTATCACATTGATCAATTTTCCTGACAGTAGATATTTCAACTTGTTTTCTAAAGTTTCTGGCTTTTATAAACAGTGCTACAGTGAACATTCTTATACCTGATACACAAGTTGAAGGATTTCTCTAGAGTATAGACCCAGGAGAGAAATTTGCTGAATAGTAGGATATGCAAAATGTTTGTCCCAATTTATGCTCCAAACAGTACTATATTCGAGTTTCTTCTTCTCTGCTTATTTGCTGGCACTTATTGCTGGCAGATAATTTTGCTGATCTAGTAGGTGTATAGTGGCACCTCATTGTATGTTTCCCTGATTACTAAATGGGTTAAGCATCTTGTACTTTTTCCCTGAACATTCATGTACAGATGTACTCTTTATTTATGCACTTTCCTTCTGAAGGTCTGTTCTCTATGCCACACTTTAAGGACTCGTAACAAGTAAAAAATCTGTTTTCTACCTTCAAGGAGTTTGCATACCTAGTCAGGGGACAAGAAATTCAGAATGCTCAGATGAAGGTAAGACCGCATCTATGAAGGGGTCATGCCCAGAGCCTGTGGTCCTTGGCCCTTCAGCATCACTCGTGGAATCTTCTGCTTAGGAGAAAATGCGACCAGGCTGAGTTGTATGTTACCATTTGTATAAATGATTTAAGAGAAAGGAGGTATCAGTGTGGCAGAGAGCGCATGGCTTGATTTTTATTTGTTTTATTTTCAATTTAAATGCAGTGCATAAAAAAATCAAGGAGCAATGTACAAGGAAGAAAGTCAAAATAATTGTTATTTTCATCCCCCAGAGATAAAATATTAGCAGTTTACTCTGTAACACCAGCATTTGTTTTTGCTTTCAAGTGGCATTTAAATGTTTAAGACAAAGAAACTGCTTTAACAAACCAAAAAAAAAAAACATTTTTTTTTAAATACTGCCACCCTGTTGGGGGAGAGGCGGCATGAGAGGTCAGTGAATAGTAGGAGGTCTCCATTTCCTTATCACCAACTTGGGTGGTCTCTGGAGAATAGGGAACTGTTGTGTTCTAGAACCAAAAAGAATGAATCAAATAAAGGAAAACAAAAGTAAGAATGCATGCACCAAAGGCCAGAGACTCCTAGGCTGCAATCCAGTCTTACAAGGAACCCCCCCACAGGAAGGATTCAGTAATTCTGGATAGGAACAACATATTTTCAATGGTTTTTGCAAGCATTCCTGAAGATGACAGTTCTTTCTTAACTTTAACAGTAAGAAATATTTGCAGTGGAGCTGGTACAAGCTACAGAGAGAAGAAAGATCATCTCTCTGGGGATGCTAGGGGATGGTACAGAACCATCTCCAAAAAAGAAAGGGATCCAACTCCTGGAGGAAAGCAGGCCCTGTGGCATTACGTGGGAATAGAAAATAGAGTGGAAAAACACTCAGCTTAAAAAATCCAATGTAAATAAACTAAAGGTGATTCCCAGACTGGAAACTGCATATAGTTAGGGACTTTATCTACACTTTCTACCACACCCCACATCCCGCATCGCCATTATCTACCCCAGTAGGTGACATAAAGTAGTGACTCATTGAATGGAATGCCTGTGTTTTCTGTAGCATTTTGTTTCTGGTTATACTGGGATTAGGGAAAGGACTTAGAAACATACAACTGTCTCTGTCTAATCTGTCATCACAATTCTTGGCTCCAAATCATAATTCTGAGGCAGAAACTGCCCAGTGGCCTTCTGAGTGTTTCAAAAGCCAATACAAAGTAATGAAGCCATACATGACTCAGTAGAGCCTGTGATGACTCTGAACTTCAATCAGATCTTAAAATTCTTTGGTGAGCAGGACACAAACCAGAAAGATCCCAGATCCAGGCACTCAAACTGAAACGTTTCTTGATGTGTTTTCCTTGATGTTAAGAATGAAGAACCAACCTTTTTCGTTTTGTTTTTCAGATCTTTTCCTAATAACTACTGGGACAAGTTTGTAAAGAGAAAGGTATGCCTTGTTAGTGGGGGTGAGTTCCGTGATCACCAAAAAATGTGGTGTATGTTTTTTAAGTTCTCCACATACAAACATGAGTAAATGTGATGCTACTTTTATGATAATATCTCAAGAAGAGTAAGTCACAGAAGGGGTTGGATATGAACATATGTAGGTTTTTGGCTTCATTCATATACTCATCTGCCTTAAACAAGTTAACACAGTCCTCATTGTTTTCTGCATAGTAGATGTTTTCTCCCCTGCAAATCAAGATATCAGTATCAGCTTAAAAAACAGTTATCATTTAATTGTCTTCATTGCTTTTTTCTCTGGGTTTTCTCTTTTTTCTGCATTTTGAACTATGTCTTCATCTACCCCTTGGAAGATTGCCCATAGGGCAGCAAAGCTCTGAAGACCCCAGAGCTAGAAAATATTTGGTGGTGGCGTGTGGCCTGAGCTCACCCTGTCATCCTTTGCTTCAGGTGATCAACAAGTATGGAGATCTCTACGGAGCAGAACGCATTGCTGAACTTCTGGGTTTGGACAAAAATGCTCTTGACTTTAGCCCAGTAGAAGAGACCAAAGCAGAAGCGGCTTCTCTGGTGTCATGGTACAAAAAGCTTAGGAGTTCAAATCCAAAGCAGCTAAAATAGATAGATCTTTGCTTTTCCATAGGAAAAAATCACAACCGTGTCTTTGTTCTCTCAGGCTGTGGTCTGGCTTAGGTGTTTCTTCTAGGTTCTAACACTGGGAGAGCACTGCCTTAAAAATTTGAAGACTAATACATTTTTATGCCCTATAGAGCTGAAAGATAAAGACTTAATTAAAATTTCAGGTTGGGCTGGGCGCAGTGGCTCATACCTGTAATCCCAGCACTTTGGGAGGCTGAGGTGGGCAGATCATGAGGTCAGGAGTTCGATACCAGCCTGGCCAACATAGTGAAACCCCGTCTCTACTAATAATATTTTTAAAAAGTAGCTAGGCGTGGTGGTGGGCACCTGTAGTCCCAGCTGCTTGGGAGGCTGAGGCAGGAGAACCGCTTGAACCTGGCAGGTGGAGGTTGCAGTAAGCCAAGATCACGCCACTACACTCCAGCCTGGGTGATAGAGTGAGACTCCGTTTCAAAAAAAAAAAAAAATTCAGGCTATGTGATTCAACTGTTCTCTTGTCTCATGGGGAGCACATACAACTTGATAAAGCTGAGAGCCATATTTAGGTTATTAAACCTGAGAGAAAAAACTTACTTTTTCCCCCTTATTGAGCACTTAACTACCTCTTGACATTTATAAGTTTTAAAATCACTTGTTCTTCTCTAGGCTAAGTTCCATAGACATGAAGTACCATATCTGGAAGCTTGGAGTTGTTTTTACTGACAACGTAAGTACTGCACCTGGAAAAACAAAATTCTATACCCCAGTTCAGGGATGCCACAGAGAAGCAAGCTATGCAGGATGCTCAGAAGGGTTCAGGGATTGCTTATCAAAGACCAAGAGCCTTATACGTGCTGGGGGAACACTTATACAATGGTATAAGGTAGATGGGGCTCACTTAGCAGATCTTGGGCCAGCTCACAGCACCTCAGCACCTAAACCCCCTCTATCCTCAGTGTGTCTCCCAAAATAAGAAAAAATGTTTTATAATGAGCACACTATGAGGCAAACATGCTTAAAAGTCTGCTTTCTTCCATTCCCAGTCCTTTCTCTACCTTGCCTGGTATACAACCATGTCAGTCCTGGGCCACTACAATAACTTCTTCTTTGCTGCTCACCTATTGGACATCGCAATGGGCTTCAAGACACTGAGGACCATTCTGTCATCTGTAACTCACAATGGCAAACAGGTATGGTTTCTACTGATGCAGAACAGAATGGACCTGTATATGCACAGGAAAAAAAGAACAGCAGGTAGTATACAGTATATGACAGGAAGGAATATGTCTTGGTATATAATGTACTTTTCTTGGCCAAACACTTCAACTAATGGTGATTGTTTTTGCAAAATTGTAGCCAATTAAAAATGTAACTGCAACCATCATCTAAAAAGCATAAGACCTTGATTCAGTGACCCCTGACATTTAGATCAACCAGGAGAGGGAGGGAGGTGATGGACATGTCAGAATGACCTTGGAGATCTTTTTTTTTTTGTGACGGTGTCTCGCTGTGTAGCCCAGGCTGGAGTGCAGCGGTGGGATCTTGGCTCACTGCAACCTCCGACTCCCAGGTCCCAGTTCAAGCAATTCTCCTGCCTCAGCCTCCAGAGTAGCTGGGATTACAGGCACATGCCACCATGCCCGGCTAATTTTTGTATTTTTAGTAGAGACGGGGTTTCACCATGTTGGCCAGGCTGGTCTCAAACGCCTGATCTCAGGTGATCCACCCGCCTCGGCCTCCCGAAGTGCTGGGATTACAGGTGTGAGCCATCGTGCCCGGCCGGAGATCTTTTTAAGGTCTACCCCTTCCTCCATGAATCTGATATATTCCCTGGGGGTTAGCAAGTAGACATACTGTACACAGAAAACTCCCCAGGTATTTCTGATATCTGCATCCAATTAAGAGCCAATATTTCTGATATCTGCATCCAATTAAGAGCCAATGATTTCAGATACACACACACATATGTATATGGTTGTTATACACATAGTACACATTTTATGTGTGTATATACATTATATAGTTAATACATATTATATAGTTAATATATAATCAAGAAATTGACTCTGACAATATATGGAAGACTGGATATTGATGAGACTGGATATAGCAACGGCTATAACCATATTAAAATCTTCTAATGGCTTCTCCTTGTATACAGATTCAAACTGTTTAGCATTTCATTCCTCATTAAGTACAAGTCTGTGTATGACAGACAGGCTTCCTCACATGTCCAAACCTTTGTACGGGAGAGGGAGAAAAGACGGAAGTTACAGTGTGCCAAGCTCATGCCGTGTCCCAGTTACTGTGACAGCCTCACAACTACCTGGTAAGGCACACGTTAAGCTCACTTTACAGATAAGAGAACTGAGGCTCAGAGCAGCTAAATGTCTCACCCAAGACCACACAGCTGCTAAGTGGCAGAGCGTAGATTCACCCCCTTTTCTTCCCTGATGCAAAGTCCAAGTTCTTTCTCTTTTTTTTCCTAAACCACCTGCTTTCTGTGAGGTCTGCTCTCCAAGGTTTGAGTCACTATTCTTCCCTCAAGTCTGCTGAATACATTTCCTCTGGTGCTGATCTTCACACTTACCCACTCCCTTTTGTGTGGCTCCTTGAAGGCAAAGCTCTGATCCTGTTGATCTTCCTATCTCCCAGCTCAATGCCTAGTCCTTGAGAGAGGTCAGATGTGCAGGTCCTGTGTACTCCTCACTTAAGCCAGTGAACTCTCACTCCTAAAGCCTGGAAGTAAGCGTGCCCTAGGACACTGCAAAGGGCCTGGGCAGAATTCTCTGTAATAAAAAGTGTGACTCAGCTCCACCATCATAATTCTTAGAGTAACTTCAAAGTTGTGACAATTATCCAGTGCATGATTATTTATGAAATAGTATAAGGTAGGGATATCCACCAGTCCAAAGAACCTTTGGGTTTTTTGTTTGTTTGTTTGTTTGTTTTTTTGAGACGGAGTCTCACTCTGCCACAAGGCTGAAGTGCAGTGGCGCGATCTCAGCTTACTGCAACCTCCGACTCCTGGGTTCAAGCGATTCTCCTGCCTCAGCCTCCCAAGTAGGTGGGATTACAGGCACACACCACCACGCCAAGCTAATTTTTGTATTTTTAGTAGAGACAGGGTTTCACCATGTTGGCCAGGCTGATCTCGACCTCCTGACCTCGTGATCCGCCCGCCTCGGCCTCCTAAAGTGCTGGGATTACAGGCGTGAGCCACCCCATGCCCGGCCTGGGGTTTTTTAAGCAGCAGCATTAGAGTAGAAGCTACATTGTGAAGCCTCAGGTAACAGCTAGCTCTGTATGAACAATAACAAAACACAATGTATCCCTCCTCACAGCACCTGCACTATTCAATACTTAAGTTCCTTTATATTTTACTTACGCCCAATCTAATGCCCTATACATTAGTCTGCTTGGGCTGCCAGAACGAAGTACTACAGACTGCTATTTTGTTAAACAACAGAAATGTCTTTTCGACAGTTCTGGAGGCGGTAAGTAAGTCCAGTATCATGGTGCTGGCAGCACCAGCACCTGGTCTCCTCAGGGGCCTCTCTGTGGCTGTAGACAGCACCCTCTCGCTGCCGCTTCCCCTGACCGTCCCTTCACGTGTGCCTGTGTCTAGCCTCTCTCTCTGTGTCTCCAACTCCTTTTCTTCTAAGGATGCCGGTGAGATTGGTTGCGGGCCCATCTTAACAACCTCAGTTTAACTTACTCACCTCTTTGAAGGCTGTATCTCCATCTCCAAATACAGTCACATTCTGAGGTACTGGAGGCCAGGACCTCAGCATATGAATTTGAAGGGACACAATTCAGCCCCCAACACCCCATCATTACTCTTTTCTGCCAGGAAGCCCGCTTCTCTTTACCTGTGGTGCCATCTTTCCTCCTCTGCTCATGGCCTGATAGCTTTCTTAGCCGCCCTCCACCCCTTCCCCATTTCCTCTCCTTGCCCGTCCTCACTCTTCCTCCTCGTTTTCTTAGAGTCTCCTGTGAACCTTTCAAGGTAGAGAAGACCCCACTCCTTTTCCTTTCTCTGTCCTCTCATTCCCAGTTGGTTCTGACTGTCGGTCTCCTGGCCGTGGTGGTTTATCTCTATACTGTGGTGGCTTTCAACTTCTTCCGCAAGTTCTACAACAAAAGCGAAGACGATGACGAGCCCGATATGAAGTGCGACGACATGATGACGGTGAGAGCCCACCCACTGCGGGGCCAGCCCACCCACTGCGGGGCCACCCCGCCCCACCACCTCACTGGGAAGAAGGGCTGTGTGGGGGTGCTCTTGAGAACTGTAGAGTTAGTTACAGAGCACAGCAGAGATTAAAGTAGAAGACAGATGTCTTCTCCAAACAGGAGAGTGTCCTGGGAAGACAGAAGTGATGGAGGTAGTTTTCATTACCACACATCTAAGCCCCGTGGAAAGGGAAGCACCCTGCACAGTGGCGTCATCATTCATCTATTTCCGGGGTAAAGATGAGACATTATTTTATTTTTTTGAGATGGAGTTTTGCTTTTGTCGCCCAGGCTGGAGTGCAATGGCGTCATCTCAGCTCATTGCAACCTCCGCCTCTCAGGTTCAAGTGATTCTTCTGCCTCAGCCTCCCTAGTAGCTGGGATTACAGGCATGCACCACCACACCTGGCTAATTTTGTATTTTTTTTAGTAGTGATGGGGTTTCTCTATGTTGGTCAGGCTGGTCTCAAACTCCCGACCTCAGGTGATCTGCCCACCTCTGCCTCCCAAAGTGCTGGGATTACAGGCGTGAGCCACTGCACCTGGCCAAGATGAGACATTATTATGAATGAAACCAGTGTCTAAATTTCATGGAAGTTGAGCTTTGATCATCGTCTCTCAGAACAGAGAGCAAAGTCCCATGGACCGGGATTAAGCACTTGATTTATTTCAGCAAGCCAGTCGGAGGTTCTTTGCGGACAGCCAGCAGCAGGATCAGGTTGGAGGTGGGGAGGGGGAGTCCCGTCAGGCCAGATCTTCGTGAGAAAAAAGGCACTGCCCAGAGTAAGCCAGCTTGGCTGCAGCAACATCGCCAGTTTATTTTGACCAGATTTCAGAAAAAGAATCTGTGTCTCAGGGACAGGGGACAGTGAAATGCCCAGTCTGTGAGCATCTCCATAAAAGAGGTAACACTTCTTGACGAAAAACTCTCCATGTGCTTTCTCGGGCCAAGCACCGTCATGAGACAGCAATCCTAGCCCCTAGAGTACTGGCATGACCAGCGTGTCTTCAGGCTGCCCCTGGCTTTTGATTTTCCAGGTGTAAGACGGTCCTTTCTCTGTGAGTCTAATCAACCCATCAGGTGGAGAGACAGAGGGTGCCCTGCTCAGGGAGCCCGTGCCTAGATTGGCTCAAACCTGCAGAACAGGAGGAGCAGAAAAGTCCATTACCTTTGACCTTCCTGCTGCAGGAATCCCTGCCCTACCAGGTGTAAGGGGAATGTGGATGAAGAAGAGGGGGGACCTTTTTGCAGTTTATAGCACAGCCTGAAGGCCAGGCTAACACTCTTAAAATTAAATGAGGAAAAATTATTATATGGCATAGGCCATACTCATCAAGGCTTAAAGATCTTTTAACTTATATACACCTTTAATGGGCCTAAAAATACCTTTTAAAAGCCTAAATGTAACGACAGTCTTTCCATCTTTGTAGATATCAAACTGTCCAGAGGGTGCAGTGGACAGCAGCTAGCAGCATGAATACTGGCACCTCTGAAGAGTTCCCCTCTCGTGGCTTAGGGCTGCCACAATCTGACCGAATCATATGAATGATCTGAGCATCTTGCTAAAAACAGAACTGTGACTTTTGCCTAAATCCCCCTTATTTTTCTTCTCTAGTGTTACCTTTTCCACATGTACGTGGGAGTGAGAGCAGGAGGTGGCATTGGTGATGAAATTGAAGACCCTGCTGGTGATCCTTATGAAATGTATCGCATTGTCTTTGACATTACCTTTTTCTTCTTCGTCATTGTCATCTTGCTGGCCATCATTCAAGGTATGATTGCCAATTGTGTTGAGTATGAACAGGGTTTAATCTAGTTCTTTTTGCTTTCTTCCATCTATGACTTAATTGGTTTATGAAGAAGCGTGTGAATTCATTTACTTGTTAATTTAGCAAGAACTAATTTAGCATCTACTATACCTGAGGCTTTGGCTATATATAAAGCCAAATACACACCCAGGCACAGTTATAAGAAGCTTCATCCATACAGAGGAACCCCTTCCTTCTGTTCCTCTACTCTGAATTATTTACTCCTCACTTCTGCTTCTGAGATCTCTCCTGTGGCTAGTCTTGTCCTCTTCATTTTCTTCCCAGAGAGGGAGGTAGGGTAGGAGCAGAGGAGCTGGACAGTGCAGGGGAGGGGAGGGAAAGAATGATATTTTAGTCAACAGCTTGTCAAGATTGGAGAAAGATGATAAATTTAGCTTGAGTCATGCTGAGTGGAGGAACCTGTAAGACATGCAGGTGTTGAGGGCTAAGAAGTGAAGTAACTGAGGAGGAACCCTGATCCACCTCAGTGTCAGAGGTGCTAGGAGAAGAGGGAGAGCCTATCACACAGACTGAACACAAATAGCTAAGCAAAATAGGAGACCAACCAGGGAGAAGTAGAAAGGAAAGAGTTTCAGGGAGGAGCAAGTAGTTAACAGCACTGCATGGTGTAGAAAGGTAGAGTTAGGAGGAACAATGAGAAATTGTTAGCCAGGATGTAACACAAAGAAACACGAGTATTATTTTTCTAATTTTGCTTTGATAATTCACTTTTTTTTTTTAACAGAACAAAGTAGCTTCTTCCTTTATCATTCCTCTACCCCTGAACCACTACACAGATTGCTTTGTCTTTGTATTTAACATTCCAGGTCTTATTATTGATGCTTTCGGAGAGCTAAGAGACCAGCAGGAACAAGTACGAGAAGATATGGAGGTAATGTTACTCTAACTACTAATCCCAGCTCTATTTTAATATCCCCAGAAGCAAATAGATTTTTTAAACAATAGGTTTTACTATTACTTAGGGCCAGTACTAAGCAAGAACGCAGTTTGTTTTCCATGCCCTGTTCTCTGCACCCTGCCATACCCCTGCCAGGCCGGCCACTCTGCTGCCTCCTCCACTGTCCCACAATAGGAGGGAGCAGTATCCTCAGCTAATCAGGAGCTAAGTGTATGGCACTACTGAGTGAATGACTAATAGCCAATGTATGGCACTACTGAGTGAATGACTAATAGCCAAAAGCATTAGAAAGAAAGTTTTCATTATCCTTCAATTCGATAGAATCATGACAGTTTTCTCTCCTGCCTATATTATGCCAACAAATGCCTTTTCTGCCTGTTATTTTTCTTAGACTAAATGTTTCATCTGTGGGATTGGCAATGACTACTTTGACACAACCCCTCATGGTTTTGAAACACATACATTACAAGAGCACAACTTAGCCAACTACTTGTGAGTATTCTTGGTTAACAAAAGTAATGGCAGCTGTAGCGTAAATAAAGCCAATTAGGTCATATAGTTCAGTCTCTGCTGGAAAAAGAGTAACCAGAAAGGAACTTCCAGGAGTCCCCATGAGCCTGTACCTTTGTCCATAGACTCTGTCTCTCCCATGTGTGATAGACGTGTGTTGTGGACAATTCCCGCTCCTAGCAAAAGGCCAGCCCCTCAACCTGTGATTGGATTCCATCCGGGACACATACCTCCAGCAATTTCTCTTTCTCTACTGGACTTCTTCTATCACCATATAAATATGCTTTTTTTTTTTTAATCCTAAACAAAGAAAAATCTGTGGCCCCACTTTTACTTCCAACTATTGCCCTACTTCTTTTTCCCTTTCAGCACAATTGAAAGCTGTCCATGCTCAGTCACTGTCTTCAATTTTTCTCTTTTCATTCTCCTGTGAACCTCCTACTGGCAGGCTTTCCTCCCACTACATCATAATATTGGGTCTTGTCAAAGGGGCCTGTAACCTGCATGTTGCTAAATTCTGTGTTCAGTTTTCAGGCCTCATCATGTCTGTCTTTTCTCATTAATAGCTAAGCCCCATGACCTGGGATATTTTTGGGCATGTCTGTTTTCATACTGCCTTTTTTTGTTTTTGTTGGCCAGGCTGGTCTTGAACTCCTGACCTCAGGTGATCTGCCTGCCTCGGCCTCTCAGTGCTAGGATTACAGGTGTGAGCCACTGTGCCCAGCCTCATACTGCTTTATCCCAGTACCTAGAACAATGCCTGGCACCCAGTAGGCAACTAATAAGTGTTTCACTTATTCTACGGTAAAGCATTCACTGAATAACAAGTTACTTGAACCTATTGGGTGCTAGGGACTTCCTATAAAACTTAAAACAGAATGTATAGAGTGTATAGATTTTATTACCTGATAACTCAGACCCTGTAACTGTTCATTTACAAGAAAAAAAATAAAATGCTGGGCTCTGCTCCCCAGCCTAGCTCTTCCCCCTTCTCTCTCTATTTTGTAGCTTAGAGAGTCCTCATCTTTCGAGATAGATAGGGTCTCAACCCCGTTGCCCAGGCTCGAGTGCAGTGGTATGATCTTGGCTCACTGCAACCTCCACCTCCCAGGCTCAAGACATCCGCCTCAGCCTCCTGAGTAGCTGGGACAGGTGTACCACTAATTTAGCACCAGCTAATTTTTTTTTTTGGTAGAGAAGGGGCTTTGCTGTATTGCCCAGGCTGATCTCGAACTCCTGAGCTCAAGCTATCCACCCACCTTGGCCTCCCAGAGTGCTGGGATTACGGGTGTGAGCCACTGGGCTGAGCCCTCATCTTTCTTTAGGCTAGAGCAGGCTCAGCCTTTGGAGAAGGCATTGTCAGAAGTGGCAAAGATAACATGTTTTTGCTGGGGGATGAGTTTAAGTCAAAAACATGAGTTTTGTTTTTTTATTTATTGAGACAGTCTCTGTCACCCAGGCTGAAGTGCAGTGGCGCCATCTTGGCTCACTGTAGCCTCCACCTCCTGGATTCAAGTGATTCTCCTGCCTCAGCCTCCTGAGTAGCTGGGACTACAGGCACCTGCCACCATCCTGGGCTAATTTTTGTATTTTTAGTAGAGACAGGGTTTCACCGTGTTGGCCAAGCTGGTCTCAAACTCCTGACCTGAAGTGATCCACCTGCCTTGGCCTCAGCCTCCCAAAGTGCTGGAATTAGAGGCGTGAGCCATCACACCCGGCCTCAAAAACTTGAGTTTTAAAAAGATAACTTTACTGTGCCCTTCCTCATGAGTATTTATCATCAATTCCCATTAAGAGAATATACATCTTAATGGAGGTTAATGAGCCCATGGCCACGTGTCTGTACCCATGGGTTATAGACCAGTGGAAGGATGCTGTCCTTTGGGTTGGAACCCCTTCTGTGCCTTCCCATGGCACTGTTACACTGGTCTCTTTCCTATCTCTATCCCCTCTAGGAGCAAGCTTGAGGGGAAAGAACCCAATTTTATTCGTGTTTGAGCCTCCCACCTAAAATGGTGCTTTGTTAAATAAATGTGCTGGGCAAGGAATGATGTCCTCAGCCCCTACGTATCAAACAGGATAAAGAGATTAACCCTACTGTCTTTCTCAGTAAATGAGAAGCGGAAAGGCAGTGAACATACTTAGAGCTGCTACTGTGGGCCAGGACCTGACGCTCTATACACTATACCACCATGACAGAACTCAAGATCTGGGGCTTAGACTCTCCACCCTCAGAAGGACATAATTTCTACTTTCTCATATCACCAACTTCACAATCCTTTTCCGGAAGGGCAAGAGCCTGGTTCCTTTGGAAACGGTCTCTGAGATCATATAATGTGAGCTGAGAGTTCAGCCCCTGCCCCCTGGGATACTTATGTGTCACAGACAAACTCAAACCTAAGATATGGATCACAGAGCAAGTGAAACTACACTGGCATTCCCGCAGCTATTTATGATGAAAACAAAACTATAGTTCTGGAAGAATCTCCATGAGATTAAATACTTTCTAACTTTTCCATGACAGATATTCTTGAGACACACACATAATTAATTTCAATTCAATTCTACATTTTTATGAGATGATAAATGGCCTGTTAAATATTCTATGGTAAGAATTTGGGCTACCATTTTATTGTTTTATTAGAATTTTGTTAACAATAAAATGGTGGCCAAAATGCTACCTTGCAAGTGATCTTACTTAGTTCAAGGTATAGGGATGGCAAAAAGCATCTCTCCTCACAAAGTGGCTAATTTTGAGATTCATGTGTGCTACTATTAGAAAATGATGGTTTGTGTCCTTATGCCACACTTCCCTGATCATTTAAGTCACTGTAGATAGCGTGGGACCAACTAGCCTTTCTGAGCCCTGATCACAGTTAATCCATGCGAATGAACTTGGGTCTTGACCAGAGTATCTAATACTATCTTTTCCTCGTTCCAGGTTCTTTCTGATGTATTTGATTAATAAAGATGAAACAGAGCACACGGGTCAGGTGAGAAATTAAGAATCATATACCCGTGTTAGATCTCCCTTTCCTAAATCTTGAGACTTAGTAGGGCATAGGTTATCTGAAATACATACATGGCCCCATTAATCCCGTGAATGCATTTTCCCATCACCTTTTTGTGACTCAATAAGAAGCCAAAGTCCTCCTGTTTATCCTTCCCAACAAACACTGACATTTTCTAAATGCTTATAGCTACTGCTTCAGACTAGAAGAGCTGGAGGTGGGGAGAACATTACAGAGACAATATGAAATAAGAAATTGTCTGACAATAAGAAATGGAGTGGGTGGCTGCAACAAAGAGCAGAAAAATCAGAGTACAACGGAGTGAGAGACAGGCTAAGAAAGATAACGACCTCATGTGTGGGTGACACAGGAGCCTGGAGGTGTGCATGTGAGAGGATGAGTGAAAGGATGTGTCAAATTTTGTGACTAAATGTGAAAAAGAAATGGAAAGGTAGAGAACAAGGGAGGAAAAAGTCAGTTATCAAATATTCAAACATCATTGGCTTTGTAGGAAAACTTTACAGTTCACTCATTCAATGGGAGAGGTACCTGGTTTCCAGCTCTGGATTCAGCATGCAATAAACGTTCCCTCAAGCATTCCTCCGTCTTCCACCAGCGGCATGGAATCAGCTTATTGCTAAATCTTTAAGTATGTTTAGTGGCAAACATTGATTGGTTTCAGTTTTGCTTGTTTGGGGCAGAGGGGGATTTTTCTCCTTCCCTGCCAGCATGTGTCAGAGAGACATGGCTTCTTGCTTCCCAAACAGCCTGTGCTGGGAATAGAGCAAGAATGAATGTGCAGGTTTGGCCTCATATAAATTCACATCAGTCTTCCTAAAGGGAGCCACAAAGAACAAAAACAAACTGGGTTTTAGCTTTTACTGTGGTTTAAAAATAAGCACCCGTTGTTCATATTATTTCAGGAATCTTATGTCTGGAAGATGTACCAAGAAAGGTGTTGGGATTTCTTCCCAGCCGGTGACTGCTTTCGTAAACAATATGAAGATCAGCTTGGATAAATCTGAATCAAAGAAGCGCGACAATTCTGGACAGTCAACTTCCCATGAAATAAAGTCCCCTTTTTACAGTTCTGCAACATATCTGAAATGTGACATTTTCTAAATGCCTCCCTTAAAAAAAAAACTGCTGAAAATCTGTGCTATTTTGAAATTGATTTGGCTTTTTGTGCCTAATGGACATACACTGTGGGAGAGAACCTGTCAAAATGTCGAAGAAGGAAGGCGAAGAATCAAGTAATCTCTAGGCAAATGCCTTCAAGTTTTCCAGTTCTGAGGTAACTAGTTCAGTTTGTTGGGATGGAAGCATGAAGGAAAGGGCTAGAGAAGTATGAAATCTCGAATGTGTAATACCTGAAAATTTAAACACTTGAATGTCATCATGGTATCCAACTTGTGACTCATAGGGTCTGAACTCACTCCAAAAGATAATAACTGCAGTCTAATTTTTCCCATGGTACTTGCTAGTGACTGTATCCAGAAAAGCTTTAAGCAGTTAAAGAAACAGAAAAAAACCGACACTTTGTCGACACTGAAATATCGATTAAGTGCCTTAAAACCTCTTTAGACATAGCTATGCAAGTTTTTTATGTTTGTGTTCCAGAAGGACAGTTCCATTCATTAGTTGTGATCTTCCGTCTTACTTTATGAAACTGCACTTGAAGGTTATTCATACAAGTTTTTTTAGTAACAGCTGTCAGTCAACTGCTGTTATTAGAAGAAAAGTACTGTACTGAAAATTCAGAAAAAAAATCTCAACCTTATGCCAAAATGGAGTAATGCTTTATGGTCCCTTGTAAGTAGTGGAGCTGCTCTGTTTAGGTGAATCTCCTCAAATACAATGAAGTGCCCACTGCAATAAAGTAATACGTACCAATACCTCCAGGGTCTGGACTCTTGGAATGTACCACTTCTGGTTGATTCTACAACCACTCTGTGACTGCTGGGAAAGGGGACATGAGACGAATTGCCCAGGGCCCCACACAAGAAAGGAAAGGAAAACTGGACAGACCAGCATTTGTTTATTTTGGCCAAATGCATGCCTTGTTTGCATCTATTCTCTTAATCAGCAGCAGCATCTGCTATGCTGTAAACACTGGCTATGTTGTAAACACTGCAAGGAAGGAGGCTAGAAACAAGGGCCAGAGTCTATCTCCTGCCCTTAAGGAAATCTATTAGATTACTAAGCCAGAAAAACAAATGCAACAAGCTGCTTCAATGTATTCTTTCAGATGTCAAACACAGAGGTAGGCATTTACTGCTGTGAGCATAATGGAACACACTAGCTTGAGACATGCTTGTAAACTGGCTGGTCCTGAAGGACAGCCTTATGCCCACCTGCCGTTAGAAGGCAACCAAGATTTGCTTCAGGCACTTTTTTTCCCCTTTTTAGGAAATCATGCTGTCCAACCAGTCTTCCAGCTCTTCCTCGGTAACATTTTTGGAGGTACTTGGTTGCTCAGGTTCCATGTTTTTTTCTTCAGTCACAGATGGTTTTGCACAAACTGGGGGAAAAAAAACAATGTTAACACCCTCAGATGAGTCCTAAAATTGAAGGTATAATTCAGCCCAATTTATTACTTTCCTTACAACAAGGGGAAACATTCTCATTATTCTTACTCCCTAAGATGATACAGTAATATCTAAACAAATAAAGCTGGGTAGAGGATTTGCTCTTTATTCTGAAGTTGAACTTCACACCTTGCTAGTTGGTTTTTTTTTCAAAGACCAACAGCTCAGTTTCCTTTTTACTATTATTATTGCAGCAGTCCTGGAAAATTAAAGGATCTCAAATGTAATACATGCATGTGGCAATCACCTTAGGCCCCTCTACATCAGATGGGCCACTATCTCACAGGACATGCAGAAATCAGAATGTGGTGTTCTTTTGTCAAAATATAAGACAGAAATAGCAAGAAAAAGGTATGAAGAGGTGGCCTGTCAGTCGATTAAAAGGGCCACTGCCAAAAAGCTGAAGGCTACAGGTATCCTAATGCCTTCTGATAGCGGAAATTCCATTTGCAGCCCCAGGTTTCTACTGCAGTCAGGCAGGTAGCAGCTTTGGAAGCTTGGTGTGTCGCGTGAGAGGAAGGTTGTCAGAAAGGTCAGCTCAGGGGGAAGCAGAGACGTGAGCACAGAAATAGATGTCAGTGGACAACACTGGATCAATGTCAGACACCCAGAGGGATGTGTGCGGATGTGATGCGGGCGGGGCTGTTCTTGAAAAAACACCAGAATCAAGATTCACGGGGAATAAAATGAAAGCCATACCTTCTTCCTCTTGGACCACCTCCCCATCTTCCTTGGATTTCAGGTCCTGAGACGTCTGATCTGGTAAGATGTTATCTCCCTCTTTTATAGGTGCATCTAAATTAAGCAACAGATCTAGTTCTTCTTCCAAATGGTCTCCTGCTGACTGCAGTGGGGAAGTGGGTTTCTGAGAATCCCTTGAAGGACCCGGGCTTGGGTTGTCTTTGCCCAGCAACACAGGGCAGCCAGCAGCCACAGATTTCAGCTCAAAGATGGGCCCCCTTCCTCCAGGCCCCAAGGGCCCCTTTAACTGCATCCCTAATCCCTTGCCATCATCAGTTCTCTTTGGTTTCACCTGAGGAACCTCTAAAGGAACTGTACCCTGAAAGAGAAGTATAAAAACTGAGTTAAAAATGTGAGTCTTGCCATATTGGCTTAAGTAAATACATAGGAGGCTAAACGAAGCCATCAAACTTTGTGACAGAGGAAACTCAATTCAGATAGTTCACAAAGTGGCTCCTTTCCAGGCCCTGGTGGGGGCACCCTTCCTGACATCTGGGGTAAATGTGGGAGACCTCACTGAAACATGCCAGCACTGTGCCTCCCACTCTCCCTACCTTGACCATGTGCTAACTAGCTCAGATTTGGAATGAAAAGATCCATGTCTTCCTAGCCCTGGCCTGAAAACTGCCAGTACCATAGGTCTATTTGGCTTTACACTTAAATCTGTATTAAGACATGAACATCTATAAAAAGTCACCAAGAAGTGGCCAGGCGCAGTGGCTCATGCCTGTAATCCCAGCACTTTGGGAGGCCAAGGTGGGTGGATCATGAGGTCAGGAGATTGAGACCATCCTGGCTAACATGGTGAAACCCTGTCTCTACTAAACAAACAAACAAACAAACAAACAAAAAACAAAAAAATTAGCCAGGAGTGGTGGAGAGTGTCTAGTCCCAGCTACTCGGGAGGCTGAGGCAGGAGAATGGCGTGAACCTGGGAGGCGGAGCTTGCAGTAAGCTGAGATTGTACCACTGCACTCGAGCCTGGGCAACAGAATGAGACTCCGTCTCAAAAAAAAAAAAAAAAAAAAAAAAGTCACCAGGAAGTAATTAGCAAATCAGATCTGTTCATTGTATTTAAGTGCACTAATATAAAGGTGCAGTAACAAATTCACCAAGACTCTCCTTGGTAAAAAATGCCAGACACAAAAGAAAATACACTATTTGATGATTGTATTTGTAAAAAGTTCAAAAGCTACGGTATTAGAAGTTAGGTGAGCGAGTGCCTTTTGGGGAGAGAGTGACGTGGAGTGTGTATGAATGGTGGCTTCTGAGGTGCTGACAATATTCTAAGTCTTTATCCGGATGCTCATTCCATGTATACTTACATGTGCACTTTTCTGAATCGATGTTATACTTTAATAAAAGTTACAAACTCCCCCGGTGATTGTAATACAAGGTTATAATCTAAGGCTGAGAATCACCGCTCTCGAGGGAAGGCTCCAGGGATGAGCAAGGCCTCACAGTGGGCAGGTTCAGAAGTTCAACCTCTACTGGAGGTCCTGACCCCTTATTTTTACATAAACATCCTGAGCAGACATGTAAGACGGTATGGCTTTATATACAAACAGGAATAAATATCCAGCAGAGTCAGTCAGTTGTACAGGGCAAAGCTGGGACATGGTCCTCTATTCTAATCTTAGAGTCATTTAATTGTTCTGGGGTGGGTGTCTGGCCTTGTTTTTGTTTGTTTTTAACTCCCCAGGTGATTCTAATGTGCAAACAAGGTAGAGAATACTGCTCTACAGCATGGGTGGGGGAGAAATGTTTCTAAGTGATTTAGCCAGGATTTCAATGTCACATAATTATTTTATACCTTTAATGCCTGCCACTGACATTACAACCTTCACTTCAAACACTCACAACCACTTCCTCTCTGTCCTGAGTCCTGAATCCTTTATCTCAGCATTTCCCTGGTGAGTTCTGCTAAACATTCCTCATCATATGAGATCAAGCCAAGCACTTCAGAACTTTGAACATCACTGGACATCAGCAGAAGAGCCACTAGTGCTCTCCCAAACACCCCCAAATGTTTCCAAAGAACCCCCAGGGCAATCCCCCATCAGAGGCAAATGTAATTCTTTCTAGTTCTCTACCCTGTCCCTAACTGTCCTCCATCCCTGAACTCTGCCTGCTGTCCCAAATTTTAGACTAGTAAATGCTATACAGCAAATGAATGGGTAACCAATTCATTACTATGCTCAAGCTTAGCATCACATTCACCCACAGAAGGAAGTTGATAATTTCAGTTGCTAGGATTCTACTTAAAATCAGTACGTCCCAAGGTTTCACTTTTTTTTTTTTTTTTGATCGTGCCAGAATGTTGAAGTTCTTCATGGCATAATCTTTGGGCCTCCCCCTCTCTTAGTTCATCAATTATCACTTCATCCTGTTATCTCCTGAATTTGTATTTCTAGCCCTTGATGTAGAACTATAAAGTTCAGCATTCAGTTGACTGTTATTTCCACTTGGATATCTCAGAGGCACAAACTCATAAAGTCCAAAACTCACCCTTCCTGATCCTACCACTGAGTTGCACAATCTACAAAGTCTTGAATTTTTTCTTGACCACTCTCTCCCAATTTCCAATATACCGTCAAATCCTGTTAATTGTACCTTTGAAGTACCTCAGTACAGCCCTCTCCTCTGCCATCTCCACCGTCATTACTGTAGTCCAAGCTACAGTACTACTCACCTGCACCTGTACAACAGCCTCCCCATGTGCCTCCCTCACCTGCTCTGTGCATGTGTATGTGCACATGCAGACTTACCCCCACACATGCACTCCAATCCCACAGTCTTCTCTACTTGGCAGCCCCATCGTTTTTATTAACGCAAAGCTGACTGGGTCTTTCTCGTTTAAATGCCAGCTCAAATGTCCTTATGCTTTAGACCTCAGCTCATCTATCACTGCTTCAGAAAGCCATTCCTAACCACACCACACCAGAAACTGATTTACTCTAAAAGCACACTGTACTTCACAGGATGTATTACAATTTGTATATGTTTGTGTGACTATTTGATTAATATTCATCCTTCCCAATAGATTAAGTTCCAGAAAGGCAGGAACGACATCTGTCTGTTCACCACTGTGTCCCTAGTGCCGAACATAGAGCGTGATGCGTAAATATTTTGAGTAAAATAGCCAGACTTTATATTTTACATTTCACTCAATTCCACTACATTTGATCCTTTAAAATGTTTCAAATATAAAATATAAAAAAGTAACTTCAAAAAATTTTTGGATTCTCCTTTAAACTTTACAAAATGCTACCTTGATATGAAACCCTCACTTTTATAAAGGGAAGCTGACACTGAGACATCCTGCTGAGGGAAGTGTTCCCCTCTTTTTCTCCTCCTGCCCTAATCCACCCGCTTCAAGAGGGCTTCGGGATTTTTACCTGGACCAGTTCGGCAGCAACGTTGAGTCGGAGGCAGAGAGGCAGCTCTTGAAGGGCTCGAACCAATAACTCACTATCCACATAAAATGCTGAATTCTATATATATATATAAAAGAAAATAAAATATCAGGTGATGATTATGACCTTTTGGAAATAAAAGAAGAAACTGTAAATAATCCACTGGAGTTACATTTGGCTAGGAATAAGTCACACCATACATCACACTTATGTGTTAGAGTTTCTGCATCTCCACATTATGATCAGTAAAACCAAAGCTACCTTCTTGAGCCACAGCTCACACTGTCAGAGCAACAACAGGGCAATGATCATCCTCCCATCAAGACTGTCCAGGCTGGGCGCAGTGGCTCATGCCCGTAATCCCAGCACTTCAGGAGGCCGAGGCGGGTGAATCACCTGAGGTTAGGAGTTTGAGACCATCCTAGCCAACATGGTGAAACCCTGTTTCTACTGAAAATACAAAAAATTAACTGGGTATGGTGGCTGATGCCTGTAATCCCAGCTACTCGGGAGGCTGAGGCAGGAGAATCGCTTGAACCTGGGAGGCAGAGGCCGCAGGGAGCCGAGATCGCAACACTGCAAAACAGCCTGAGCAACAAGAGTGAAACTCCATCTCAAAAAAAAAAAGACTGTCCAGTAACCTGGAAACGGTGGAGGCTTTTGCAATGACTGACAAGCTGAAAGAAAAGCAAGCATTTAATGAAATCTAACCTGATCTCTTCTCTAAATTCAGACTGCTGGCCTCAGAAGAGGAAAGGGCTATTTAGGCAGTGAGAAGGGACTGACAGGTGTTGCGAAGGTTTCAAACGAGCTAGTCTCCTCAAAAAAAAAAAAAAAAAGCCACTTTGTAAGAAGGCTTTCTTTTTTGGTCACCAGTTTGCCCCATAAAGGGCTAAAGCTGAAGAAGGCCTTAGATATAAAGTTAGCTGCAGTGAATTGCTTTTAATACTAAACTGTGAATTTTAAAAATAGGTTTAATTGGAATAATAATAAATCAGCATTTTGTACATGTTTTAAAGTATTCGGTGCATTATTTTTGCCTGGGTAACCCAGCTCCCATGTCAGCCTGGTCAACCCTGGCAGCCACTTGGCAGTTGAAGTAGAGGGCCTGGCCTACGACATCTGGCTGCAGACAGGAGCAGACAACACCCACTAAGGATGCTATGGGGGTGGGGTGTAAAGAGAAAGGAGACACTCCAGTGCTGGGGAGAGGGGAGCCAGTCCTGACTGTAGGACAAAGCCTTTCTGTCCCACTTCTCTGCCATCAGTGTGCACAGGACCCTGTCTGTGTGCTGAGAATCTGCAAGCCTGAAGCTTCCTCTCTGGCCAGGAATCATAAGACTCTGAGTGTCCAGTATCTGTATAAAGGCACACTCTTTAGTAAGAAAAGAACCCGCTATATACTTCACTTTGCAGCTAAAAAACATACCCTTCAATCAGACTATTACATCCTCCTCAGAATCTACAGCAATTACTGTCCATATGAGCCTGGGGCCCAGAGACCATGTGTACATGGTATGGTGGAGTAATAAGCTGGGCAGCTTTTTAAGATACAGGTTCACAGGCCTCACCCACAGAACTGAACTCTCTGGGTGGCGTGGGGGGAGCCGGGAATCTGTGCCTTTAAAAGCCAGGCCCTCAGGAACGGCCGCATATCACTCAGCAGCCAGCAGTTTGCTCAGCAGCCAGCAGTTTGCTCAGCAGCCAGTATATTGCCCAAGGAAGTCCTACTGGATAAGTCACCATGTCAACAGAAATTTAATGTGGAATTTTAAAAACTTAGGTGATTTAAAAAATAATAAATCTGTTTGTTCACCCAGGGAAATTACCTTCCCACTCATCCTCTCTTTACATGGTACCCACCCTGTCCAAAGGAAAGGTATGAGAATCCCACTTGTGGATCTAAGAGACCGACACCCCTGTGGTCATGGAGGCCAACATAGCTAGATCAGAGCACCCTGACCGCCGACCTGTGTCCCTTCACCCTGCGTATCAGCCACAGAGCAACGAACGCCAAGTCCAAGCCGTGACGCCCGGTCCCTCTCCTGCCAGGATTCCCTTGAGGATTTTGGACATGTCTCCCTATCAAACTCCCACTCCCTTTAACTGCAAAGACAAAACATATTTCTACTTTTCCTTTTCTTTTTTTTTTTTTTTTTTTTTTTTTGAGATGGAGTCTCTCTGTTGCCCAGGCTGGAGTGCAATGGCACGATCTCGGCTCACTGCAACCTCCGCCTTCTTGGTTCAAGCGATTCTCCTGCCTCAGCCTCCCAAGCAGCTGGGATTACAGACGTGCCCCACCACGCCCAGCTAATTTTTGTATTTTCAGTAGACGCAGGGTTTCACCATGTTGGCCAGGCTGGTCTCGAACTCCTGACCTCAGGTAATCTGCCCACCTCGGCCTCCCAAAGTGCTGGGATTATAGGCGTGAGCCACTGCGCCCGCCCCCTCTCTATTGTCTTGCGTCACTGGTCACACTGAGGACATGGGATGGTATAAGGAACAACAAATTACATATATGTGTGTGTGTACATATATATAATATATAATATATATATACACTCAACATATAATATATATTATATATATGCACTCAATATATAATATACGTATTATATATTACATATAATTATATATAATACGTATTATATATTATATATATCCAGTTTTTTCTCTTACATCAACAAGGAAGAAAATTTAGTGAGGAGTTAAGTCAGACAGGAAATCGTTTTGATGGTGAAATGAATTCAGTTTCAGCCATGTCCTACCAACACCTCCAACTCGAACTGTTCAAAATCAAACTTAACTTCTTTCTGCTCTTATTTTTTTCCATTCATGGCATCACCACTCACCTAGTTACTCAAGCTAGAAAGCATAGTGCCATTGCAAATCTTTCTTGTCCTTGTGTCTCACATCTGGCCAGTGAGCACAGTTGACCCCATCCTCCACTCAAGTCTTGTCTATGAGTAACCCCTGTCCCACGCTCACTGCCTGACCCTCTCAGGCTCTCGTTCTTTCCCATTCGTCCAACATCACATCCTCCTAATCGGTTTCCCTGCCTCTAACCTCTCATCTCATCCGTTCAATCCCTCCCCATCCTTCCCAATACTGCTGAAGTTAGATCTAACCATTTCCATGTTCTTGCTAAACAAAACTTTGTTAACAGATAATATTAGTAATAAAAGAGCTCATTTTGAGTGTTTCATATGCATCAGGAACTGCACTCAAGGGCTTTTTATTTATTATCTAATTTAGTCCTTCTTATAACTCTGAGTTATATTTTGTTATTACCTCCATTTTACAGGTGAAGCAATAGAGAAGGAAAAAGTTTGCCCAAGTCTCAGATCTAGAATTCACACTCAGGTCTGAAACTGCTGGTACTAACTAGCCCACACCTGCCCCTGAGGCCTCCTCCTCTGGGAATACTACACTCTGGCCACACCCTTCTCTGAGCATAACCTCGTTTTCCTGATCTTACCATTTTCATGTTGTTTCCTCAGACAGGACCTACCAGAGTCACACTTGTCCACCAAGACCCGTTCAAATGATCTTTTCCCCATGGTACCAATTCTAATCACTTCCAGTGCAAAGTAGCTATCTCTCTCAGTATTGTTAATTCATTCATCACACCCCTTATTTTAGGTTGTATTCTTTTTCATGTATTAGGTAAATATCTACTGAGCATCTACCATACTACAGACTACAGGTCACCGAGTGTGCCCAGGTAAGGGGCTTAGAGCAATGAACAGGCATGGTCTGTCTCATTCACTTTGAATAAGCTCCATTTAATAAAAACATTTAGTAAACAAGTGCTCTATGTTTTGATGAATGACGAAGCTTAGAATTATTTGAAACTCTGAAGCTACTTGAAATATTCTTTGGTAATCAGTATGGTTCAAAAGGAGATGAAATGTAAATTGTTCGGCTTCTACCATATTCCTCAACAATCTATCTTCGATGTGTCCTAGAATACTAAACAGTACCTCAGGCGTAGGCCCAGACTTAAGCAAAGACAAATATTTGTAATTCTCACCTTTTTCTATGGCATATATAACACGTTCTTTGTAAAGTGCCAGGCAGTCATTTTCTAAGAGACTCCCCTCCTCGTAATCCGTATGCGTCAAAGGCCATCCCAAACAATTGAGCCTAAAACCAGCCCACAGATCAAACGAGCCACCCACAGCACATACGCTGATGTGGGAGCAGAACAGGGAGGACAGTGCCTACGGGCTTCGGGTCTGCAGCTTCAGCCACCTCTCTGAAGCTGGGGGCAGATGGTAATCAGTTTATCAGACAGTATGCTCTAGGCCTGGAGTTGGGGAGCATATCACAAGTCACCACTATGTCCCTATGTGCATCCTAAAAGGGGGAGAATATCTGTCATCTCTTATATGAAAAGAATTAGAGGAAGCCTGCTTGGAAAATAATCAGAACTCCTTGGGAAGAAAATATTACATACACACAAAGAAAATAAGGCATTTGGGGTTGAGAGACTTGCTGAAAGACTTCTATAATATTTGCCCTTATTTTATACTTCTATTCTCCTAATTGTAGGAGAAGTGTTATTTAAAGCTGCAAGGTTAAGGGTTTTCTCAACCTAACACCAAAAACAGTGAGAGACAGAAAACTAATTTTCAACTCTCAAGGGAATTGTCAAAGCGTGGCAAAGGAGGAAGACCAAATGGCAAAGTAATCCACTCTGTCAAAATCACGGCTATCAAGTTTCTACCTCGAGACCCCGTCCATGTGGGCTGCATAATTCACACAGATGGCCAGGTAGAAAGGTGAACTCTAGCTTCAAGGACCTGTGGAATTTCAGCCCCCTGAAAATTTTCTGAAAAGTTTAGCTGAGGGTACACTGTAAGAATTACTACTCTTTTCTACATGAAGACTCTATCTCAAGAACGTAAAAGGTGTTAGCCTTCAGCCTTGAAGAAGAGCCAGTCCACACTTAACACAACTCTTATCTTACCTGTTTTGGACAAGAAGCTTCACTATCCCATTCTTTCTCCTCAGCAAACCGGAACTGTGAGAATGAGTCCCCTAGGAATAGGAAAAAAAAAAAAATTTATGCAAAAGCCAACGGAAACTCTCAGTTCTCTAAATTTCCCTGCTAGAGCAAAAGTGCCATTTCTGAAGTGCTCAAACTCAAAGGGAGAGGCAAGGATAAAACTGGAACATACCTCCAACTCCATTTCCAAAATTACAAAACACACAGATGACAATGTTAACATTTGATAAGATTAAATGTAAGGCAAAAGGACCAAGAAAAAAGGATAAAATCACTACTCTTAGTCATTGGTAAATAAATTTGATCCCTCAAAAAGTTATGACATAGGCCAGGCACACTGGCTCACACCTGTAATCCCAGCACTTTGGGAGGCTGAGGCGGGTGGATTACTTGAGGTCAGGAGTACAAGACCAGCCTGGACAACATAGTGAAACCGTGTCTCTACTAAAAATACAAAAATTAGCTGGGCGTGGTGGCACGTGCCTATAATCCCACCTACTTGGGAGGCTGAGGCAGGAGAATCGCTTCAACCCGGGAGGCGGAGGTTGCAGTGAGCCAAGATCATGCCACTGCACTCCAGCCTGGGTGACAGAGTGAGACCCTATCTCAAAAAAAAAAAATTATTACATAAAGCCTCTGAATAATATAATTAATAAGACCTTGTATTTGTGGATATACATGTGTATATGTGCATACCACAACAGACTTAAACTTTCTCTTTAGAAGAGGTTATCAGCCTCTACTGTCACTCCAAAAATCACCTGGTCAGAATGTCAAACATATTTTGATAGGTGTGTGTACTTACTTTATAAATATCAATGTAACACTAATTTTTAAAAAGGACTGTATAAGACCAAGAAAAAATTAATTCTAAAATGTAGCAGCCATACAAATCATATTCACTGATGTAAGCAAGCAGAAATTAACCACAAAAGTAAAAGCTCCCCACATTTTTATAAATTTAATCTCCTTCCCACATGACTTTTTGATCAGAAAAAAACAGAACTAAAACTGTAGAATTAGAATACAGAAAAGAGTAATAAATTAATATAAACCAATCCATAAGAAATAAGTGGTTGTTCTCAGAGAAAAAGTTAAAGTCAAATACTTTCATTACTAAGCAAAGAAAGAACTTTAAGAAGAAATAAAGCAGTTTTATAAAGTTTCCTAACTTCCTAAAAAGCCAAACAGAGAAACTGAGGAAAAGAACCAACAGAGTTGTGGGTTGTTTTTTCTTCTTTTTAAATTAAAGAAACAAACACACCAATCTTCTCATCTAAATAACTGAAAGCCAGGATTATACCTAAAAATATAAACTAACACCATGGTCATCTAACATTTTTTTAAAAAGAGCAACCAATGCGATTAGAAAAGAGGATGAATTAAAAGGCATCAACACTGAAAAGCAGGGGACAACAGCATGATAATCTGAAGAAACAATGCTGTGTGTCTGGAAAACCAAAACAATGAGTGAAAGGGACTCAGAAAGGTGGCCCAGTTATAAAACTTATCTTAAAAAATAAATGGCTCTCTAATACACAAACAAAATCCAGTGAGAAAACAAAAGGGGGCCGGGCGCGGTGGCTCACGCCTACAATCCCAGCACTTCGGGAAGCCGAGGAGGGTGGATCACTTGAGGTCAGGAGTTCAAGACCAGCCTGACCAACATGGTGAAACCTCATCTCTACTAGAAATACAAAAGTTAGACTGGTCACGGTGTCTCATGCCTGTAATCCCAGCATTGTCGGAGGCCGAGGCAGGCGGATCATGAGGTCAGGAGTTCGAGAACAGCCTGGCCAACATGGTAAAACCCCGTCTCTACTAAAAATACAAAAAATAGCCGAGCATGGTGGCACACGCCTATAATCCCAGCTACTCAGGAGGCTGAGGCAGGAGAATTGCTTAAACCCGGGAGGCGGAGGTTGCAGTGAGCCAAAATCACACCACTGCACTCCAGCTTGGGCATCAGAGCAAGTCTCTGTCTCAAATAAATAAATAATAAATAAATAAAACAAAATGGAAGAAAATATCTCATTCATAATAGCAATAACATACAAAAAATTCCTGGGAATGAATCAGGAATAAACATTTATTAAAAGAAACTTTACAAAATAAAACTTAAAAAGGAAGACAAAAAACTCAACAGTTATCAAGATACCAATTTCACCTAATGAAGTCTATAAATTCACTATTCAATCCCAAAAAGATTTTTGAATTTGTCCAAATTACTCAAATTCATTTTTTAAAATATATGAAACGAAGATATGCTTTTTTTTAAATGGTAAAGAAGTTGTCTTATTGATTATAAAAATGTATTCAAAAGTCTCAATAAATAAAATGGATAGCCACTGGTGAAAAACATAAGAACAGAAGAGTGTCTAGAAACAGCCCCAGGTATATGGAAACTTAGATATCGTAAGAGCGGCAGATGATATCTGTGCAGAAATCACTTTAACAGTGTTAAAGCAACTCACCAGCCATGTGAGAAACTAGGCTAGTTACCAATATCTCATTTCTCAGATGTAAAACATATTTTGTATGAATCAGATATTTAAGTGTTCAGAAAAAAAGGAAATCATAACACTATTACAAGAAAGCAGGTAGGGCAAATTTTGGCTACTGAAAAAATTTTAATACATAAAAAGAAAATTTTTTTGAATTACAGAAATTATCAACAAACTCAAAAGATGACAGGCTGAGAAGTAACGTTTGTAGCACATATTATTGGCAAAGAATACGTATTAATCTAATAATATATTAGATCTTTGTGTATTAGATACAAAGAACATCCACAAATCCATTAGAATAAAGCAATCCAGTAGGAAAATAGGAAAAGGGGAGAATATATGAAATATGATTGCTAATATATATGAAGTAAATGACAGATGTATGAATTTAAAATCTGATAGATTTTTTTAAAACTGTCCAAATTGCTGAATGCCTTATTCAGTGTTGTTTTTGACATTCCTGAACTTCTATATTAGAAATGATCATATGATTTCACAGATTAATATATAATTGGTACAAGATTCAGTAATGTAAAAAAGGCATGCTATATATACTTATTTTTAATATCTGAATGTTCACTTAAAAATATGGGTAAAATATAAATCATGCTGCTATAAAGACACATGCACACGTATGTTTACTGCGGCACTATTCACAATAGCAAAGACTTGGAACCAACCCAAATGTCTAACAATGATAGACCGGATTAAGAAAATGTGGCACATATACACCATGGAATACTATGCAGCCATAAAAAATGATGAGTTCATGTCCTTTGTAGGGACATGGATGAAATTGGAAATCATCATTCTCAGTAAACTATCGCAAGGACAAAAAAACAAACACCGCATGTTCTCACTCATAGATGGGAACTGAACAATGAGAACACATGGACACAGGAAGGGGAACATCACACTCTGGGGACTGTTGTGGGGTGGGGGGAGGGGGGAGGGATAGCATTAGGAGATATATCTAATGCTAAATGACGAGTTAATGGGTGCAGCACACCAGCATGGCACATGTATACATATGTAACTAACCTGCACATTGTGCACATGTACCCTAAAACTTAAGGTATAATAATAAAATAAAAAAAAGAAGATAGTGAAGCAATGTCTCGAAAATAATAACATGCAAAATCCAACAACCTTGAATTCTTTATCCACCAGAAACATCTTTCAAAACTGGAGGCAAAATAAGACTTTTTCAGACATGTGAAATCCTACGGAATTGATCACCATTAGACTCTCGCTATTAGAAATGATAAAGGACACCCCTAAATGAAAGAAAATGATCCCACATTGAAATGTGGTTTGACAAAAAGAAATGAAAAATCAGATACAGTAGCTACCTGGATCAATTAGAAACCTCTGTATTATGTAATGTCTATAAAGAGAACAGTAATGTCTATAAAGAGAACTATTCAGAGAAAAATTAATAAGAATACATTATGATTTTCAATAAAAATAAAAGCAAACTATATGACAAAGCAGAAAAGCGAAGGTGGGTGAAGAACATGTAATAATGGTTTTGTACTATATGTGAATATATAATAGCACCTGAAGGTAGATTTTGGTAAGTTATGTATTTACTGTATACCCTAAAACAACCATTAAAATAAAACCCTCTTAACAAACAAACAAACAAAAAATGGGTAAAATCCAACAATGACTATCTTATTCCCCCAGTCTTGCTGAGAACGAGGAACCAGGCGCCCCTACCCAAAAAGACCTGAAAAGTCTTATCTGAAGACATGAGAGTTCCCAAGGCAGTGAGGACTTGGATGAAATTCCTGGAGAGAAGAGAAGCAAACAAGGAGGTCAGGGTAACATTTAGGGCTGCTTATCCCCCTAAGGCATTTATCAATTTTCAAAAGGTGGTATTGAGAGGCTAAAAAACAACCCAGGAGGTTGTAAAGCTGAAGAAAGCTCTGCTAGTCTTACAGCACTGGGAGGACAAAAACTAGAGTTCAGGGCCAATGGATGAGGAAGAGTCTTGGAAAACCAAGGCTTTCAGGCGGGACCCCCTGATGACTGCATCCTGTAAGTTAGGAGTAAAGTAGGAATTGACCAGCCCTCACCAAGTCTGAGGTCCAGCTGTGAGTGAGCTCAATCTCTGATTCTGCCTACAAGCAAAAGTAAATCATTTTTGGAGGAAAATGACACTATCAATAGCCTCCAATGATCTCTATAATTTTTAATTTACAATGTCCAATATTCATTAAAAACGATCAGGCCTACCAAAAGATGAGACCAAAATAGTAGAAAACAAAGAGAAAAGAAAAAAGAAACAAGAGTTAACTGAAAAAGATCCACAGAGATTAAGATATTGGGGACATGAGACATGGATTTTATAATTTTGCCATGTCAAAATTTCAAGAACAGGAAAAACTAGGAACATCATAAACAATGACATCCATGAAGGCATCTTTGATGCACACAAAATAAAATACACATAAAGAATATAAAGAAGAAAATGTTAGAGAAAAATGAGTTACCTAAATACCACAAAAGTTACCACATTTTGTTTTCAGGAATAAAACTTCAAAATATAACACAATTTAAAGAAGGCTTTTAAAAATCCTTACAGATAAAGAATATAGAAGCTAATTTTATTTTATTTTTTTATTTTAGTGGAGATTGGGTCTCACTCTGTCACCCTGGCTGGAGTGCAGTGGCACAATCAGAGCTCACTGCAGCCTCAAACTCCTAGACTCAAGTGATCTCCCCCATCTCAGCCTCCCAAGTTTCTGGGACTACAGGTGCACACCACCATGCCCAGCAAATTTATTTTTTGTAGAGATGGGGTATTGCTATATTGCCCAGACTGGTCTCAAACTCCTGGCCTCAAACAATCCACCACCTCAACCTCCCAAAGAGCTAGGATTACAGGTATGAGACACTGCATGTGGCCTAGAGGCTACTTTTATTATTATGTTTTAGATAAGGTCTCACTCTGTCACCCAGACTGGAGTGCAGTGGCACAATCATAGCTCACTGCAGCCATGACCTCTGAGGCTCAACTGATCTTCCTGGCTAATTTTAAGTAGTAAACTTGGTAAAATGACTACTATAGAATACCAACCACTCTGATTCTCACATTGAAGATGAAAGTGTACAAACCTGAAACTATGAATCCTAGAACTAAAAGTCTTTCTAGAAAACATATTACCAAAATTCTTCTGCGTTGTGTTGTTACATACACACAAAGTATGGTGATTCACCAAATGTGCTACTTTTATATCTTATATACCAGACATATGGACATGCATGGACAATTAGAAACCTACTTTAAGTAAGATAGCAAGGGGTATTCACAGCACATTCCATTCCACTCCAGCTTTATTTGTTTGCCAGAAGAGTTCCTGGTCTCTCACATACTAAACACATGGTGGATCTGACTAAAAGGTATAGAAGAAAACCAGAAAAGAACAGTGACAGCCAACTGTAGTTGACAAGGGAACAAACATGGAGAAGTGTGTCTTAGGAGTCATAAGATTCAACAGCTGTGTGTCCTGAATTAATTGGGGCATAGTGAAAGGAATAGAACTAGAAAGAACTAGGAAGCTCAAAGGGAGTATACCACTGTCTTCCCTCTTCTTCAAGTAAAGACAACTGTCTGACTTACAGAATATTGTAGAACGGCCTTGTTGTGTACTTATATAATATCCTCAAACAAGATGGAAGAGCAGCTAGTGCCTATTACATAGCCTGCTTAAAAAACAATAAAAATCCCATAATATTCTACTACTTTATAGATAAGAATACCAAAATATTAGGCCTACAAAATCCAATGACTGCTTATTATGAAGGCATTTACTGGAATCTGTTTAAAAGGGGGAAGGGGGTAGCAAAACTGATGTACATGAAGAGTTCACATTTTCCTTACATGATAAAAAGCCTCATCTCATCCTATTCCAGCAACAATGCTGAAGTTGGCACACATGCAATCAAAGCTGAGACACAGGAGATATTGAGACAATTTTGTTGTATTTTGAAAGTCAACTACATTGCTCTATTGCCACATTTCTAGAGCCAAAATTAATAAGAGATTTTTAAATCAAATAATTGTGTGAAGAAGCAAAAATGTTAAAAAAAAAAAATAGAAATAAGGCTGGGTGTACAGTGGCTTACGCCTGTAATCTCAGCACTTTGGGAGGCTGAGGTGGAAGGATCAATTGAGGCCAGGAATTCAAGACAAGCCTGGGTAACAAAATGAGAACTCATCTCTATTTAAAAAAAATAAAATAAAAGTACCCAGGTACAGTGGCCCGCACCTATAGTCTCAGCTACTCAGGAGGCTGAGGTGGGAGATTGCTTGAGCCCAGGAGTTTGAGGCTGCAGTGGAGCTGACATCATGCCACTGCACTCCAGCCTGGGTGACGGAACAAGACCCAAGACCCTGTCTCAAACAAACAAACAAAAGAAACAAAAACGGAAGAAAATTAGAAATAAATATAAGAG